>NC_000013.11:113368090-113673020 GCF_000001405.40 Homo sapiens | reverse complement strand
CATTAAAACATTCTTTGCTCTAAACTTTGAATACATTCTTCTTCTAGGCTATTTGTAAACAGTGAATCTAGAATGAAAGAATTATTCACCTTTTCAACAATGTGTTCTCTATCTCTTGAAGAAAAAAAATGAAAGTTTTGCAAATAATTATAAAGTTTCTGTAACATTAAATGGCATCAAAAGAAAAATTTCAGCTAATGGAGAGCAAGACAGAGTTAAGAGAGAGGGAAGAGAAAAATGAGATAAATGTGGTGATACAAACAATTAGGTTGAGGTAAATAGACACAATATTGGCAAAACCCAAAGGCTAAGGAGGGTACACTGAAAGAACATTTTGGTCAGAGAAGTAAAATTTTGTATAACCATACTTGTTTAGTTCTAAACAAATCTTGGGATCTGAGTGAACAAATTTTGATTGCTATAATTATGGCAGATTACACAGAATTGATATATACTGTACAAAAACAACCAAAGACTACATACACACCTCACACACACACACCACACAATTTACCACACATACCATGTACCACACCATACAGATACCACACACATACGCCACACACAATACCACACATACCACACACACCACACCACGAACACACCACATTCCACATACCACACACAATACCACACATACCACGTACCACACCAGATACCACACCATACAGGTACCACACACCACACATACACATACCAAGTGACCACGAGGCCCCAGCACCCCAGTCAGACTTACACACACCGCACACACCACACAATCACACACCACACACTGCACACACATACACACCATATGCCACACACACACCACACACAACACACACACACACCCCACAAACCACATACGCGCACACAGCACACACCACGCACACTGACAGTGGCTCCCTGGCTGACGGTGGAGGGCGCAGGGTGTAGGGAAGAGGGCCGGCCGTGCCACAGCTGAGCGTGAGTGTTGCCCACCGAGATCCTCCCACCTCGGCTCTCGCCCCGCCCCCCACGCACTCTCTCAGGGCCCTGGCACGTGTCTCGCACTTGCCTGACCTGCCGCTGTCGGGAGCCTAAACCCTCGTGTTTATTTCTGAGAAGAATCCCTGTGTGACGCCTCATTCAGGCAGAAGGAAGGTGGGGACTGGGCGTAACAGACTCGCCGTTCCCAGCTGGTTCTGCACCACAGACCCCTGCACTCACTCCTGTGACTCCTGGTGCCCGATGACACCTCCACCGTCCACGAAGCCGTCAGCCCTCATGAACCCCCACCGTCCACACAGCCGTCAGCCCTCGTGAGGTTGTGCAGAGACCCCCAAGGAAGCTGCGCCCCGCCCTCCTCGTAGCCCTCATCCCTCCCAGCCGAGGGCACCTCCTACCGTCATTGTCCAGCAGCACGTTCTCGGGCTTGAGGTCGCGGTAGACGATCCGCCTCTGGTGCAGGTGCTCCAGGCCGCAGATGATCTGCGCCGTGTAGAAGAGGGCGCGCGGCTCCGGGAAGCCAGGGTTCTCCTCATTCACGTTGTAGATGTGGTACCTGGGGGAAGACACGTGGGAACCATGCACCCCGGGTTTAATGGGGAGTAAAATCATGGAAAGACAGAGCTGGGGCCTCAGAACCATGTCTCTCGGCCAGCGTTCTGGTCGTTTTGAGGCCTGGCCCCCCTACGTCCCTGCAGAGGACACCCGAAGGCCATGGTGGCTGGCGGCGTTAGCAGCTCAGGGACCCTGAACCCCAACTGCTAACAGGGAGAAAGTGCTGTCCACGTGCGTCTCCTGTCCGCCTGCTTTCCAGCGCGGGCCGCAGGTGCTAGGAAACAGCCCAGACCGTCTCAGGAAGGGGCCAGGCCGAGGCCGAGGTGGGATGCAGCTCCGCAGGCCCCAAGTTCATCAGACTCATGAAAGATTTGCAGTAAGGTGTTTCTTCTCAGCCTCTTTCCTCCCCCATAGAACATCATCTCTTATGTTTTCCACGGACAGGTTTTGCAGAGAAGCAAAACCTAACAAATAAAAGAAATGATTTAAACAAGAAATAATTTAAACGAGGTGGCACCAGGAGTATCGTCACAGGAAACAGGAGAGGAGGCCCTGGAGCCAGGCGGACCACAAGGCGGCCAGAGCCACCAGGCCCTCCCTGGGCACCCCTGTGACCGCGCTTCCTAGCACCCCTCCCCTCCTCCTGGACAACCCTGTGTGTGCACTTCCCAATGTCCCCTCCCCTCCGCCTGGGCACCCCCGTGTCTGCGTTTCCCAGCGCCCCCTCCCCTCCGCCTGGGCACCCCGTGTCTGCGTTTCCCAGCGCCCCCTCCCCTCCGCCTGGGCACCCCTGTGTCTGCGTTTCCCAGCGCCCCCTCCCCTCCGCCTGGACACCCCTGTGTCTGCGCTTCCCAGTGCCCCCTCCGCGTGGTGACTTAGTCTGGACTCACATTTCTCATCTGAAAAATGGGGCCACCAGCCTCACCTGGAGGAATTTCCTTGGAAATTAAAAGCAGGTGAGAATGGGGCATGGTGCTGCCAGCCACAGCCATGGCCCCTGCCCACTGCTAACCTTACGGGCATCAGACACTGCAGGTATTTCACACGTATTGTCTTAATCTCCGGACAGTCTCTGGACTCAGATATTATCTCTCCCCATTTTACAGACCAGGAAACAGAAGCACGCAGTGGCTAAGCGGCCCAGCTACCAAGCGAGCCTGTGATCTGATCCCCAGCACGGGCCTGGGGCCTGTCTCAGCGGCAGATCCGGGGCAGGACTTTGTGGAGGCAGCGCCACCTCCTCTCTGCCTGGGGACAGCAAGATCACGGCCCCCAGCTGGACTGATCTTGTCTCCAGCTCTAGGGTCAGCCCTAGGAGTGGGCGCTGGTGAAGTTCGTCTTCATTTACCCTCCTGGTGCAAGGCCCTCAGCCCTGCAGAGGCCCCGCCGACTGCATCACACGTCCCCCACAGCACCACGTGCCTCCCACACCCACACCAAGACCACACACAGGACGAGCCCTGATTGTCAGGTTGGGCGCCTCCCAGGCTCCTGCTCCGATGTGGGTCCAGGGTGCATTGTTTCAGGAACCAACAGCGAGAAGGGGATTGTGATGGGTGCAAGGCTTCCCTCGAGGGCAGGCCTGGGGCCACCATGGCTCTGCCTGTGGAAAGGAGCCCGGGCCCTGGAAACCCTGACCCAGTGGGACAGCGGGGCCCCCTCGTGCCCTCTGGCCCAGCCCTTACCTGATGTCACCTCCGTTCATGATGGTCATCACCAGACAGAGGTCGGCTTTGGTTTCAAACGCATAGGCCAGAGACACGATGAACCTGCTGTGTACTTTCATCAGAATCTTCTTCTCCACCATAGCACCCTGAAAAGTGAGACGCTGAGTACGCACTGGCTTTGAATAGGAAAGGGACTAGGTGCATCGCAGAGACCGTGTGCACCCGGCCACGCCCACTGCACACAGCCACGGAGCAGTCGCAAACATGCTTTAAATGCGCCTTTCACAAAGCAATTGCAAATGACTTCAAAACATGCCTGCACCCCCATTTCAGAAAACCAGACATGTGAATTCCTTCACATACAGGGGACTTCTGGTCTTCTGGGCCAGCCTCTGGCAAGGGGAGGCTCAAGCCCCAAGGCTGAGCAACATGGGTGAGGACCCTGCCAGCCCCGCCTGCCCAGCAATCCTGCAGCCACAGCCCTCCCTCCTGTCCAGGCCCCCGTGGGCTGGGCTCCCAGACCAGCACCTCCCAAACCCCCTCACCACTCTGCTTCATTTTGTCTTTATTTTGAAACCTCACAATGCTCCATTGAACGAGTTTGTAAGTGTCTGGATAAGGATAGCACATCCCTCTTTGAAGAGGGAATTCCTGATGTCGGAGGCCCCTTTCTGCACTTACATGGGGAGGTGTTCAGTTGATGTCAGTATGGAGTTCAGTTTGGTGACGGAAGTCAGGAAAAGAGGCTGAATGTTGGGTTAAATTTACAGTTAGATGTGAATGGCACGGTGGGGGAATTAGATGTCAAGAAAGCTAATTTTTAAAAATTACTGCTACAACCACACAGCATAGTTACTCGCCCCGAGTTCCACGGCGAGAACACGCAGATGTTCCAGGGCCTCCGCCCAGCGCTGTGAGCACCTGGTATTTCACCTTCACTGAGGGTTGAGGTTCCGCAGAGCCAGGGTGCACAGTGGCTGCTGCTTAACCCTAAGAGCTTCCTGTGCACTCAACACAGCTGCGTGGTGGGAGAGGGGCCAGGAGCCACGTGGAGTCAAAGTGCAGGGGGCTGGCTCAGGAGATCACGTCCACACCCGGCACAGCCGCTGCCCCTCACCCTTAAGACCTGTAAGCAGCTTCTGCTGATCCTGCCCCAGATGCACAGTCTGACGCCAGTGGGCAGAGCGGATGAAACTTAGAGCGGCCTGCGTGCCCGTCGCTCACTCCCACCCCCGAGGACAGCACACTCAGGGGAACAGTTCCTGCCCCCGGCGTCACGCCAGGCTCTGCCTCACAGAAACTGTCATCAGAGCGAGGCTGCCTCCGTCCTGCCTCAGTTCCTCCTGCATTCGCTGCGATCAGAGGAGCCAGGGCCCTGGAAAGTCTTCCACAGTCATGGCAAAGAATCCGGAGACCCTGCCCCTCTTCAGCCTCCCCTGAGAGGTCCTCTTTCCCCCACACTTGAGGCTAGTCTGTGGTTGGTGAAAAACCGACGAGTGAACGTGGCACGTCCCCACCCAAAAATGTGGAGGTCACTCTCCGAGGAGGGACTTCTGCACATGGACTGGAACTGCTCGTAACCGCACGGCCGCGGGGCGCCCACGTGGCGAGGCTGGCATGCATGCTCCCTTAGGCACCAGCTGTTAAGGGCCCCGGAGCCGACAGTGACCTGGGGGCCCTCTGCACCCTGCCGCCCCATCCCTGCACCCTGCCACCCCATCCCTGCTGGCCGGGTCGCGCTGCTCACCTGGTAGCCCTTCCTCTTCTTCAGCCGCTTCTTGTTCAGCTTCTTGCAGGCATACAGCTTGCCGGTCGCCTTCATCTGGCAGGCCGACACCTCCCCGAAGCCCCCTTTCCCTAGGACCCTGAAGTCCAGGAACCAGTCCTCCCCCATGGGCTGGGCTTCCAGCCACTTCCACTGCAGGAACCTCAGGAAGTACAGGCTGCCCAGGTACTCCTGGAAGGGGGCTTGGCCCAGGTGTGCCAGGGTGGCCTGCAGCAGGGGCTGGAAGAGCCCGTCCTGGATCTCCACAGGCCCCTCCTTAAACTTCGCCACTATCCCCTCATCCAGGAAGCTGCAGAAGAGTTTGGCCTGGGGGTCCAGGTACTGGGCCAGGATGGTCTGGGCCTTCTGTGGCTGGAGGTCATTGTCTGCCGTGTCATAGTCCTCGATGTCTTTCCAGAGCTCCAGGGCCGGCAGGTGCTTCTCTGCCGATTGTAGGAACTGCTGAAAGAGCTTCTTGCCGATGGGCTGCTCCAAGCACACACTCTCAAACTCCAGGCTGAGGCTGTCGCGGAGGGACTCACACTTGGACAGCGGGGGCAGCTTGAGCTTGGCCAGGTACTTCTTGTCCCGGGAGGGTTGGGAGCTGCTGCCGTCAAAGCTGCCTCGGGCGGCGATGAAGGCAGAGTTGGCCACCACGGTCTCCAAAGACCCGAAATCCATCCCGGAGCTTCCTGCCCGCTTCAGGCGTGAGGGCCCATCAGCCGAGGCCAAGCCGGGAGCGTTCACAGACAGAGCAGGCCTGACTGCTGCCCTTGGCCTGTGGCCCGTCCCTGCCCTTGCTGGACGAGAGAGACGCCCTGGCCCTGTCGAGGGTTCCTGGGGACCACTGGGAAGCCCCTGGGAGCCCGGGGCTGACACAGCACCAGGCTAAATCCCAGCCGGGGTCACGGAGGACGCTTAGGAGTGGCAAGAAGGTGCTAGAAAAAGACAATCCCCTGAGCTGCTTGGAATCCGATTAGATCATTCTGCCCGGCCCCTTCCTCCAAGGGGCCGCCTCACTTTTCCCCTGAGAAGGACAAACAACCACCAGGCTTCTGGGGCCCCTGGCTGGAGAGGCACTCAAAGCTCTGTTCTGAGCTGCTCCATCCAGCCCCTGGCTTCAGCAGCCAGGCTCAAGCCTGCTGTTTCCTTGGGATGTGGGCCTGACGGAGAGGATGGAGCCGGAAGAAACCGTAATTTACAAAGGCTGTTTTTCCCTATTTTTATTTTTAAGAAAATAGCAAATGAGAAAGAAAACCACCTGATAATAGGAATTTAGAGAGGAAAAGAAGCCCACAGTGACCAGCTTCCTGGGGGTCTGTAGGTGAGACCACCAGCGCTTACTGAGGGGTCAGTTCCCAGTCATTTGTCTTCTTCTCACCTGGGGTTTGCAGGCAAGGCAGGATTGTCAAGAGGCAGTTGCTGGTGACACCAGGACCAGGGAGCAGAAGATCCCCGGAGCTACATCAAACCAAGGCCCCACTCAGAGGGACGCATATGGAATACAGCTGGGGCTCACCTGGGACACACCTGGAATCCACCTGAGAAACACCTGGGGTACACCTGGGGCACATCTGGGACACACCTGGGACAGCTGGGACACACCTGGGGAACACCTGGGACACACCTGGGACAGCTGGGACAGCTGGGGAACACCTGCAACATACCTGGGGCACACCTGAGACCTGGGACAGCTGGGACAGCTGGTGAACACCTGGAACACACCTGGGGCACACCTGAGACCTGGGACAGCTGGGACAGCTGGGGAACACCTGGAACACACCTGGGGCACACCTGAGACACACTTGGGACAGCTGGGACACACCTGGGGTACATCTTGGACACACCTGGGACAGCGGGGGCACACCTGGGGCACACCTGAGACACTTGAAATGCAGCTGGGGAACACTTGGGACCCACCTGAGACACACCGGGGGCACATCTGGGGCACACCTGAGACACACCTGAGATACAGCTGGTGCACATGTAGGACACACCTGGGAGAGCTGAGGCACACCTGGGATATGCCTGGGGCACACCTGAGACACCTGAGACAGCTGGGGCACACCTGGGACACACCTGGGATGCACCTGGGGCACACCTGGGACACACCTGGGATGCACTGGGGGGCACACCTGAGACACCTGAAATGCAGCTGGGGCACTTGAGACCCACCTGAGACACACCTGGGGCACATCTTGGACACACCTGGGACAGCTTGGGCACACCTGAGACACCTGAAATGCAGTTGGGGAACACTTGGGACCCATCTGAGACACACCTGGGGCACACCTGGGATACAGCTGGTGCACACGTAGGACACACCTGGGACAGCTGGGGCACACCTGGGATATGCCTGGGGCACACCTGAGACAGCTGAGGCACACCTAGGACACACACCTGGGGCACAGCTGGGACACACTGGAGACAGCTGGGGCACACCTGGGACAGCTGGGGCACACCTGGGACAGCTGGGGCACATCTGAGACACACCTGGGATGCACCTGAGACACACCTAAGACAGCTGAGGCACACCTGGGATACAGCTGGGGCACACCTGAGACACACCTGGGACAGCTGGTACACACTTGGAGCACACATGGAATGCAACTGGGGCACACCTGCAATGCAGCTGTGACACACCTGGGACAGCTGGGGCACATCTGAGACAGCTGGGGCACACCTGGGACAGCTGGGGCATACCTCGGACACACCTGCAACACACCTGGGACACACCTGGGGATGGTCACACCAATAGGATTGTCAGCTTCATGAGGGCATGGCCCTGCCTGTCTTATTCCAGCACACAGTAGGTACTCAATAAAGGTTTGGAGAAGAATGAGGAGGAATTCAGCAGGGGATTGGTTCCAGCTCACACAGGGAGGAAGCAAAGGGTCGCAGAAAGGAAGAATGCCGGAGCATAGAGAGGTGGAGACTGTCAGCCCACCCCATTCCACGTGGGAGAAGAGGCAACTGTGGGAGGGCACTGGGGGCTGCACCTGGCAGGGTCTACAGAGGCCGAAGCGAGGGCCCGCAGACCGAGCCGACGTCCCCACGGTCTCCTGAGGGCTTTGGCAGGTGGATCACGAGTAAATATTTGAGGTGAGTGATATCCCATCGTTCACCAGGAGCCCTGCACGGGCCCAGCCCTGCCCTTCACAGCAGTGACCTTGGGCGGATCACGTTAACTCCTTCCTGCCTGCTCACCCAATGGGGCAACTGTGGTGCTTTGTGAAGTGTAGCCGTCTCTGCTGACGTCTCGCTGCCTGTCCTGGTTCATGCCTCAAACAGCTACACACATGAATCGCCCGGAGACCTTGCTGGAATAAAGAGTCTGCTTCAGTGGCCAGGTGGGCCAAGACTGCACCTGTAACAAGCTCACAGGTGGTGCTGATGCTGTGGAGGCGTAGGGTCTGAGGAGGATGGCTTCCTGTTGGACTGGGGGCCGTTCCACCTGCAGTCATGTTGGGAAGCGTTCGGTTAAATAAAGTTAAATATGTTAAACAAGCAAAGTTAAAAATATGTGAAACGTGTCCATCACAGGGTTTATTCAGTGATTTCAGAGTGAACGTGTCTCTCAAAGAGAAGTAAAGTATGTCGTTTCCCAAATTCATTTGGCCCTGAAAATCCCTTTTTAATTAAACTCTTTATTCTGTGATAATTGTGGATTTACATGCCATGTTAAGAAACAATCCAGAGAGATCCTGTGTACCCTTAACTCTGTCTCCTGTAATGATGACATCTTGCCAAGTAGCGAGGATATTGGCATCCATATGGCTGAGACAGAGGCCGCCTCCATCCACGGGACCCTCCTGTGCTGCTCACAGATGCACCGAAGTTCCCCCAGCCCGCCCTGCTCAATGCCCGGCAACCACGACTTCTCTAAGCACGTCACATGAATGGAGTCAGACACTATGTAGCCTTTCAGGACCTGCATTTCTCACTCAGCACTGTTCCCAGGTGTCAGCCATTCCCTCCTCGTCTCTGTGGTGTGCTCCACAGAGGAGAGTGCCACAGTCCGTTTCGCCGTTCACCGGTTGAAGGACGGCTGGATCGTTTCCAGTGTTTAGCTATAAAGCTGCTATAAACATCTGTGTAGGCCTTTGTGTGAATAGAAGTTTCTATTTCTCTGGGGTAAATGCCTAAAAGTGTCGTAATTGCACGTTTAGTTTTGAAGAAACCGGCAAGCTGTTTTCTGGAGTGGCCGTGCCATTTTACATTCCCACCAGCGATGGTGAGCAGATTCTTCCTCAGGATCCTCCCCAGAGTTTAGCGCTGCCACAGTCTTGTTTTGGCCCTCCTGGTAGGTGTGGAGTATTCCCTTACGGTTGTAATTTACATTTCCCTAATGGTGGAAGAACACCTTTCCATGTGTGCATTGCCATCTGTGCGTGCTCTTGGGTGAAATGTCTCTTCACATCTTTTGACCATGTAACAACTGGATTGTTTGCTTTCCTGTCATGAGTTTTGAGATTCTATCAATATCAGATAGCAGTCCTTTGTCAGACATGCGGTTTTCGAATATCCTCTCCCAGTGATAGCTTCTCTTTGCCTCCTTTCTATATGGGCTTTCATAGAGCAGAAGTTTTAAATTTTGTTGAATATAAATATTATAGATTGTGCTTTTGGTGTTGTCCAGCCCCAGATCTTGAAGATTTTCTCCCATATTTTTCCTAAAAGTTTTATAGTTTTACAATTTACATTTACGTTCATATCCACTTTGGGTTACTTTTTATAGAAGGTTTAAGAGGTTGAAGGTCTTTTTCCTCCCCCTTTGGCCAATGGATATCCAATAGCTCCAGCACTGTTTGTTGAAAAGGTTATTTTTGCTTCATTGAATTCCTTTTGCGCCTTTGTCAGAAATCAGTTGCACATATTGTGTGGGTCCACCTCTGGATTTTCTCTTCTGTTCCATTGATCTATGTGTCTCCCTCTGACCATACCATACAATCTTGATCACCACAGCTACATAATAAGCTTTGAAATTGGGTAGACTGAGTCCTCCCATTTTATTCTTGTTTTTCAAAAAAAATTTCAAAAAATGTTTAAAAAACCCTATGTTCAAAATATGCAAGAAAATATTTACTTATTCTAGTTCCTTTGCTTTTCTATATAAATTTTAGAATAATCTTGTATATATCTACCAAAAACATTGTGTCTGGATTTTGATAGGAATTATGTTGCACCCTATATCAATTTGGGGAGATTGATCTCTTTGTTATGTTGAGTCTTCCACACTACAAACATAGTGTGTGTCTCCATTTATTCAAACTCTAATTTCTTTCATCAATATTACATGGGTTTCAGCATGCAAGTCCTGTACATGTTTTGTTATTAACACCTAAATATTCCTCTTGGTGTTGAGCAATCATAAATGGTATTGTGTTTTTAATTTTGGTATCCATATGCCTATTGCTAGTATATAGATGTACAGTGGATTTTTGCACCTTCATCTCATATCCTGAGACCTTGCTAAACTCACTTAACAGCTGTAGGAGTTTTGTTATGGATTCTTTGAGATTTTCTACATAAGCATTCATGTTATCTGCAAATAAGGACAGTTTTATTTCTTCCTTTCTGATATTCATGCTTTTTATTTCCTCTTCTTGTTCATTGCTCTAGCTAGAACTTCCAGTACAATGTTGGATAAAAATGAGGGGCTTGTTCCCGGTCTTGGGGTAAAAAACGTTTCATCTTTCACCATTGGGCATACTGTTAGCTGTGGGTTTTTTGTCAATGCTTTTAATCAAGTTGAACAGGCTTCCTTCTACTCTTGGTTTGCTGAGAGCTTTTGTCACATGGAAGCTGAATTTCATCAAATGCTTTTTCTTTGCTGATTGATATGATTGTGTGGTTTTTCTTCAGCCTGTTAATGTGGTGGATCACACTGATTGGGTTTTGAATACTGAACCAGCCTTGCATTCCTGGAATACATCCCGCTTGGTCATGGCATTTGCTTTTTATACTTTGTTGGATTCAACTTACCAAATTTTATTTATGGTTTTTGCATCTATATTCATGAGGGATATTGATCTGTAGTTCTCTTTTTTGAACTATCCTTGTCTGATTTTGTTATAAAGGTAACACTGGTCTTATAAGATGAGTTGGAAAATATTTCCTCTTCTTCTATTTTCCAAAAGATGGTGAAGAATTGGTGTTCTCTATTAAGTGTTTGGTAGAATTGTCCCATGAAATCATCTGGGCCTAGAGGTTTCTTTATTGGGAGATTTTAAATTATTAATTCAGTTTCCTTAATAGTTATAGGCTATTTACATTATCTATTTGAAGTCGGGTGAGTTGTGATTTTTGATGAAGCAGCCCATTATCTAAGTTGTAAAGTTTATGTATGTAGAATTGCGCAAGTATTTCCTTCCTTATCTTTTTGATGTTTGCAGGGTCTGTAGTGATAGCTCCTATTTTATTCCTGCTATCAGTTATCTCAGCCTTCTCTCTAGCTACAGGTTTATTAATTTTATTTACATTTTCAAAGAACTAGTCCTTTCTATTGCTTTTGCATTTTCAAGTTCATTGGTTTCTGCTCTTATCTTTTAATTTCTTCCTTCTGCTTGTTTTTGTTGCTGCTGTTGTTTGCTTGCTTGCTTTTGCTTTGTTTTACTTGCTTTTCTTTTTCTACATTTGTGAGATGAGAGCTTAGGGTTTTTGAGACTTGTCCTCTTTTCTAAAATATGCATTTTTAGTGCTATAAATTTTCCTCTTAATACTGCTTTAGCTATGTCCCTTGAGTTCTTATATGGTGTATTTTTTCTTCATTCAGTTCCATGTATTTTTAAATTTCCCTTGAAACTTCCTTTTTGACTCATGAGTATTAGAAGTATGTTGTTCAGGTTTCATATTTGGAGGTTTTTCTGTTATCTTTGTTATTAATATCTAATTTGATTCCATTGTGATTGGAGAACATACTCTGTATGATTTGAATTCTTTAAATTTGCTAAGACTTCCTTTATGGCCCAAGATACAGCTTATCTTGATATATATTTCATGGGGACTTAAAGAGAATGTGTATTCTCTGTTGAGTATTCTGCGAATGTCAATGACATCCTGTTGGTTGATGATGTTGAGTTCTTCCGTATCCATGCTAATTTTCTATTTGGTTGTTCTATCAATTGTTAAGAGAGGAGTGTTGAGATCTCCAACTATAATTGTGGATGTGTTTATGTCTACTTTTAGTTCTATCAGTTTGCTTTCCATATTTTGCAGCTTTCTAGTTTTTCATTTGTTTCAGGCTTGTTTGTAATTGCTATTCAAGCATTTTTATCATGGCTGCTTTAAAATTTTTGGCAGCTAATCCTAACATCTCTGTCACCTTGGTGTTGGCATATATTGTCTTTTTAAATTCATTTTTAGAATTTTTTAATTTTTTAGCAGAGATGCCCAGGCTGGTCTGGAACTCCTGGTCTAAAACGATCCTCTCAGTCCAGCCTCCCAAAGCTCTGGGATAACAGGCATGAGCCAAAACACCCAGCTTTGTATTAATTCATCTTAAAATCGTCCTCGTTCTTTGTGTGATGAGTGGTTATCTACTGAAACCCAGACGTTTTCATATTATT
Source organism: Homo sapiens (assembly GCF_000001405.40). Classification (NCBI taxonomy): domain Eukaryota; kingdom Metazoa; phylum Chordata; class Mammalia; order Primates; family Hominidae; genus Homo; species Homo sapiens. The sequence continues at coordinate 113,660,499 of NC_000013.11, read as the reverse complement.
TAATCCTTCTCTTTTTACTGGCTTTCTCTGACCCCACTTCAGCAGCAAAAGGGAGAGGCTTCACCTTGTTAACACCATGTGGGGCCAGAAGTCTAGGTTTCCCACTGGGAACCTTTGGGTGGGCTCCTGAGGACTGTTGGGTGGGTGGGTAGCAGTCCTGGCTTTCCATATGGTCTCCACTGACACCACAGTGGGAGGTGGCCTTGTCACTGTGTGGTGGTCACAGTCCTAACTTTCTACTACGTTGTGTCTGACACCACTCAGATGGGGGGAGAGAGGGGTGACCGGTGGCTGCCAGATGTGGGTGGGATTCTGGGCCCCCCTCATTGTCTGGCACCCAATTTGTATAGAGCACCTAGTTCTATGTTTTCAGAGCATGCTGTGGGGAAACTGCCCTCTACCAAGGTCTCTGGCCCTCCTCCCCACACGTATGTGTCCAGAAGAAGGTCATTCTGATAACATGTGTACAGCTCAGCACATGTACCTGCTTCTGGAAATTCAGAGACTACATTAGGAAGACTAAATTCAAAGATGTTTAGAAATAATTCATACTTTGTTCATTTCAAGAGCATCTATACCCTTCACAGACAACAGTTGCTGCATCCAGGTGTTGTCAGACCCCTGGCACTCTGGGGTCCCAGGGCCACAGTCTGTGAACAATCAGACTGTGGCCTTTACTGCCAGACCCTGTGTTCTTATCGCCCTAACATTCCAAAGTCAGAAATGGGTACAATGTTAAAGGAAGGATAGGTCCATTAAGAAATTATGGCTGGGCGCAGGGGCTCACGCTTGTAATCCTAACACTTTGGGAGGCCGAGGTGGGAGGATCCCTTGAACTCAGGAGTTCTAAACCAGTCTGGGCAACATAGGGAGACCCCATCTCTACAAAAAAATAAAAGAAATAAAAATTAGAAATTAAAAAAAAGAAAAGAAATGATAGGAATCCAGGCTAAAATGACATCATTCCATTTGAATTTTAGGGCAATTATTTTGCAAACTCTAAATTATCCTAAAAAATTAAAGCAGCGTAATGCCTAGAGGAATTTTGTTTCTTCTAAGAAATGAATTTGGTTACACGGGTCCCTGAGAGGGACGGCCTAGAGTTGACAGTATGGGAAACTCTGCATGTAATTCTGGACACACAGGGCTAGTCGACTTCGAATCATATTTGTCAGAAGGCCCCTGAGCACATTTCATTTGCCCTGCATTCCCATCAACCTCCTGCAGAGATGGGCACTGCAGCCAGCAGGCAGCAATGGCATCTGCCATCCAGGACCCCTGTCTCCAACAGCAAAGCGTCTGAGCCGGGGTTCTGAAGTGCGCCGCCCAACAAGACTGCCTGGGAGCCCTCCACGTCCTGGTGCTCGGACCCATGGGCGAGAGGCTCAGGCAGAATCTCCGGGCGGAAGTGGGCAGTGATGACTTCATGGTCCCTGCCCCGGCCCTGTGACCCCAGTGCACTGCCCGGACCCCCGGTGACCCCGAGGTACTGCCCAGGCTGAGCATCCCCCACCTGGACCCTGCCTTACTCCCTCCCACCAGCACTGTTAGAAATGCAGTCTGGGGCCCCCACAGGACTCGCTGGGCTGAATCTGCATTCAACAGATGCTCAGGGCTCCTGTGCACTTCATTTTGAGGACCACTAGATTTAGGGGTTTGTGTTTATGAATTCCTCCATGGACACAAAAAAATCCTAAAGGGCCCTCGGTGCCACTGCCCTCTGGGGATCTAAGAGGCTATTGCTGCTCTGGGTGAATCTGGGAGGCAGAGGAGTCCCCGGGGACCCCTGTGTTCCCTGCCAACCCAGCTCCAGCTGCCAGGCTCACCCTTCCACTGGGTGACCCAGAATCGGGGCGGCCGCAGCGGGGGGCCCAGGGAGCCGGTCGCCCCTCACTCGCCTGCCTCACGCCCTCCCAGGCCAGGGATGCGGCCCCAGCTGGCTCAGCCCAAGGTCGTGGACACAGTGGGTCCAGGCCGGCTCTGCTCTGACCTCAATCTCCCTCCTGAAGGAGAGGAGGGAAGGGGAAGGGCCTGTGAGTGCTGCTCACCCCGGAACGTGCCCTCACCGCAATCAGAGCAGACAAAGCTGCAGCCAAGGGCGTCCCAAGAGCAGCAGGGTGAGGAAAGCGGGCCTGGCCCGCCCCAGGGGCAACAGCCGGGCTGCACCCAGCCCCTGGTGTTTGGTGAGGCGATGGCCGGCGCTGATAAACGGCCCTGGCCTCTCCCTGGGATCCTTCGCCTGCGATGCCTTTGACCTCTGGCAGAGGAAACTATAAAGCCCAGAGGTGGGCATCTGGCCTCAGTCTGGGCGTAGAGGGTGCAGGGAGCAGACGGGAGGATCTCAGGCCAGGGACGATGGCGGCTCTGCAGGAGAAGAAGACGTGTGGCCAGCGCATGGAGGAGTTCCAGCGTTACTGCTGGAACCCGGACACGGGGCAGATGCTGGGCCGCACCCTGTCCCGGTGGGGTACGTGCGGGGGGCGGGCCGGCTGGGTGCATGGAGGGGGCCGCTCTGAGGACGCAGCCTCCAGGTGAGCTCAGGAGGAGGGGAGCAGAGGGCCCCTGACAGTGAGACCCCGATGCTGCCTGGATGGCGTGGACGGGCTTCGGCCAGGGCCTCACTTGCCTCCCAGGGAAAGCGAGGGTCCCCAGAGCATCCTGAAGGCTGAGTTGACCTGGAGCCCCAGCTGCAGAACGCCGGTGGAGGGCGTCCACAGACTGGCCCCAAATGTCAGCCGTATGTCTGAGAACAGCATTTTAAAAGTATGTTTCTAAAGTGAATCATTTTGAAAATAACGTGAAAGGTGGCAACGGTGATTCCTTGGTCACACAGATTCACGCAATGACCTGAATAAGGGGCTCTGCCGAGACGCGGCTGCCAGCCCCTTTCCGGGACACCCGCTGGCGTCCAGATGCGGAGGTGGGGAGTAAACCAGGCCTGCCTCAGCCTGCAGCACCTGCGCCTTGTGCGAGGTCTGCCCTGCAGGGTCCTGTCCCCGTGGCTGCACAGAGGCGCGGGCAGCCTGGCCCTCCTGGGAGGAAAGCAGATGCCTGGGCCTCCAAGGCCACACAGGTGGTGGAAGCGTCTGCGTCTACATCAGGGCTGCCACACCCGTTCCGGGAAACGCCCTCACCCCTTATGAGAGAGTCTGGAGGAAGCACCTGTGCGCCCCCACCTCCCCCTGCGACCCCTGGGCGTCGGGATGCGGCTGAACTGGCTGGCCTGGTGCCGTCCCCGGCTCCCAGGGAAGGTCAGGCCCTCCTCAATTCCCACGGTGCCCGGCTCTGGGGGTCCCAGAGCCGAGGTGGGAATGCAAAGCCCCAGGCCCGCCCCACCTGTGTGTGTAGCTGAGACGTGCTGGGAATGCCCGTGACACGCTGCCAAATCCCCCACACTCACCACAGTGCTGGTGAAGGCTGCAGCCCCCGCTGGAGGCTCCACGGTCTCAAAGGGCACCAGAGCCAGCTGGAGTCATGGGCGCATTTGAAGTAGAACAAATACCCCGTTCCTAGAGAGGCAGGGACCGGGGGCAGAAGGGCCTCCTGGGCCAGGCGGGGCGGCAGAGCGGGAGGCCAGGATGGGGAAGGAGCTGAGGGCGGGGGCTGGGCTGGGGGCTGCCGGCCAGGTCCTTGGAAGCCCCATCTTTTGGGCCATTCTAGATGCTGAGACTCCCATGTGCCGCCTCCTGGCTGCAGGGCCACAGAGAACCTTCTGGAATGGTCTCACTGCCTGGCCGGTAGACATGGCCTCCGTTTGGGATAAGAAAGTCTTAGGGCCCCAGGAAAACACAACTCAAGTGAAATGACAAAAACAAAAGGAATAGGACACGTTATTCTTACTAATTGGGGGACGGGTGCAGGTGCAGGAGAGGCAGAGTGAGCTGCACCCGGCCGGCCCCAGGAGCTGGCGGGAATGGGACTCTCAGTCACCTCCCAACCCCTCCCCTGTGCACTGCAGCGTGCCCTGAACACCGTGGTGCAAGCGGGGGCCCAGGAAGTGCAGGGAGCATGGCCCTCCCGAGCCTGGGCCCAGCCTGGCCAACCTCGGGCTCCTACCCGGGAGGCAGGGCTGAGCCGCCTGGTGGAGCTGAGACTCGCCACAGAGTGGGTCAGCAGCCACTGGGGAGACACGCACCGCCCACATCTCCACTGTGCACCACGGGCCCCAGAGCAGACCCACAGGACCCACAGCGGGGGAACAGAGACCCCTGCCGTCACGAGCGTAGGTCCCCGGGGGACAGGCGGCCAAGTCAAATAGAAGCCACATCAGGAGTGACCTGGGGACACTGAGGCAGGACCTGCAGGGCCAGCACCAGGGAGGCACCAGGCGTGATCCAGTGACAGGACAGAAACCCTCCACCACTGCGGGCCCCACACTGCTGAAGCTGGAAACTCAAAACCGGAGGCTGAAGCCAAGCTGCTGTGGCCACACAAGAACGCCGTCACCAGGGACGCCCGGCGGGGAAAGGAGGGACTCAAAGTGGATGCCAGGTGAGCAAGACCCAGCCCTGAGCCCAGCTGGTGCTGAAGGGACCTGGCTCAGAGATCTGTGCTGTCCCAGCTCACAGAAGAGGGCAGGCAGTCCACAGGCCACAGCCTCTCATCACAGCTCAGGGCTCTGGCCTCTTGGCCCTGCACTCCCTTGCTTCTCTGACTTGGTCCTGCCCTTTGGTTGTGTTTTGGGTCACTGGAGAACGGCTCACTAAGCAGAATCCATGCCACATCAGCGGAGAGGAGGAGCAGGAGGCCCAGTTCATTACAGACTTTCCAGAAAGACAAAAGCCGTAGCAAACACAAAACCGTCCTCTTCCTGCCGGTGTCTCCCTGCAAATGCCTCCTGCGATCCACACAAGCTAATTTACAGAGACGAAGACAGCACACAGGCAGTCGCCTGTGTCCAGGAGCCGCCCATGGCCACGGGGACGGTGGCTTCCGTTAGGTTCTGACGCTGCAGGGGAAGCTCACAGGAGGGTCTCAGAAGCAGATGAGATGAAGCTGCACCCTGAGTTGCCGGTGCCTATGGACACCCTTGCTTCTGAGAAGAGCCATCTCCAGGGCTTCCCTTCCTCCCTTTCTCTTCCTGATGTCTTTGTGGAAGCAGGACCGGCCATGCACTTCCAGGCTGCACTATGGGTCACCATGGGCAGGACCCCACCTCTCTGCCTCAGTTTCCCTTCCTGTGATGGGGGAACCATAACTCCCCCCTCAGAGGGCCCTCGGTTCCTGCTGGAGCTGGGGTGGTGGCGCATCCTCGGCCACATCTCAAACAGCGGCTGGAGTGAAGGCAGCTGGGTGCAACTGCCTCGGGTCGCAGGATTCTGCCTATGTGGACGTCCAGACGGGCAAACCCAGAGGCAGAACGTGGCCGGTGGTGCGGCGCTGGGAGGGGATTGTAGTGACTGTTTGTGGGGACGGGGTTTCTGTTTTGGGGGAGGAGAATGTTCTGGAACTAGGTAGGGAAGATGGTCACGCCACATCACGGACGCGCTCAAGGCCACCGAATTGTGTGCGTTAAAATGGCTGACGTGGTAAATTTTGTGCCTGCCTTGTGTCGCAGTGTGGATCAGCCTGTACTACGTGGCCTTCTACGTGGTGATGACTGGGCTCTTCGCCCTGTGCCTCTATGTGCTGATGCAGACAGTGGACCCGTACACACCGGACTACCAAGACCAGCTACGGTCACCAGGTAAGCGCCCGGGATGTTGCCCCCATGCCGTGTGACAGGCCAGGCTGCCGCCTCCTCGGCTCTGGAGACGCCCGGGGGACCCGTGCCCTCCCCAGAAATGAAGCCCAGGGAAGCCAGCCCGGCAGCCCCAGGGTGAGCCACACACCCCAGCAGGTGCCCCCGAGGGCAGCCCCTGGCCCCTGAACCGGCTTTAAGAGCAGCACCAAGGCATAAGCGGCCCCTTAGTTTCTTTCCATGAGGAAAATGACTCCAAATTATAAAATCTGACTTTGGCTTTAGTTTTAATTATGAAACAGAAGGGTTTTGTTATAGAGACAAAGTTTTTCCATCCACTTACTTCCTGTGCTTGGATATGCACACGGAATGTTTCTGCAAGGACGCACAGGAAACAGTTTCCAAGGAGCACACCCGGGAGACCAGCAGAAAAGAGCCCGCTGGTCACCTACACATCAGCAGGGTGCAAGGACAGAGGAACAGGCATCCGAGTCGTCAGAGGCCACAGGACAGACGTCCCCATCGGTGTGCAGAGCAAGTGCAGAACCTCCTTTTCCCTCAGACCCTGCTGAAGGTTTTTATTTTAAACCACGTATAGATTTTACTCTTAACAAAATCCACTAAACAGCAACACCTAGCCTCAAATGTAAAGCCAGCTGCATCCATAGGGGACCAACTAAGCAAACTGCAGGCTTCACACAATGAAACCACATTTATGGAAAGAATGAGGTGAGTTGACACAAAATGACAGAAAAAGAGGCTCCCAATCGCACGGGAAGTGGAAGTGTGTGGCCACTGGGAAGCCAGTGGTGTGTGGATGGCGGGCTGTTCCTAAGGACCTGCAGTAAACACACGTTTCTGCATCTGTGTTTCCACAGAAACAGGAAAGTGTGCAAAGGATGCACATTTGACGGTTCACATCGGGAAAGTCGACGGCTCTGCGTTTCACTCCCCGCTGTGTGCATCCTGATGTTCAGTTTTACAGTTAACATGTTGTTAGACTGCTTTTGTTCTTAACCAAAACCAGTGAAGATTTTTTTTAATGCATGTTCAAATGCAATTTTACATAGAAACCCAGGTGCAGCCTCTGGATTAGTCATCACCTGTCACAGAGCAGGCACCCGGTGGAGAGAGCCAGCCACCCCCCACCCCCCACCATGGCAGCCAGCCAGGTTCCAGGGCCGGGGCAACTCCCAGCAGGGACCCAGGCTGCATTCTGACTGTGCTGTCCTGGGGGTCCTTCCTTCCTGTGCTGCAGACAGTTTACTCCGAGGAGGCTCCTGGGTTGGGCCACCGCCTCTGGCGTATCCTCAGCCACTTCAGAACTGATGGCTTAAATGTGGTGAGCATTTGGAGACGCTAAGCACAAAGGTCTCTCTCTCCAGGGGTAACCTTAAGGCCGGATGTTTACGGGGAGAAAGGCCTGGAAATTGTCTACAACGTCTCTGATAACAGAACCTGGGCAGACCTCACACAGACTCTCCACGCCTTCCTAGCAGGTGAGGTGTGAAACGGCAGGTGAGGTGTGAAGCGGCGGGTGGGTGAGGTGTGAAGCGGCGGGTGGGTGAGGTGTGAAGCGGCGGGTGGGTGAGGTGTGAAGCAGCAGGTGAGGTGTGAAACGGCTCCACAGCTTCGGCCTTTTCTATTTCATGAGAAACTCGCACTCAGGGCTTGCAAGGCCTTCCCGGGGGGCAGCCAGGCGTCAGGGCCAGGGCAGGACAGGGCTGGCAGGTGCGTCCGTCTGCAGGCTACTCTCCAGCAGCCCAGGAGGACAGCATCAACTGCACCTCCGAGCAGTACTTCTTCCAGGAGAGTTTCCGCGCTCCCAACCACACCAAGTTCTCCTGCAAGTTCACGGCAGATATGCTGCAGAACTGCTCAGGCCTGGCGGATCCCAACTTCGGCTTTGAAGAAGGAAAGCCATGTTTTATTATTAAAATGAACAGGGTGAGTACTGAGGGTCTCCTTCACACGCCACTACAACAGTGCAGTCAGGGCCTCTCACCCACACCCACCACGAGGAGCACAGGTGTCCTGTCTGGGGCTTGCCCAAGCGGGACAGGGACTCCAGCCTCACCACCCTGTACCTTGGTTTGGCACGCACCTGTCCCGTGTGGTTCTTAGATACAAATTTGAAACCACTCGTCAGACACCAGCACATAGCCGGCCCTCTAAAACATGTGGAAACATTTGAACAGGGGTCTCTGCAAGGCCAGGGCCCCCTTCAGGGCAGCCAGAGATGCCAGGGCCAGGTAAAGGGGCCTCAAGTTCTGGAGTCAGGATTGGGAGGGGTTTAGCACCTTCTAAAGCAGAGGCTTCCAACCTGGGACCAGGGGCCCCTTAGGGGGTGTGGGGAGGTGATCCCTGAGCCAGGCTCGAGCAGGGCAGGTCCTGGCCAAGCAGAGGGCTTGGGGCCACCACTCCATGGACCAATCAGCAGCTCTGTGCTGGGCCTCCGGGCAGCTGTGCTGTTCCTTTTCCACTTAAGAGGCTGCAGGCTTGTGCCCTCTACACCTCACGGGTCCCCGTCAGCCAGGGTCTCAGCACTGCCGGCATGGAGGGGCTGTGACGGGGGTCCCAGCAGGGCGTGGTGGCCACTGTGCCCGTCTCATGGCAGCTGCCACCCTCGGAGCACAGCAGGGGATGGCTGGGGCTGGAGAAGCCCAGGGAAGAGGTGTGGGGAAGGGGGCTGAAGGCCCGGGTGGGCCAGAGAGAGTTTTCTGGAAGAGCTGTGCAGAGCAGGAGGCAGGCCGGCCCGTGCTCTGTCTCAGTGCTCCACCGGACCTGGACATGGTTCGAGGGCTAAGACCACCCCGCCCCAGCTCTGCCTCCTGCCAGCCGCCTCCTGAAGCCTGGGCCAAGTGGCTTGCTGATGGGTGGGTGGGGGGAGGGCTGTGGCTCTGAATGATGAGTTAGTGACACCTATGGGGATTCCTCCAAGGGAAGCCGCAAACCAGACCAAGGGCCCTTCTCAGTCCTGGTCAGAAAGCCCAGGCTGGGGCCGGCCAGATCTCAGCTCCATGGGTGGGTGCCGTGCACCTCACATGGCGGTGGGGGTGGGGAGCGGCCACGCTCAAGCTTTTCCCTTCTAGATCGTCAAGTTCCTCCCCAGCAACGGCTCGGCCCCCAGAGTGGACTGCGCCTTCCTGGTGAGTACGGCCGCGCGGCGGGCAGGGCTGCCCCAGGAAAGGAGCTTGTCAGGGTCGTGCTGGTTCATGCTGGGCACGGCCCACCTGGTTCTCTCCAGGAATGTCAGCCGTCGGCCCAGTAAACCAGACGTAAACACCGAACCATCACCACAGCGAGCTCCACCATGGCGGGTAAAACCCAGCAAGGGAAACAATGGGGCTTTTTCTTATTGTTTGGCTTCCAGAAGCATCTGAGTAGCGTGTCAGCAGCACGCTTCAAAACGCCTGGTGGCGATGTGGAAAGACCAGTGCACCTTCCACCAGTTCTGTCCTTTTTATGTGCTTCTTTACAAAAAGGTTCCAGCTTGCCAGCAGCTACAGTTGTTTAACTGTGTTTAGTATACAGACTGCTAAGAGTTGGCATCGATCTCAGGCTAATTCCAGGTTGTTTTTCAAAACTGCTTTTTAAGTCAACATTTTTTAAAACTGAATTTTTTAAATTAAATGTCTTCTAAGATTTGCTTCCACCATGACACCCAAAGGCAAAGGTTTCACAGCGTGGTTCCATTACCGCGTGGAGCCTTCCCACTAGGGTGTCCGAGGGAACCTCACTTCCCTCGAAGCCTCCACTCTCGGTGGGGGCCGCGGGGATTTGCTTTTCCTTTTCTAATTTATTTGGGCCACACTGCGGCTCCTGAGATTCTAACAGATCCAAAGCACCCTTCAGCTGTTCGTTGATGACCCTGAGCTACCCACTGGGCAAGCCTCTGCTTCTGAAACGAGAGGGCCCCAATCTCACAAAAACGCATTCGCTTGCCCCACTCACACCAACTTGTAACCCAGTTTTGGCAAACCAGCCCTTGCCACTGAGCAGTGGCTACCCTCGAGTACAGACAAGCAAGCCGCCTCCCAGCTTCACCCACCTGCGTCATCCTTCCAACATTTCAAGTTGTTAGAGGCACACGGAGGGGTCACTGGGCATTTTGCATGCTAACAAATCATATCCTTGCTGAGATCTCAGCACTGATTAGAAAGATTGCATCTGATTTATGCTAAGTATGCAATAAAGTGTTTATGCAAGCACCTACACAGCGCGTGTGTGCACACACGCACACAAACGCAACACACAGACACCGGCACACACCAGCTCCCGCCTGACTCAGGCAGTGGCCTCTCCTCCCCAGGACCAGCCCCGCGAGCTCGGCCAGCCGCTGCAGGTCAAGTACTACCCTCCCAACGGCACCTTCAGTCTGCACTACTTCCCTTATTACGGGAAGAAAGCCCAGGTAGGTTCCTTCCTTCCACGCTTCCCTCACCACAGCTGCTGAGTCCTCTCACACTTAGCGAAAGGAAAGCAATAAGCCCCTTCATGTAGAAAAATGAAACAAAGGTGTGACTTAGCCGGTCCTGACTGGAACGTTCTGCGTGTTTCCCAAGCCCAGGTTCTTGTATCTACCTGGAAACATTCCTCTCACGCAACATGAAAATACAACTCTAACTCTTCAACTTTTTTTTTTTTTTTTGAGACAGTCTTGCTCTGTCACCCAGGGTGGATTGCAGCAATGCAATCTTAGCATCTTAGCTCATTGCAGCCTCAACCACCTGGGCTCAAGTGATCCTCCCACCTCAGCCTCCTAAGTAGCTGAGACCACAGGCACACACCAACATGCCCAGCTAATTTTCGTATTTTTTATAGAGAAAGGGTCTCAGTATGTTGCCCAGGGTGGTCTTGAACTCCTGGGCTGAAGCAATCAGCCTGCCTCAGGCTCCCAAAGTGCTAGGATTACAGGCATGAGCCACTGCGCCCAGCCTAATTTTTCTACTTCCCAGATCCTCTAAAACAACTGCATATCCACTTCGAAGACTTTCCTCCACATCACGTGCTTTTCCTGTTTCATTTTTACGTTAATCATCGTAAGAGTTTGAAGCTGAATTTACTCCTGGTATTGTCTGTCCCCTCCAGACAGTTGCTTTCCATTTTTACATGGGGGGTGTTATCTCAGCAAATTCCAGGGCATGCACTCGGTCAGGGCCAGTCTTACACAAAAGAGCTGCTTCTCTGCACCAACCTGACTGTTGACACTTCCTTGCTTAGTTTTCTCTCCTTAACTTCAGAGATTTTTGAAACACCTGTCCTTTCCTCACTCCCACTTCAGCCCCACTACAGCAACCCCCTGGTGGCAGCGAAGCTCCTCAACATCCCCAGGAACGCTGAGGTCGCCATCGTGTGCAAGGTCATGGCGGAGCACGTGACCTTCAACAATCCCCACGACCCGTATGAAGGGAAAGTGGAGTTCAAACTCAAGATTGAGAAGTGAAACGGTTTGCGCAGGGGTCCTGGGCACGCCTGCGGGGTCGCTCAAGGACACCCTCCTGGTTGGGCTTACCTTGCCCGTCAGTTCCCTGCCAAATCATCCCCAAAGTGGTTTGGAGCAACGGTGTTGTCAGTGTGCGAACTCCAGAGAAGCGCCCACATCTGAAGGACCTGCTCGCGAGTATCAGTTCTTCCTTGTTGAATTCTTACAGTTTTTAGATGGAATTTGCTGCTATAAGAATGTCCAGCTACCATGGGAACGCAAGGCAGCAACTCTCTAATTAACCAGGTCATAAAAACGATTCGTCTTCTATGTAGACATCACTTTCTTACTATAATTTATTTTTCTACACTTCAATATGAACTGCCCCCCCCACATTAATATAAAAACTACTAATGCACTGATATGAAACACGGCTTACACTAATGACATTCTGAATTCTTGCTTTTAAAATTGCAATTCCTAAGTTGTAAACATAAAATATATTAAAGTTACTCTTATTGTATGTAAAAAAAGAAATCGTGTTTCCTGATATGGGAGAAATTAAATAAAAACCAAACGCTTCCTTAAAAATCTCCTTCTAAAAGTCTCCATTGCAAGTCAGGAAAATTACAAAAACCACGTTGGTGTGGGGTTGTCACCTAAGGACGCTCACAGCTCCGGGAGGCAAACAGTGGGGAGTGAGTGTGTCGGCAGCCTGATGGTTTAAAACCCAGTTAGTTACAAACACACTTCTCGTTCACCAAGAACAAGTCTCTCCTCCAAATATAAATGTTAAGTTAGCAGCTCTAACCCTTTCAAAAAACTGAAATGAGAACATTCTCCCAAACAAGCAAACCTGCTCTTGCTGAAGGCCACAGACTTCTCACCCAGACAGCAGTGAGGCCTGGGTCCCAGTTTCATCATGCAAGGCCACGGGCGTCTCACCCCGACGGCGGTGTGCAGCCTGGGTCCTGATTTCACATGCTCAGCAGTGTGGCTGTTAGTACCCAAAGGGCCCCAAGCACAAGCGACTGGCGCGTCGAAGTCCGTCAGCCCCCAACAGACACACAGAAAAGTCCATGAGAAACGGTCTTGGAAGAAAGATTAAAAACCTTGCAGATATGTTGTAAGGTTAACTAAATCAATTTACCGATGGAAGACGCTGTACCAAGCATCTCCAGTGCTTACTCCGTCAGTAAAAAACCGCCGGCAAAGGTCTCGGCGCAGACGTGAGTTCACGTCATGGGACGCGTGGCCACACTCATAGTCTGTGCTTCTCGAATGGAGGGGGCTCGTGTGCAGGTGGCGCCGCTGGCTGCCACTCAAGCTGGAGATGAGGTGGAAACACAGCTGCGGCGGGACGTCTAAGACGCAGGGTGGCGGTGGCCGGCGGGTGCGACACCAGCACAGAAGACACGGTACCTGTGGGAGGGCTGGGAGCCTGTGGAATCAGGTCCTGAGCCCAGGCCGGTCCATCATGCTGGGCAGTGAGGATTCAGAGAAAGGGAAGGAAATTAGGGGCTACGCACCAAAGACTTAAATCTGAGTTTTATTTTGCCTTTGAGAAATCAGAGGAGAGCTCTTTCAGGAACCCAGGAAGCAGAAGACAAGTCCTTGGCTCACCCGAGGCAGGGCGGGAAAGGGCGGCCGTGCCAGCAGGTTGGCTGTGAGCCCGGAGTCCTCGAGCCGTGCCAGCAGGTTGGCTGTGAGCCCGGAGTCCTCGAGGACAGCCGCCCCGCTCACTTGGGACGCAGGAGGAAGCTGAACTGGGAGGCGGTCATGCTCCCAACCAGGAGTAAAAGTGCTGCCAGGCACAGAAATGAAGTGGGCGGTGACACCAGAATAGTCCAATGAACACAGCCCTCGACTGTGTATTAAGAACACTCAGGGTGATATGTGGGACACCAGGGTCACCTCAGCGAGGTCATGCCATGCTGAAGGTCAGAGGTCAGAGGTGACACCACCTCAAAGTGACGGTGGAGCCATGAGGGTTCATCCCACCAGACTCTCAAAGCCAACCCAGCTGGAACCCAACACGCCTGCCACGTGTCCCATGGCCACCCAGAGCCCCCATCTCCAGGCCCTCAGAACCCTAGCCTCTTCCTCCCTCCCCAGACTCTCCATGGACACCAGAGCCCCACTCTTTCTTCAGAGGCAGGGTCTCTCTATGCTGCCCAGGCTGGCCTTGATGTCCTGGGCTCCAGCAATCCCACCCACAGGGGCACCCCCGTGCCCGATCAGAGCCCCTTCCTGATAAAGCCGGGGGCTGCTCCTGCCCCACCCTTCAGAATCACCAGCCCTGAGTTTCAACCCCCAAGGCCTGGAAGAAACACAGGCACAGGAAGCTCGCCACGGGAAGCCACGGTGCACCCGCAGGTGCTGGCTGCACATGCACCCACACAGAGCCCTCTGAGGCACGACTGCCCGTAGTTTTATGTAAGTTCCACAACCCTCGATATGCTTATGGTAATTCAAGATTAGGAAAAAATGATTCTTCTAAAACTAGTCTTCTATTGGAATTTTCAGTGATTGATTTAGCCAACTCAAATAAAACACTTAGCTCTCCTTCATACCTTCTATGTCCTTCCAATTTTTTTTTTTTGTGGTAAAATACATGTAATATAAAATCTGCTGTCTTAACCATTTTTAATGCAGTTTGGTGGCACTGGGCACATTCACAGGGTCCTGCAGCCGTCACTGCCATCCACCTCCAGGCCCCTCCATCCTTCCAAAGAGAAGGTCTGTCCCATTCAACACTCACTCCCCATCCCCTCTCCCTCAGCTCCTGGCAACCGTTCAACTTCCTGTCTCCATGATTCGACGACTCTAAGTACCTCATATAAGTATTTTATGACGGGCATATTTCACGTAGTATAACGTCCTCAAGGGGCATCCGTGTTGTAGTGTGACAGGATTTCCTTCCAAAGATTTCGCTGTCTGTACAAACCACACTTTGCTTGTCCACTCATCCACGGATGGACACTTCGGGTGCCTCCACTGTTTAGCTACCCTGAATAGTGGTACGTGTAGACATGGGTGTACAAATGTCTCTGGGTGTATACGCTGAGCAGAATTGCCGGGCATAGGGTAATTCTGTTTTTAATTCTGTGAAAAACAGCCATTTGGTTTTTCATAGTGGCTGCGGCTCTTTACATCCCCACCGTGTACAGGGCTCTGCCTTCTCCACATCCTCGCCAATGTTTATTTTCTATTTTATAGTTTAATCTATGTTGCCTTCATGATAGTGACGTTGAGCCCCTTTTCATGTTCTTACAAGTCATTCATAGATTTTTCTTTGGAGAAATGCTTATTCAAGCCCTTGCCTGTTTTTAAATCAGGTTGTTTGGTTTTTGAGTTTTAAGAGTTCTCTATGTATCCTGGATATTAATCCCCTACCAGACACAGGGGCTGTGCACATTTTCTCCCATTCTGTGGGCTTTCTACTCTGTCAACATTGTCTTCTGATGCAAGAAAGGTTTATATTTTCATAAAGTCCACATTGTCTATTTTTCCCTGTGCCTTTGGTGTCATATCCAAAAAAATCACTGCTAAGTCCAATGCCATGAAACTTCTGCTGTTTTCTTCTTTTGTTTTTTGAGACAGAGTCTCGCTCTGTTACCCAGGCTGGAGTGCAGTGGTGCGATCTCAGCTCACTGCAACCCCTGCCTCCCAGGTTCAAATGATTCTCCTGCCTCAGCCTCCGGAGTAGCTGGGATTACAGGTGTACTTCACGCCATCTCGCTGGGCTAGTTTTGTGTATTTTTAGTAGAGACGGGGTTTCACCTAGCTTTTACAATACTAGCCTCTTACAATACTAGCTTTTATAGTTGCGCACATATTTACCTTTACTGAGTTCTTGATTTCGTCATTTGGCTTCAAGCACACTGGTCTCAAACTCCTGACCTCAAGTGATCCACCCGCCTCAGTCCTGCAAAGTGCTGGGATTACGGGAGTGAGCCACCACAATCGGCCACTCTGTTTTCTTCTAAGAGCTTGACAGTCTTAAGCCTTACATTCAGATCTTAGGTTCATTTTGAATTAAGCTTTGCACTGAAACAGTGTTAAGGGTCCCACCTCATTTGTTTGCACATGGATAATCAGTTTTCCCAATACCATTTGTGAAAAAGACCATCCTTTCCCCATTGCATGGTCCTGGCTCCCTTGTCAAAAAAATCACTTGACCAAATATGCGAGGGTGTTTGGCTGGGCTTTCTATTCTATTCCTTTAGTCTGTAGGTCTTTCATTATGCCAATACTGCTCTGTTTTGATTATTACAGATTTGTAGTTTTGAAACCAAAAGTATGAGTCCTCCAGCTTTGCTCTTCAAGATTGTTGGGGCTATTTGAGGTCACTTGAGATTCTGTATGAATTTTAGGATGAGACTTTTTATTTCTGAAAAACAAATCACTGGGACTTTGACAGGGATTGCATGTAACCTACAGATTAAGTTGGGTAGTGTTGACATCTTAACAATACTGTGTTCCAATATATAGCCATGGGGTGCGTTTCCATTTGTTAATTCCTCTTAGCAATGTCTTGTCATTTTCACTGTATTAAGTCTTTCACCTCCTCCAAGTTAATTCCTAAGTATTTCATTATTTTGATGCTATTGTAAATGGAATTATTTTCTTAATTCCCTTTTCATATTTTCATTGTTAGTGTACAGAAACACAAGTGATTTTCCTGTTTACTTTACAACCTGTAACCTTATTAGTTCTGTTTTTTAGTGGATTCTTTCAGATTTCCTGCATATAAGATCACATCAACAAATGGAGATAGCTTTACTTCTTCCTTTCAAATACGAATGCCTTGTATTTATTTTTCTCACATAACTGCTTCACTAGAACTTCCAGTACTATGTTGAATAGAAAAGGCCAGGGTGGCCATCTCTGCCTTGTTCCTTATCTTAGAGGAAAAACTTTCAGTCTTTCACCTTGATGTTTGTTCTCTTTGAGTTTTTCATATACGGCATTAACTATACTGAAGTAGTTTCCTTCTATTCCTAGTTTGTTCTTTTTGCCATAACAAGATGTTGAATTTTATAAAATACTTTTTGTACATCACTTGCAATGACTACAGCTGAACGCAGTGGCTCACACCTGTAATTCAAGCACTTTGGGGGGCCAAGGTGGGACGATCACTTGAGCCAGGAGTTCAAAACCAGCCTGGGCAACACAGAGACCCTATCTGTGCAAAATCAAAAAATTAGCCTGGCATTGTGGCACACACCTGTAGTTCTAGTTACTTGGGAGCATAAGGTGGGAGTTTGAGCCCAGGAGTTTTAGACTGCAGTGAGCTATGATCACGCCACTGCACTCCACCCTGGGTGACAGAGCAAGACTCCATCCCTAATTTAAAAAAAAAAAAAAGCTGTTAATAAAACATTGAGATGATCATGATTTTTTCTTTCATTCCGTTTATGTGTGCATTACAATGATCAATTTTGTTATGTCAAAATATCTTTGCATTCTAAAAATAAATCCCTAGGTCATGGTGTGCAATCTTCTAAATACGCTGCTAGCATTTACGTTGCATGATCTTTGAAATACGCTGCCAGTATTTTGTTGAGGATTTCTGCATCAGTGCTCCTCAGGCATGTTGGTATTTTGTGCTTGTGGTGTCTTTGGCTTTGATATCAGGGTAGTAATGGTGGCTTCACAGAATCAGAATGTATTCCCACCTCTTCCATTTTTTAGAAAAGCTTGAGGACTGGTAGTTATTCTTCAAATGTTTCGCAGAATTCACCAGGGAAGCCACTAGGTCCAAAGTGAGATTTTAAAGGACTGATTCAATCTCCTTACTAGTCAAAGGTCTATTCAGATTTTTACTTATTTTTATTAAATCTGGGTAGGTTTTGTCTCTAGGAATTTGTCCATTTCATCTAGGTTTTTAAATATGTTGACACACAATTGTTCCTATTATTCTCTCATAATCCTTTTTATTTCTGTAGAGCCAGTAGAAATGTCCCCATTTTCATTTCTGATTTTAGTAATGTCAATCTTTCTTAGTATACCTAACTAAAGGTTTGTCGGTTTTATTGATCTAAACACACTTTTCGGTTTCTTGATTTTCTCCTTTGTTTTTGTTCTCTGATTTTAGCTCTGCTCTAATTTTTATTAAATTGTTTTCCCTCTACTTGCTATGGGTTTAGATTTTTTTCTAGTGTCTGAAACTAAGTGGATTCTTTCAGATTTCCTGCATATAAGATCACATCTTGCAGGGCAGGTCTAGTGGCAGCACACTTCCTCAGCTTTTGTTTATCTGGGAATGTCTTAATTTCGCCCTCACTTTTGAAGGACAGTTTTGTCAGTTGTAGAATTCTTGGTAGTTTATTGTTTTTCTTTTAGCAGTTTGAATATACTGGCCCACTACTTTGTGGCCTCCAGTTTCTGAGGAAAACTCTGTGGATAATTTTATTGGGGGCCCCTTGTATGTGATGAATTGCTCCTACTCTGCTGCTTTCAAGGTCTTCTCTGTCTTTTGAAAGCTTAATTATAATGTGTCTCGGTGTGGATCTCTGAGTTTATCTTCCTTGGAGTTCATGGTGCATCTTGGATGTTTATATTCATGTCTTTTATTAAACTTGGTGCGTTTTCAGCCATTATTATCTTCAAATATTCTCTCTGCCCCTTTCTTTCTCTTCTCCTTCATAGACCCCACAACATGTGCACTGGTCAGCCTGATGGTGTCCTGCAGGGCCCACAGGCTCTGTTCACTTCAATCTTTTCTCTTTTTGCTCCTCAGACTCAGTTATTTCCACTGTCCTGTCTTCAAATTTGCTACTTCTGCCTTTGAATCACTCTGATGAATTTTTCATTTCAGTTGCTGTACTTTTCAGCTACAGAATTTCTTGTTGGTTTTTCAGGTTGTCTGCCTCATTATGATCCTTGCATTTGGTTCTATTTTCATTCTCTTGACTTTCTGCACATGTTCTTTGGCTTCCGTGAGCATCTTTAACACAGTTATTTAAAAGTATTTGTCTAGTGTACCTGCCAACAGATCCTTTTCAAGGACAGTTTGTTTTTATTTTTTTCCCTTTAAATGGGCCATACTTTGCCATTTCTTGGTATGCCTTGTCACTGTTTGTTGAAAACTGGACATCTGAATCTATTACTGTGGTACAACTCTGAAAAGAAGTCTCCTGTTCCCCCGGATTTGCCATTTTTGTTATTGCTGTGTTTATTGCTTTTTTGACAGCTCTAGGCTGTACCTGTGCCATGGTTCAGCCTGAGGTGTAAACGTAAGGTCTTCTCGGGTCTTTTCTGAGCCTCTCCCTGGGCAGCCCCATATATACAACACAGTTGTTTTTATACGTCCTAGTCTTCAATGTCTGGCTCCCAAAAGGGGAAAGAGAAAAATGAAGGAACAGAGGTCGGGGTAGAAAGCTGAAATGGACCAAAATTAACTGCAATGTGCTGACCAAGCCTCCCTTGAAAGCTTTAAGCCTTCAGTAGATTCCGTAGTTACAGAACAGCTGCATCAGGCAGATCCTGCCCGCGAGGTAGACATCTACCTGGGCAGCCAGATTCCTGGTGCTCCCTATTCCACCATCTTCCCAGAATCCTCTCAATCTTATTCTTGTTCTCAAAGTCAAACTTTTAAATTTTGTCTCAATTTTCATTGTGAAAAAAGGCCAAGGAACTTGGCTTATCTTTCTCTGCACCACAGGCACCGAAAAGGAAGGTGCCTCTTTGCCCTGTGTCCACCAAGACCTCCACCCTTGGCCACCTTCCACCTTTTCAGGGTGGGCTCCCGGAGGATGTGCCTCAGACAACATGTGGTGGTGGGGTTTGCACCCACAGGGACCACCCGGGCCCACCGCGTCTGGGCCTAACAACCTACTTTCTCACTCAAGTATAAAGTAAAACCAACAAGACAGACAAATTTCTAGATAATAATCCTGAATTAGAGAAACACAGCTTGTTTAAAATGCCCATGCGCGTTTTATTAATAAAAACTAACAGTGCCAAGTTAAACAAGTCAAACAATTAAAGTCTCTTTATATACCATAAAATATTACAGAAAAGTTTATTTGTGTTTCAATAAAAAGACTATCGTTTTAGAACAGGCAGCTAATAGCAACTGTGCAGTTAATGGGTTTTGTGAATAAATTTTAAAAGAGACTACTGCCTGTCCTTAAATTCCTTTTTCTTTTTATAAAAAAAGAACTATTAAAAATGATTGACAAATTTTGAGTTAAAAAATTGTTAAAACATTCTCTATATTTAATTTCAATTTTATAATAGATTACAGGAAGATGCTTATGAAACAAATACATTTGTTTCAGTACATGTCTTTAAATGATAGACTTATAAGTATGTAAACAACTATATAATAAAAGGTTTCCAAACGCTGCCTGTAAGAAATCAGGCAAATTTTACCATAAGCAATAAACCATTCCAAGCCTTCCAGACAGTCTCCATAGCCGCACCAGCATGGCAATAAGCTTTAACCAAACGAAAACAAACAAACAAAAGCACTTCGCAATTTGTTGCTGCAAAACAGGGAGAGAAAAGAGTGTACAAACTTGATGGAATCACAAC
The DNA here is from genome assembly GCF_000001405.40 of Homo sapiens. NCBI lineage: Eukaryota > Metazoa > Chordata > Mammalia > Primates > Hominidae > Homo > Homo sapiens. The sequence goes on along the minus strand of NC_000013.11, from coordinate 113,640,850 downwards.
AGTCAATATAATTTAAGGGACAATAAAGTCAATAAGGTTGATGGTGTTTATTGTTTAAAAAGTTGAATTCTGCTGTTTGCTTGGGGCTGTTTAGAAAGTTGCATTCTGCTGTTTGCTTGGACACCGTACCACTGAACAAACTCCACAGAGTCTTGCTATCCGCCAGCAGGGGTGCCGTCCAAACTCACGGCAAATAAGCGGCATCAGGGGCTCACCATCCACAACAGGAGGTGTTTTATTTTCATGGATGTGGTTGAAATACAATTTCTTCAGCAAACTCAGCAAAAACTTTTCAGGGGCAAAAATGAACTCTGCACTTAAAGAAAAATAGCAAATGAAAACACAAAATCCTAACAAGTAAATAAACGCTCTGCATCAGCACACTGGTATCAAAACACACATCCACAGCACGTCCTAATCCTACGGGAAACAATCCTTGCTTATCAGAGGTGCATATCTAAATTCAATAGCTTACCAATATCTTCTTGGGAGTAGGCCAAAAGGAAACAGAAAACCCACATTAAAAAAAAAGTTTCTTTTCGCTAAACGTTTTCCTGAAGCCGAATCTGAAGTGGGGAGGACGTCAGTCGTCCTCGTCATTCTCGTTGAAGTCATCGTCCTCCTCGTCGTCCTCCCCGACGTAGGACACCGGAGTCTCCACCCTGGAGCCGCTGTACTGAGACCCATTGGAGCTTGTGGCCAGCATCCCATCTGCACCGTTGGTCAGGTCACTGCAAGGCAGGAGGCGGATGGCGCCGTCAGTGCAGGCGGCCCACCCAGCCTCCCCCCGCCTCAGGGCTTGTGGTCAAATGACAGGCTGTGCCCCACAGGTGTGGGTTTTGTCAGTCACACAAACAGAACGGGGAGGCTGAGTGTCTGCACTACAGCACGCCAACGCTCTGGCACTTACTCCATCTCTGTCTGGTTCTCTTCTGGCCCTGTCTCCTGGAACCCATAACGACAGAAACAGGAGGCTGAGCAGAGCCACACGCTGCCTCTCCCTCACTCATCATTCCATCAGGAGCAGTGCCCCAGAGGGAACAAACTGTAAAACCATTAGATCCCTCCCTCCGGGACTTTCACTCATAACCAGCAACAGGAAAAAAGAGAGCCCGGGGCAGGACAGGATGGAGTCCAGAGCGTGGGTCGAATCTGGCAGCGGGGACTGAGAACCCAGAGGGCTGGCAGCACCACAAAAACCTACCACCAACCAGAGCTCACTACGTTCCTAATGTTTAAAGATGTTTTCAATTAACATAAAACCATATGTACATATTTTAATACATTTTAATGGTATTTATTAACACTACAATAAAAATGTGTTAATGTGCCTTTTGATGAAGTAATTCTGTATCTTGGAAACAAGTCAGAAATGGCGAGAAATTCAGCTGTAAAGCTGCTCACTGCAGTTTTTATTCTAACTGGGAACTACCTAGATGTCCTTTCATGAGGTACTTGTATAAAATGTCTCATCATGCCACTATGAAAATCGGTATTTCGTAAGAAATGGTAATAGCTTTGTTTCCATTGTTATGAAAAACTGACAAGTCTGAAGAATCACATCCATAAAAAGGATTATGTGATGATAAAAGTCCTAAAAATACCCACATCCCACCTCATGGAAGAAGCAGCATTAAACATGTTTACAGACTGACCGCCACACGTTCACACATAGCTACAACAGAAGGAGAACCGGCCTCTGTCAAAAGCTTGTCACCAAAGTCCTTTCTTCCATCACCACCTCACTGATCCTTGCCACAGATCAGTAACTCATCAATCACCAGTCTCACCTTACAGGTGAGGAGGCCAAGGCTGGCTTTGCACTTCCAGAGCTGGCCAGGAAGCTACACGTGCCCGACACACCTGTTACATCTCATGGCCACAGCACATCCCAACGCAGGCTCAAGCACACTGAAACTCACTATGTCGAGCCCTGTTACCCGGACCCATAGGTTACTGAGTTCTTGTATTTCTAATTAAAGATTTTATTAACACTTAAGATTAATATAAAGTAATACTATATATTGTATCACAATGCAATATAAAAGTTAATAAAATCATTGTTTTGTTAATATTTACCATAAAAGTTATATTTATCTTTGAAGCACTAAGATCAATACCTAGGGACACCATTCTACTCTGTGGGATTGCAGGTCAAAGATTAAATACAAATTTATTTAAATAAAGGCCCTTTAATAGCATAGAAACAATATATATTCATACAATAAAATGTAAGCTGAAAAATGCACGGAACAAAATATGTGTGCTGTGACCACAGACGCGTTCTGAAAAATACGTGCGCTGTGATTGCAGACGCGTTCTGAAAAATACGTGTACCATAATCACAGACGCGTTCGCAAAAATACATGCACTGTGATCGCAGCACGTGCGCCGAGACCGCAGACGCGTTCTGAAAAACACGTGCGCCGTGATGGCAGACGTTCTGAAAAATACATGCGCTATGACCATAGATGCATTCTGAAAAACACATGCACCATGACCGCAGATGCGTTCTGAAAAATGTGTGCTGTGATCGCAGACACGTTCTGAAAACTACTTGCGCCCAGACCGCAGACGCGTTCTGAAAAATACGTGCGCTGTGACCGCAGACGCGTTCTGAAAAATGGGAAAAAAAACCTGGAAATACTTGCTGTTACTTGGGCTGCCGGGGACAGGAGGATTTGGGTGGTTTTCATTCCTACTTTACTTATTAGGTGATACTATGAAAAAAAAACCACCATGTATTACTTTCAGTTTTTAGTGAGCAGAAACCAACTAAGAAAAGCAGCTCTCCACACAGGGAAAGCCAGCGGGGCCCCACTGCCTGGACAGACAAGCCACGTCAGAGCAGCCACAGACCTGATGGCCACACCTGAGACGGCTGCCCTGCCTTGGCCCCTGGACCCCGGGGGAGGCCCAGATGACGCCTCTCCCACACCCTCAACGACTGTCACCTGGCAGAGAACCTTGTGCCGTTAGACGTGGAACCTGCCGTCGTGATGAACACGCCTCCAACAGTTCCCTGAGCCATTTCTGAAAAGGGAAAGAAAATAAGCGAATGGTCATGAAACAGAAACAACACAAGACGCACAGGCAACCAACAAAATGACGCGCAGTTCCACAGGACAGACGGCTGTAGAAGCTTCCGGATATCCTTCGCTTGTCCAGTATTTTCCACACTGCGCCACGGAGCAGGACATCCCGCTGTGCAGTCACATAAGCCTGTCTTCTCTAAAAAGGCAAGAACAGCCTTGCAATAAATACCTGCACACACTGACTTACAAACGGCACACGTGTGCTGCTGCCTCAGTATCATACCCATCGTGAAACGGAACCGAATCAAAGTGTCAAGCTGAAACCCTCTTCCCACAGCCCATCCTGGCAGCTCCATGAAGCACGGGACAGAGGCCGGGGTCAGGGCCCAGCCCACGTGGGCGGCCAGAGCCCACTGTCACCTGACAACATGGACCAGCCAGATTTTCACAAGATCTGGGGCAGTCTAAGAGCTCAGGGAGGAATCTCTGACCCTCTCAGGGAATAAATCTACACCCCAAGTTTAGGCTAACAAGAGAAGGATCAGCAGATATGACACCTTCACAATTTCTCACCTTAAAGCCATCCTGCTGTCAGTGGCTGGGACCCTACGGCCCCCAAGGAAAGAATTCACCAGAACAGAAAAAAAGCTCCTTCAACAAAAGCTCCTGTGCTCCCGGCCCTCCGGAGCAGGACGCCAATGACTCTGAAATGCTTTTTCTTGGTGACTTTGCCCTAGTGACCAATCAGCTACCATCAGTGGGTGGGATCAGCAATCCAACTGCACTTCTCAAAGAATCTCAACTTCTACTTCTGGGCCTACTTGGAGGGTAAAATCCTGACTTAGCACCTCCTCACACAAACCACATAGGAAATCCACACGAGCCACCTGTGGACTCAAGGCCCCCATATCCAGTGGGTCACGGCACTGGCTGGACCCCACCCCAGCCACACCCCTGCCCTCATCCCCCTCACAGCCCCTTTGTCTTTGCTCCTGGCCCTACACACGTGGGCCTGATCTCAGCAAGACACATCCCGAGCCGGGAGGGGAGGGCACCGTCGGAGGCTGGGGGCCATTCCTCACACAGCCACGCCAGGTTGTCTGGGCATTGCTGACCTGTCACGTATGGCTCCAGAGCCTTGGGGACCAGACTTCTGGCCATTTTAAGGTCTTCGGCAGAGCAGCTCCCCGACTCCAGCCCGCAAGCCATGCCCATCCGCTTCAGCACTTCTATGTCATCGTGGATTTCAAATGTGTTGTCAAAATTAAACAGATACTCAAATCTGAAGGGGAAAGGCACAGTCAGAAAGACAGGGTCTCCCAGCGGAGACGGTACACACTGGGGTGGAGCCAGGACGGCTGACCCGCTGACCGCCACACACAGCTTCCCGGTTCCCAGTCATCAGTGTCTCCTCACAGAATTTATAAACTCTGAAGTAAATGAGATGAGAGGCAAATCGAGGCCTATTCTCCCCAGGAGGACATGCCCTAAGGCACACGCTCCCGGAACAGAGACCTTCCATCTGCCACATGGCGGCAGCCTCCCACCACCCCCCAATGGACAGCAATTTGTGCAACATTTGCTATTTGTACAACATTTAAAACTTGTCCTAGTGACAATACCAACAGGGTCGGCTCCCTAAAAAAGAGATGGGTGACCAGGGAACAGCTCCCCGCCCACAACCTACTTGTCATTGGAGATGCTGCAGTCGATGACCGTCTTCTTGCTGGTGTTGACGATGATGAAGGGCAGGTGGATGACTGAGTTGGGTGGCGGTGGCCGGCTGGCCTGCTGCTCCGCATGCCGGTTTCTCTGCACCAGGTTCTTGAAGGCAATTTGCTAAAAAAAATAAGAGGAGCCAGGTGGCCCGTGGCGGCACAAGAACGCAGCCCCTGTGCTCGAGGGGTCCTCACAGCCCTCCCTGCGTCCACGTGACAGCGAGGAGTTGGCCTGGACATCTGAAATGCCAGCGCCGGCCGCTGGGTGCTGACCTCTGCAGCCCAGGGAGAAAAGCGCTCAGGAAACGGGATCCTGAGGGGAGAACTAAGGGAAAGCGGGCGCACAGCCATCCGTGCCCTGATAAAAGTGTCCTCCACGGCAACGGCGCTCAACAAAACACCAATTTTGGAAGTCGATTCCTTGCTGTCCTTCACCCCTCTAAGACCACCTACCACCATGGCACCTACAGGGTGATGGCCTTGGAGGGGGTGCCGTGCCGTGGACTTTGCCCACCCTGGAAAGTGGAACGCAGAAGGGCCCATGTGCTGCAGGGGTGCTCCTCTGGGGGAATAGGCCCTGCAAGGCTGAATCCAGGGCCAGGGCCTCAGGGCCCCAAACCAAGTGTTCCACTTGGAGAGACCTTCTTTGCTATTAATGTAGAGCCAGGAGATTCCCTTCCTCTCCCGGCCACCCTGGGTCTATCCCCACCTGGCAGGTCCTAAGGCACTGGCAACCAGGACTGTCCCTCCTGACACTCTGTGGGTCCTGAGGAGCTCCTGCCCACGAGCCTCCATCACCACGGCTGCCACACCGTCCCCTCTGGGAGGGCTCGAGCACACCTTGGTCAGGGCAGCAGCCAGCTCTGCAGTGAGCACCTTGCACACAACCCCCTCCACACCAGACACGGGGCCCCCAGTGGTGCCGCCCACCCTCAGCACTCAATGGGAGGTGGGGAAGGCCAGCTCCAGGGCCCTGATCAGCACTGTCAAGACCCAGGTGCACTGTGTCCACCACAGTTTTACAGGCCTTGCCTGGCACCTGGGCCTTGGGTTAAGCACCTCTGAGGAGATTTTTCAAATGTTGCTTTTGCATGAAGTCATCCCTCCATCTGTCTTTTGCCTATTTAGATGCTGTGACGAGAGATACACACATACACATGTATGCACACATGCACACACACACACGCACACAGGCACATGCACGCACACACATGCACACGCACACAGGCACACGCACGCACGCACACAGGCACATGCACACACACACACATGCATGCATGCACGCACACACACATGCATGCACACGCACGTGCACAACCTCGCTCTGGGAATAAGGCCCACGTTCAACACCTATGAGATGAACTCACACTCAGAATCTTAGAGCAGTCATTTGATTTGCCATGCAGGAGTGTAACCCAAGGCAGTATGTTGCCGTTATAAAGCTAAATTAGTAAAATAAAAATTACCCTGCCTCCACAGATACGTATTCTCTTACCTGTAGAATAAGTTCTTGAAGTTGAGACTGTTTCTGTTTTATTCTTTCAAGTCTCCTCTGTCTTTCCACCTTCAAAAACAAACCACCCATGTGAAGAATCATCACAACTGTTCCACAGAGCGTTTTTTAAAACCCACATCCTCACATCCTCACAGTGTTACCTATGTTTACCCAGAATGTAATCGAAGGGATATGGACAAATCTAGACATAGCAGGTGCTACAAGATATAGGTGAGTTTTTTTTCCATTTCTAAACTATACCTTCTCCCCTTTCCTCTCATTTCTTGGATTTAACTATGGTATCTAAAAAGAAAACAAAAATCCCACAAACTAGGATTCAGAATTAACCTACACTAGAGTTTAACAGACTCTAGTGGGTCTGGGCCAACCATGCTCCCTCCCCTGACAGCCAAGACTGAGAAACGCAGGGAGACGTCTGCATGACCGTCTGCCAGCCGGACACAGAGAGCATAAGGGCACGGAGCCCAGACCCTTCTGAGTGACCGACGACTAAAACATCTACACGGACTTGAAGGGAAATCAAGGTTGAAGGAAGGCTGAAGGGGCACCTCTAAGTTCTGACATTCCTGAGCCGAGTTGGTGGGCAGACCAATCCACTTGATCTCCTTCTTCTCCTTGGAGATGATGTTCATGGCCATTAGCACGTTTAAGGCATCGTAGACGCGCCGTCTTATGTTTTTCTGGTCATAAGCCTGGGGATGACAGGGAGTGGAGTTTCCAAATGATCCAAAAAGGCCGGTGGATCCTTAAACTGTAGACCATGGGCACTGGCTCAAAGGGGCACCCCGCTCACGGAGCCGCCACCCCAACATGCCCTCAGGGAGCGCTCCCACCCCACAGATGACGCAGGGCAAGACGGGGCTGTGCGAAGCCTGAGTGTGTTCCAGAAGGAGAGCCGGGGGCTCTCGGGTGTCGAGCCCAGCTGGTGAGGTGGGCATTTGTGCATTTCTGGGCCGCTAGACGTGCAGAGCCAGCCCACGTGCTCACTCACTGGAGTTGACAAAGCATCGTGCCAGCAAATGGATCGGAAAAATTCTTTTATGCTGTACTTGGCATTTTCTGTATGGTTTTAACTGTTCCCGATATTAAAAGAGCGAAACGTACCACACCGCTGGGCTCCGCCACCCCAGCCTCTCGGCCCCGGCACACACTTACTGACTCGTTTGGTAAAAATTCTTTTATGCTGTACTTGGCATTTTCTGTATGGTTTTAACTGTTCCCGATATTAAAAGAGCGAAACGTACCACACCGCTGGGCTCCGCCACCCCAGCCTCTCGGCCCCCGGCACACACTTACTGACTCGTTTGGTAAGATGTGGTTGTCGGCAGCACTGAACTCCGCAACCAGCTCGTCTGCCACTTCGTTGTAGGAAGTGGTCCCTTTCCTCTGCACCTTCTCGCAGACCTTCATGGAGAAATGCCGTAGGCCCTTGCCATTCTTCTCTCCTTTCCTGTTGCGCTTCCTTCAAAATACAAAGGAAAAGAGAAGCGACTGTCAGCCCTCCTGAGGATCAGCCTGAATCGAGGAATGCTTTTACCTGAGAGCTCTAATGAGCTGCACAAAAAGGGGCCACGTCCCACGGGCGCAGCAGATCCAACACGTGAGCAGGCCAGGACCCCCTAGCCCCAGCCCCCAGGCCCAGTGGTCCTGCAGGTCAGAAAGCGAGTGTCTCCCCAGCAGGCTGCACCTCTAACCTTCCAAGCGTCAGGGAAAACGGGAGGCGTCCCCAGGACCCAAATCAGCATATGGGAGATGTGCCGGTACACCAAGCACCACTTTTCTTTTTGTTGTTGTTTTTTCTTTTTTGAGACGGAGTCTCGCTCTGTCGTGGGCTGGAGTGCGGTGGCGCCATCTCGGCTCACTGCAACCTCCACCTCCTGGGTTCAAGCGATTCTCCTGCCTCAGCCTCCCGAGTAGCTGGGATTACAGGCACGTGCCACCACATCTGGCTAATTTTTTTGTATTTTTAATAGAGACGGGGTTGCACCACGTTGGCCAGGATGGTCTCAATCTCTTGAACTCGTGATCTGCTGGCCTCGGCCTCTAGGATTACAGGCGTGAGCCCCAAGCACCACTTTTCTAAAGAGGGCAGCCAGAATCAGGAACTATGGGACGTTTCAGTGTAAATTTGGGAATTCTTAGGACTAATTTCAGCAGGCTGTAATTTCATACAGCTTGGGCTGTGACAGCCGCTTGACAACAGGTGCAAAGCACTAAGTGTGCTTCAGGTCGAGGGAAAGCCCAACTCTGTACACTCTGGTCAGTCCCCACATGGCGGGAAAGGCCACCTGAGGTTCCTAGCTGGTGAAGCTTTGGGCACCAACACAGGCAGGCTTTTGCAGCTTTGCGTGTGTGTGTTTTTAAGGAAAGACACAGCTCATCAGATCTTGCTTTAGTGGAAGGAGCAGCTCTGGCGGGACCACCCGCGGGGGCCGTAACCCCAGGGGCAGTAGAGGCTGAATTCAGGGGCAGTGGGTGAAATCCATCCCACATGCTCCCAGCACAGACGAGGGAAAGTCTCCGAGGTCCTGTGGCGAGTACGAGGCCAGCTTCTCCCCGTCTTGGCCAAGAGCTGCCAGCCCTTCAGAGAGCACCCACTACACCAGACACAAAGCGGGGTGGGCGGTGCCCAGCCCGACTTCTCCATGACCGAGGCAGTGCGCCTCGGCTGCACACCTGTGCAGGCCACGATGATGGGTGAGTGTGATTCGGAGGCTGGCGTCAACGCGCGTGGGAGCCCCATCGCACGACTGTGTGACACACGTGGCCCAGGAGAACGTGGAGGTGCGAACCGCAAGCAGTCCTACAACTCTAAGGGTCCAGAGGGAAGTGCTCACCCGGCAGACCAAGGTGAGGAGTCGGAAGGCTGGTTCTGAGAGGCAAAGTGAGTGCTGGGGGTGTGTGGGCTTCCTACCACCAGGGTGTTTGACGCTGCCGGTCTCTGAGGCGTACCAATTACCTACAGTCGAAAAAGACAATTCAGACAGTCAGTCCCCTCCCACACGGCGAGGGTGCCATGCCCACCATCTGTTCGCTATCCGCAGCCACTGCTGAATTTCCTTAACCACAGTGAGCAGCCATGACGGAGCAGGAAAAACGTCCAGCGGTGGACGCTTTTGTCACGGTGACGGCATCACCCCACCGGTTCTGAATGTGGCTCATCTTCCTCTTGTCAGTCACAGGCATCTTCTCCAATTAGACAAAAGCAACAAGAAACTTCGGACGACCCAAGCAAGCAAGAACAGGACAGGGCAGAGCGTGACCCCCAAACCGCACACAAGGCGCTAACGGTCAAGTTTAATGAAGGGGGCGGCACAGAATTCCACACAGGGCACTTGAGCACGCTTCCATTTTTCCCTTCACCCTTTTACTTCCTTTTAGTGATATGGATGAGGATGAAATTGTATCCTTCTGTGGTACTAAAAAGAGGCCTGAAACAAACCAAAAACAGCTCTCAAAAGACAAAAGCACAGGCAGGGTGACAGCAGCTGCTCCTCCAGCCCAGCAGGGTGACAGCCATCACCTGGTAACCCTGTGCCCTGGGGCCCTGTCTGGGGGAACCCCTGCACCCACAACGGCGTCAGGCAAGGAGGGAGGGCCACCAGCACTGGGGGCGGAAGGTAGGGGCTCCACACGCCCCTGGGGCTCACACACCTGGGCCCCTCTGGGGGGAACCACCAGAGGCAACGCCAGTGTGGACACTGACCCACCCGCCCCACCCCACAGCACACCTGAGGGTGTCAACAACTGTCTCTCCCTTCAGGGACATGCTGGCTGGTCTGACTCTTGACAAGGTCTTACCACTTTAGTTCCAACAATGAATGTTCGAGTGTGAATACCTGGACACCCTCATACAGGCAAATACAACTCTGACTTTTCAAAGATCTTGTGGCACGACTCTATCTAAACTGGAAACACTATTTCTCAGTAAATGTTAAATCATTCAATTCACCACAAATCAAAGTGCCTCAGCGATTATACTGCTTGTATGGACATGCAGTTTCCGTTAAAGGGATTGGAGCTGGACACCTGTATGCTGGCGGGGGGGCTTCATGTGGCCGATGCCCTGAGCTACTCTAAGCTGGGCCCCCCCAGCTCCCCTTCTTACGGGGATAAATGCATCACCTGCGGTGGCCCTGGGAGCAGCTGACGGGGACACTTTCCAATTATCCCTAGGCCAGATCACCTGTCAGCTCCGGAGAAGAAAAACATTTCAAGGACTGATCTTTTCATTGACACTCATCTCTCCGATGATCAGAGACTCATCAGAGTGCGGCCTTCTGTGGATCACCAGGCCATGAAATCAAACAAGTGAATTTTCTGCAAAATGAAGCCATACAAAAGATAAATCTCCTGGGCGTGGATAAATGTCCTGTGAAACTTGTTTTGTTCAATACGCGTGTGTGTGTGTGTGTGTGTGTGTGTGCTGCTGGGGCACTGGGCCACGTGGGAGATCCAAACAGCTGACAAAAGGACCCTGCCACTCAGGCTGCCTGAGAGCGCGCTGGCCCCGCACGGCTTCCTACGTTGAGTTCAGCAGATGCCATTCTCCGGGAGTTGATGTCAGACTGAGAACCCGCCAGCTCCACGCCAGGCAGTGCTGGCTGGCTCCGCGCATACCACACGCACAGGTACAGGGGGCTGGAGAATCCCACACACGATTCTAACCCACCTCATGGGTCCACTCCCTTCCCCAGGAATCCCAGGACCACGCAAGGCACTGGATCTTGGCCCCAAAACAGATGCCGTCACCGTGCCGCTGTCCTCCAGGCAGGAGCAAACCTACTCACAAAGAGTGGACTTACAACGAGGAACTGACTTACAACGAGGAACTTACAAGGAACATCCCGATAAACCCGCATGAGCTGAAAATACCCTAAGTCGAAATGCACGTCATCCACCTCTCCTACCACACATCACAGCTTAGCCAGCCTACCTTACACGTGCTCAGATCACGCATGTTAGCCCAGTCGGGCAGAAGCATCTCACACAAAGCCCACTCTAGTCAAGTGTGGGTATCCCAGGAGACCCACTGAATACCACACTCAAAATGAAAAATAGGACGGTCGTATGGGCAGTGGAAGCAGTTTCCACTGAATGCATGTTGCTTTTGGACCATCTTAAAGTCAAAATCACAGGTCAAACCCACTGTAAGTTGGGAAGAAGAGAAAGCCAGAGGCAGGTACACACCAGGTGCTCAATGGTGCTCACCAACAACCTTTCCTGGAAGACAGGACTCAGCACCCAGGGGCACCCTGAGAACGAGCCACCAGTGCACTGGGAATGCGTTGTTTACGGAGGCCAGGTCTTACAGGAAGCTCTCCTTACTCTCCTGCTTTAACTGCTCCCTGCGGAAGGCCCCGCGGCATCCGGCCCATGCAGTGCTGGGCAAGGGTGCCTGCACCTTCCTCTGCGTGCCCTGCGTGGCAGCTCCCCTCACTGTGTCTCCGCAGCACTGTCCCTGCTCCTCACCCATCACCTGCTGCTCACCAGCCCTGTGAGCTGAGTCAGCATCACAGGGGCGGCCTGGAGCCAGCCCTCCCAGGAACGAGACAGAGGCTTTGCTCCCGGACCTGGCACAGGTGTGTGCGTTTCCTTCCTGGTGCACAGGAAGCCGGTGAACTCGGGCCGGCCGCCTGTGCCACAGGACGCCTTCCAGTCTCCCATTCAACAGACATGGAGCAGGCCCCCGGCCTCACTTCCCTACACCAGGAGCCACACTCAACAGCCAGAGGAGGCACGGCAACACACTGAAGCCCTGGAGGGCGTGTGTGGGCAGAAGCGCAGGGAAAACAGGAACCAAGGAGGTGCCAAAGGGTGGATGGGACAGTGCCGGGAAGGATAGTTCAGAGCTGGGCCCCTAGGGAAAAAAAGGAGGTATTGGAAGCAGTGGCCACGCTAGCTGGAGTGGTGGGCAGAGACCCTGGAAGGGAGAAGTGGTCACAGCACAATGAGGGGTACTGCCCAAAGCTGGGAGGCTGTGGGTCCCACTCCAACCAGGGCTTTCCAGGAGATCCAGGAGCCTCTGGGAGCAGGAGGCAGGCAGGGGCTGAAAGGCGCCAGGGACACCCACCCCTTAGATTTAACAGCGGCTTCTCTGGAGGATGGGCTCCGCCCTCACGACTCCCTCACCCGCCTCTCGCTGGGGAGCAGGGGAGGTGACCCAGGCCCCACAGGTCATAAGGGGTCTCCCTTCCTACTGTGCTCACGGCTGGAATCCAAGCTGCGCTTCAGAGAAAGTAAATGACATGGCTTCAGACACAGTCTACATGGCTCCAGACACAGTCTTTACACGGCTCCAGACACAGTCTTTACACGGCTTCAGACACAGTCTCTACACGGCTCCAGACAGTCTTTACACGGCTCCAGACAGTCTTTACACGGCTTCAGACACAGTCTTTACACGGCTTCAGACACAGTCTTTACACGGCTCCAGACATAGTCTTTACACAGCTTCAGACACAGTCTTTACACGGCTCCAGACAGTCTTTACACGGCTTCAGACACAGTCTTTCGACTCTAAAGCTTTTGCAGCTTCCACGCCAGCAGTCGTTAGAAAACAGCTCCAGGTGGAAGCATCCCACAGTAGAGGACCTGCCGGAGGTCCACCTTGCCCGAGACCAACCCTCCTCCCCCAGGAGCTCCCCTCCTCACTGGCTGCACAGTGAGCCTTGGTGTTTAAAGCAGCGATCCCCCACCTTTTTGGTATCAGGGACCAGTTTTGTGGAAGACAGTTTTTCCACAGACCGGAGTCGGGGGTAGTTTCGGGAAGAAACTGTCCCACCTCAGATCATCAGGCATTCGATTCTCATACGGAGTGCCACCTAGATCCTGCATGTGCCGTTCACAGTGGGGTTTGCGCTCCTGAGAACCTAATGCTGGGATCTGACAGGAGGCAGGGCTCAGGCGGCTGTGCGGCCAGCTTCCTAACAGGCCCAGGGGTTGGGGACTCCTGATTTAAGGCATCCCTTCTGCCCTAAGTGCACACTTTTTGCACCTTAATTTCACACACTCTAAAAACTGAGATTACGATGTCTCCGTGTAGTGTGACCCCACTCAGACACAGAATCCTAGAGATGGACCAAGGTTAACCGCGGTGTCCAGAGAGACAGGGCCAGTGGCGCAGCTGCAAAGGAAAGGCCACTGCGACCACAGATGCCGACTTCTGGGACACAGGCCTGGGTGGGGGGCTGCTTCTCCCCAGGGGCTCACACAGGCCGCTGCTCCTGCCGGCTGAGCACATATGTCCTCTGTCCCGCACACGTTCCTGTGCGCGTGCTGAGCTCTGCAGCACCACAGGCTTCACAAGCATCCGCACCTCAAAAGACCCTGACCTTGACAAGCCCTGCGCCTGCTGACTGGTGCAGGTCAGAGACCTAAGGACCTCCCCACCGCTTTCACTCACATGCCCGGACTGAGCCCCACCCCTCGTGTCAGAATGAGCCAGTCCAGTTTTTTGTAAACCTCTGGTATATAAAAAGGTTTAAGAAACATTTGCCCTTTGTCAGCTTTAATTCCCATCACTGGGATTTTGCAAAGCACAAAACAGCAATGACAAACTCCACCCGAACAGCTGAATTTAAATCAGGAACTTGACTTTCAGTGACGAAGTTTAAAGCACATCAATAAGATAATCTTCTCATTCGTTTCCCCCCAGTGTATTCACACCGGCAGTAAAGACGAAAGTGGTGCTACAATTATTCACCCAGACAAACTCTGCTATGACACACAGCACCTATAAAATCAAACTTAGAATTCCTAGTCAACTTATAAGCAAACCTATAATCTAATTATCAAGCAAAACAAAAACTGAATTTTTAGCTTTTATCAAAATGGCATTTACTGAAAAGCCGTGATCTGCTGTGCAACGTGGTTGAAAAGCCGTATGACGTGGTAGGGCTTCCACAAACCGCTACTTTCAATGGCCACAAAACTTCTGCAGAGCAAGTTTTTTGTCACCTTCCACAGGCAGGAAACGGGGCCACAAAAGCTGCCTGGGATCTGGAACCGCTCAATCAGGACAGCTGTGTGGGAGCACACACGGGGAGGGGGGCTGCGGGGAAGCGGGGCGCAGGGAAGTGGGACGCGGGGAAGGGAGCGCGGGGAAGGCAATCCTGCTCAGATCCTCAAGGCTGTGACCCACAAGCCACTCTCTCTTAAAACTCATATCCTAACATCTGTTAAAGAATCCAGAGAATTTCAAGCATATTTAAATAAACGGAAATAGCAGGAATGCATATAAAATAAAGACTAAAGTGCAAAAATGACCAAAATATCCCTGGTATGTGGTCATGTTCTCTGAAGAAAACATGATTAGACCAAAGGGAGATGCCCTAGACAACAAAAAACAGCTCAGTACAGAGAGCTCTCCACAGGGCCAGGGACACCTGAGGATGCCTGGGGATCCATGAGAGACACCTGGGGACACCTGAGAGACACCTGAGGACACGTGAGAGACACCTGAGGACACGTGAGAGACACCTGAGAAACACCTGAGGACACGTGAGAGACACCTGAGGACATGTGAGAGACACCTGAGGACGCGTGAGAGACACCTGAGGACACGTGAGAGACACCTGAGGACACGTGAGAGACACCTGAGGACACGTGAGAGACGCCTGAGGACACGTGAGAGACGCCTGAGAAACACCTGAGGACACGTGAGAGACACCTGAGGACATGTGAGAGACACCTGAGGACGCGTGAGAGACACCTGAGGACGCGTGAGAGACACCTGAGGACGCGTGAGACACCTGAGGACGCGTGAGACACCTGAGGACACGTGAGAGACGCCTGAGGACACGTGAGAGACGCCTGAGGACACGTGAGAGACGCCTGAGGACACGTGAGAGACGCCTGAAGACATGTGAGAGACGCCTGAGAGACACCTGAGGACACGTGAGAGACGCCTGAGGACACGTGAGAGACGCCTGAGGACACGTGAGAGACGCCTGAGGACACGTGAGAGACGCCTGAAGACACGTGAGAGACACCTGAGAAACACCTGAGGACACGTGAGAGACACCTGAGGACACGTGAGAGACACCTGAGAAACACCTGAGGACACGTGAGAGACACCTGAGAACACGTGAGAGACACCTGAGAAACACCTGAGGACACGTGAGAGACACCTGAGGACATGTGAGAGACACCTGAGGACACGTGAGAGACACCTGAGGACACGTGAGACGCCTGAGGACACGTGAGAGACGCCTGAGGACACGTGAGAGACGCCTGAGGACACGTGAGAGACGCCTGAGAAACACGTGAGGACACGTGAGAGACACCTGAGGACACGTGAGAGACACCTGAGGACATGTGAGAGATACCCTGAGAGACACCTGGGGACATGTGAGAGACACCTGAGAAACAGCTGAGGACAAGTGAGAGACACCTGAGGACACGTGAGAGACACCTGAGAGACACCTGAGGACACGTGAGAGACACCTGAGAGACACCTGAGGACACGTGAGAGACACCTGAGGACACGTGAGAGACACCTGAGGACACGTGAGAGACACCTGAGGACACGTGAGAGACACCTGAGAAACACCTGAGGACACGTGAGAGA
The DNA here is from genome assembly GCF_000001405.40 of Homo sapiens. Taxonomy (NCBI): domain Eukaryota; kingdom Metazoa; phylum Chordata; class Mammalia; order Primates; family Hominidae; genus Homo; species Homo sapiens. The sequence continues at coordinate 113,625,010 of NC_000013.11, read as the reverse complement.
CACCTGAGGACACGTGAGAGACACCTGAGGACATGTGAGAGATACCCTGAGAGACACCTGGGGACATGTGAGAGACACCTGAGAAACACCTGAGGACAAGTGAGAGACACCGGAGGACACGTGAGAGACACCTGAGAAACACCTGAGGACACGTGAGAGACACCTGAGAAACACCTGAGGACACGTGAGAGACACCTGAGAAACACCTGAGGACATGTGAGAGATACCCTGAGAGACACCTGAGGACATGTGAGAGATATCCTGAGAGACACCTGAGAGACACGTGAGGACATGTGAGAGATACCCTGAGAGACACCTGAGGACATGTGAGAGATACCCTGAGAGACACCTGAGGACATGTGAGAGACACCCTGAGAGACACCTGAAGACATGTGAGAGATACCCTGAGACACACCTGAGGACATGTGAGAGATACCCTGAGAGACACCTGAGGACACGTGAGAGATACCCTGAGAGACACCTGAGGACACGTGAGAGACACCCTGAGAGACACCTGAGGACACCTGAGAGACACCCTGAGAGACACGTGGGGACATGTGAGAGATACCTGAGGACACCTGAGAGACACGTGAGGACACCTGGGGATGCCTGAGAGATACTTGGGGACACCTGGGGACACGTGAGGATGCCTGGGAGACACCTGAGGACACCCGAGAGACACGTGAGGACACCTGGGTATGCCTGAGAGACACCTGGTGACAGTGAACGGACAGGTTCTCATCCCACCCGGAGGTGTTCAATCCTTTTAAGAGGACTGGGCCACAGCACAGACGGAGCAGGGTGAGGGGGTGGAGTGGGCCAGGAGGCCGGGGTGCAAGAGGTGCTGCATCACCAAAGCCCAGGGTTGGCAGGAACAGGGCTGGGGCAGCTGCCCAGGCGGGGCCACAGCATCATCTCAGGACCAGGAAGGAGCCCTCAGGCACCATAAACAAGTCCCTGAGGAAGGACTGGAAGCCCGGCCTAGCCTTGGGATGGCTATGTCCCTCACCACCAGCTCCAGTCACAGCCAAACCTGCCCACCAAGTGCCTGGGGCCCCATTTCTGGTGAGGTCAGGATTCTGTGTGGGCTCCCTGTCTCCAGTAGGCTGCCACCGGCAAGGACGCAGAGGGCGGACACGAGACAGGAAACAGCATTATGAGAAGCAGCATCAGTTGGCCAGCATCAGCCTGGGGAGGGGGGATGCGCCACTTCCCAATGCCCACCTTCCCCTCTCCTGTGCGTGGCCAAGGGAGCAGCATCTGCCCTGTCACTGCCCCGGGGCAAACGCACAGCCACGGCCAGGGCCCTATCCCTCTCTGGCTTCCCAGCCTGATGTCTCCAGGAGGGCCACAGCCAACGCTCGGCCACATCACGTAAGAAGCCCCTGTTAGATGAAGAGCTTCGAGCTCTGACACTAAAAGGAAGCTGCCTCTGGTTGGGGCCGCGGCCCCACCCACCACCCTCCAGTTACTGGAAGGATGGCATGGGCTGGGGCACACAGGAGTGCTGTGGGCGCCATCACCTCTCCCACAACAACACGTGGGCAGCTGCAGAGGGCTATGGAAAATCTAGCACTGGCCACGGGCTCCCTGATGAGGGAAAGGCCCCATGCTGCAACTGGAGCCCAAATCCAGGCACACCTGGGAACATCCCCAACCACACGGCTCATCCGATCCCGACCTCACACCGAGATCCCGGCTGTCCGCTCCTGCGGGAGGCTTACCACTTGCTGGGCAATGTTGACATTGGACTGTCCAAAGGTTTTTGGCAAGAGCTGCTTCCCGAGCGGGTTGACGGTGGAGGGGTGAACGGCCACGAGGGACACCACGCCTGCAACACAAGGACACCAGGTCAAGGGCGAGACTCCTTTTCTAAGTTAAGGCTACAAGCGACCATTCTAAATGCAAGACGGTGCTTGCAATTAGAGATGCTTAGCTTTCCCCACGTGTACTGTCTCAAATCCAGGGCTCAAGAGCAACACCTCCATGAAGCTTGATTCCCAATGTAAACCCGTAAGGGGAGGGCCGCAGGGCCGCGCTGACGCCACCCAGGTGACCCAGGCAGATCATCCACTGCTCCAGCCCCTCGGCGATGTCTGCTATGGAACGTGCTGGTGGGGACCACGGCCTGGAAAAGTCTGTGATTCTATGACAATTATGGAACAGAATTTTAAAACTAGAATTTTTATCGCAACATTTCTCTATAAGGCTGCAAAACTAGTTTGGAAATCTGATAATCCACTTTTCCTTAGGAAGGAGAACCACATTTGTTCCTAGGAAGGAGTGTGCCTTCCACAGAGGCTGCGGCTCTAAACATGCAGGTGCCCTCAGAACACTGGTGAAGCAAGCGGGAGACCCCTCTGCAGGAGATGTGAAGCCTCTGTCTTCCAACAGCGGTATGCAAAAGGTCCTAGGGACAGGGCGGTGGATAAAAGTCCTGGAACATTTACACATAAACAGAAGTAGTAATGATAAAGTTCAAAAACTGGCATCAGCGGGCAGAGAGAACTAAACAAAGAAACCGTAAACCAGGTGGTAGCGAGCACCCTGGGAAACAAGTTGGGAGGCCTGGGTGGTCAGCACAGCCCGGGAGGGGCGTCAGGGCAACACTGGAAGGGTGGGCGGCCACACAGAGGCAGCAAGGGGCTCGCAGTGCCCCACTGTAGGGACCGGCCCCACAGGGTCGGTGGGTTTCTCCCCGTGTGCGGAGACGAGAGAGTGTAGAAGTAAAGACACAAGACAAAGAGATAAAAGAAAAGGCAGCTGGGCCCGGGGGACCACTACCACCAAGTCGCAGAGACCGGTAGTGGCCCCGAATGCCAGGCTGCACTGATATTTATTGGATACAAGACAAAAGGGAAAGATAAGGAGAGTAAGCCATCTCCAATCACAGGTAAGGCCATGTGGGTCACGCGTCCACTGGACAGGGGGCCCTTCCCTGCCTGGCAGCCGAGGCAGAGAGAGAGAGGAGGCAAAGAGAAAGACAGCTTACGCCATTATTTCTGCATATCAGAGACTTTTAGTACTTTCACTAATTTACTACTGCTATCTAGAAGGCAGAGCCAGGTGTACAGGATGGAACATGAAGGTGGACTAGGAGCGTGACCACTGAAGCACAGCATCACAGGGAGACGGTTAGGCCTCCAGATAACTGCAGGCGAGCCTGACTCATGTCAGGCCCTCCACAAGAGGTGGAGGAACAGAGTCTTCTCTAAACTCCCTTTCCCGGTCTGCTAAGTAGCCGCTGTTTTTCCGTGACACTGAGGCTACCGCTAGACCACAGTCCACCTGGCAACGGACATCTTCCCAGACGCTGGCGTTACCGCTAGACCAAGGAGCCCTCTGGTGGCCCTGTCCGGGCATAACAGAAGGCTCGCACTCGTCTTCTGGTCACTCCTCACTATGTCCCCTCAGCTCCTATCTCTGTATGGCCTGGTTTTTCCTGGGTTATGATTGTAGAGTGAGGATTATTGTAATATTGGAATAAAGAGTAATTGCTACAAACTAATGATTAATGATATTCATATATAATCATATCTAAGATCTATATCTGGAATAACCATTCTTGTTTTATATTTTATTATACTGGAACAGCTCGTGTCCTCGGTCTCTTGCCTCGGCACCTGGGTGGCTTGCCACCCACACCCCACCCCACGGCTGGGGGAGCTGAGCGGATAGCCCCCCATTTGAAAATACATGATACTCTCAGGTGAAGAAAACACAGACTTTCGGGTCACAACAACATCAGGAAAGAAGAACTCCCCGATCTCGCCACACCTTGGGCCTCCCCGGACGGCCGCCCATCCGCAGAGCTGCAGGACCCTGGACCTCCCCACAGGCATCTCCCTTCATTCCCACCAGTTAGCACCAAAATGACTCATGAATCATCGGTGAGACTTTCGAATACATTGCCTTTGCGATCTGAAGTTTCATTTTGGGGCCCTTTACAACCCATGCATTTTTAAAACATCTACTGCTTTTTATGCATTTCTTTAAAATATATTAAACAATGAATTTTGTGCTACATAAGGACACTTAGTAATTTCTCTTAATAACCTAAGTTGGCCAAGACAGATCATTAGGAAGTGATTAAAAAGACATTTGCCTTTTGATTCAACTGGGTTAAATATTAGTATTTTTACCAACCAATGTCAGCACATATTTAAAATTCTCTTCTGGAACTAAAATAAGATGATCTGCTTTGGGAAATTTTCTTCCAAAAATAAAGGTGTGCATCCTAAGAAAAGCAAATATTTACTTTTTTATTGTTTTATATATGTGAAAGGTATTTTCAGAATATTCAATTGAAAAGTAAAGATTGTACATATTCGAAATGTACCAGTGATGATTGGATGCACATATACACGGTGTAATACTTACCAGGGAAAGGCATTTTAAAAGCAAAAATAATATTCTACTATGCAGGGAATGATTTAAAGTACGCAATTAAACACTTTTCAGATTCACATACAGATGAGTAAACACTCAGTTTTCAAGAATATGTAGTTGATTCATTACAAAGATAACATCTTTTAAAATTTGCAAACGAGTCTCTAATTTCAATAAATGTGAAGAAAGAAACAGACCTCTGAGTTCACAAAAGCCAGTGGCACTGTCACTCTCCATCAGCAGCCCAGGCGGCTCTTTCCGTCCTGAACAGCCAGGCCACGGCGCCCGTCCACCAGCACCACAGGTAGCATACACTCAGGCATCCCAGTCTGGGGCTCCCCTTTCCTGCCCCATCAGGGAGTGTGGGTAGGACTCAGGGATTCAGGTGGTGGTGGGGCTGTGGGACAGCAGTGTAGCTGAGACCCTCGGGGCATCCGGCCTGCCCTCCATCTGCTCCACCCACAGGCCGGCCGGCTGGCCTGCCTACACCATCTGTCCTTCCAACCAGGTCTCTCCCTCTGGGCCAGAGGCCAGCACCGTGAGGCTGGGGTGGGTCGCTAAGGGTTTTCACAATTAGGAAGGGGGAGACAAACACACAGAGGGAAGAGGGTCCCTCCTCTGGTACCCAGGGCAGGATGAGTGAATGCAGGCAGACATCCAGGGCCCCTGAGCTTCCCCACTCACTCCTGCTGTCCACCTGGAGTCTGAGCCCCCACACCAGCTGCAGGTAAAGGGTTTCGGAGCCCAAGGCCTTGCCAAGCACAGAGGGCCCCTCCCAGCCTAGACACAAACCAACAGAGGACCTCTGAGTGGCACACCACACCAACCCAGCAGCACCCCTGGGTCACCAGCTGAGTCTCTACGGGACAGAGGGCAGGGTACGTACATCAGTAACAGGGAGAAGAAAGAAATCCTGAGGCTGAGGGTGAATACCCCCTGTCCGGCCCCGAGCAGCACTTCAGAAGGGCCTGGAGATAGGGGCTGAGCTTGCACAGCCACCCGACCACAGCGAGCAGCAAGGCCCCTCCCTGAATACATCTCAGACCCACACCCAGACGTACAGGCTGGAAAGGGCAGTGGCAGTGGCTTCTGGGGCCAGACCTGGGTGGGTGGGCTTCTTCTTTTTTTTTTTTTTTTTTTGTTTTTTTTTTGAGATGGAGTCTCACTGTGTCGCCCAGGCTGGAGGGCAGTGACATGATCTCGGCTCACTGCAAGCTCCGCCTCCCGCGTTCCAGCGATTCCCCTGCCTCAGCCTCCTGAGTAGCTGGGACTACAGGCACCTGCCACCACACTGGCTAACTTTTGTATTTTTAGTAGAGAAGGGTTTCACCATGTTGGCCAGGCTGGTCTTGAACGCCTGACCTCTGGTGATCCGCCTGCCTCGGCCTCCCAAAGTGCTGGGATTACAGGTGTTAGCCACTACGCCCAGCCGGGCTTCTTGTTTCTATTCACTGAGAAACTTTTCAAATACAAACAATAACATGACAATTTTATTCCAGTACACTTAAAATTCACTGTTATCATCATACTTGCTTCAAGTTTCATAGAGACATAAAGAGCAGAAATAAAATTACAGTCCCCAGGATCCTCAGCCTCCCCCCGAGTCTGCCCTGTGTGCAACTCCCAGGGCCTGCAGGGACGTACTCACTTTATTTTTCATACTTTTCCAGGATGTGCTGAACCTAAGGCTATAAATGATTGTTTTTGTGTGCGTCTGAAACACAGACAAATATTATATGGCTCGCATTCTGCAATTCTGCCAACATTGTGTTTCAGATTTACCCATACATAGAGCCGTCAGGCTGATTTCCTTAAATGCTGTTATGCTATGCCATTATAATAAAGTGGTCATATGAACACAGATGTCATATGAAAATGCTGTTTGTTATTACTGAACCACATGCTGTGTGTTTTCCTCGGCACACCTGCCACCAGGGAAGCCCGGGTCCCAGCGGCCGCTGTCCCAGAGTCCACCCAGCTCCCCAAGTGGTCATTCCAGGCCAGACGCACCAGTGGCAGCCAGGCTGCCGCTCCCCACCACTTTTTTTGTCCACCTCAGGATAGAATGTTATTTCAATTAGTAGTAGTAGTTGTTGTTTTTGAGACAGGGTCTCACTCTGTCACCCAGGCTGGAGTGCAGTTGTAGAATCTCAGCTCACTGCAACCTCCACCTCCCGGTTCAAGGGATCCTCCCACCTCAGCCTCCCAAGTAGCTGGTACTACAGGCTCGCACAACCATACCCGGCTAATTTTTGTATTTTTTGTAGAGACAGAGTTTCGCCACATCACCCAGACTGGTCTTGAACTCCTGAGTTCAAGCGATCCACCCGCCTTGGCCTCTCAAAGTGCTGGGACTACAGGTGTGAGCCACCACGCCCAGCCAATCATTTAGTTTTAATCTGGCAATATAAGTAGAGTAGAGTGTTCCACACATTTTCTTGATAAGACTGCCACACAATCTATGCATGGGAGGGAGGAGGGCTAACATTTCAGGGACAAGCTGAGTCACATGAAGACATGGCCCACAAGCCAACTCAATAGAAATAATATTGTTTCAACTGTAAAAGGCACTACACAGCGTTTTTCAAATGAACTAATTAAAAACATTTTATATACAGCATTTTAAATGGAGAATTCCTTTCTTGGGAAGAAAACTAGTTAAGAATATATATGGTCTCAGTTGCTATAATCCATTAACAGAAAAAGGAGTCTAAATATAGTATTCACGTTTTTATCATTACTAATCCTATTCTATTAATATCTATAGGGCTTAAGATAAATTATGAAACCATACAGTTTTGTATTTTCTGAAAAACAATTTTAACATCTTTACGTTGTCAGAGCCAGATGTCTAAGAGTTACTATTTTGCCCACCATGCTGGAGATGTTTTGTTTGCTTATCTGGCCAAGCACAACCCCTCTGCAGGTGAGCAGCTCTGCAGGTGAGCGGCTCTGCAGGTGAGCGGCTCTGCAGGTGAGCGGCTCTGCAGGTGAGCGGCTCTGCAGGTGAAGGGTTCTGCAGGTGAAGGGCTCTGCAGGTGAGCGGCTCTGCAGGTGAAGGGTTCTGCAGGTGAGCGGCTCTGCAGGTGAATGGTTCTGCAGGTGAAGGGCTCTGCAGGTGAACGGTTCTGCAGGTGAAGGGCTCTGCAGGTGAACGGTTCTGCAGGTGAGCGGCTCTGCAGGTGAGCGGCTCTGCATGTGAGTGCCTCTGTGACTGGCTCGCAAGCAGCATTTGTGCACACTTGACTGGCCACAACAGAATGTTCTTCTCTGTTGTCAGCACTGAGGAGGAAGCTCCTGCCTAAGCGACCACAGCCAGGCACCCGCTCCATGGAGACATTGCTCTCTCCAGACTCCATTCAGACTCAGGAAACCTGAGCTCCTGGAATGCAGGCTGAGGCAGCTCCCACACAAAAGCTATCTACTCTGGCAGTTATCAGAGGCCTCCGTTGCACAAATCACACACCTACTGTGCCTGACGTGGCTGGGCCTCCAGCAGGACCCGCTCCTGAGAACACACGGGTGCTAGTCCAAGTTCACAGCACGGCTCAAGTCACTCCCACAAACCTCTCTATACAAACACACAAAGCTCTGGGAGGCTACCCTGCATCCAAGAGTCACCATCTCACACCTGGAACAAGGGTTACGGCCACAGAAATGTCATGACTGGGCTAAAAACAGAGGCTGGGCTTTTAACATCCTTCGGGTTAAAAACAGAGAAATACAAAGAGAGAAAAAGCTGATGGCCTCTCCTGACAGTTTTGTAGGAGGCTGGCAGTTTGAAGAGGCCAACCAAAACTTATACCCTCCCTTCCTATAACCCCCTTCCTAACAGCTCTACAAAGACCAGTGCGTGTGTCGGGGGGCAAGGGGCACAGTTAGTTCACAGGCGACGGTCACGAGTGAGGAATTACGTAAGCAACACTAAGCTTCTGACCACACATCATTGCTAAATTTCCTCCTCCACTTAGAACCCTAAAGCCGACAGATATGAGATTGAAGCAGGAGGAAAGTAAAGACACAACAAAGGGAGATGCTCTTTAGTAAGCAGTCATTCTGGGCTAAGAGGATATGTATAATCAATGGCCACATGTGCTGGGCACTCCCAGATGAGCAGCAAACGAGGGACCCGGCCTGGCGCCGCAGACGGTGAGCCTGCACTGCACACAGCCATGATCTGTACCTGAGCGCTCTCCACGGATTTACTATGTTAAAAATCATGAGCACTCTACGAGAAAACGGCAGCAAATAACAAAAGGTAGCAAAACGCAGCCACCGAAACCGTGACTGGAAGGGTCCCAGTGACTACAGACAGGAGCCACCACACGGCATGGAGAGGACAGACACTCCACGCACCAGCTGCGAAAGTGCACGCTCAAATGTACACTTACACACTTACTCTTTTTTTTTTTTTTTTTGGAGACAGAGTCTCACTCTGTCACCCAGGCTAGAGTGCAGTGGAGCAATCTCAGCTCACTGCAACCTCCGCCTACAGGGTTCAAGTGATTCTCCTGCCTCAGCCTCCTGAGTAGCTGGGATTACAGGCGTGTACCACAGCGCCCCACTAATTTTTATATTTTTAGTGGAGAGGTGGTTTCATCATGTTGGCTAGGCTGGTCTTGAGCTCCTGACCTCAGGTGATACACCTGCCTCGGCCTCCCAAAGTGCTGGGATACAGGCTTGAGCCACCATGCCCAGCCTACTCATTTTGAGACAGGGTCTGGCTCTGTCACTCAGGCTGGAGTGCAGTGGCACAATCACAACTCACTGCAGCCTCGACCTCCCAGGCTCAAGCGATCCTCCTGCCCCAGCCTCCCAAGTAGCTGGGACTATCTATAGACATGCGCCACCATGCTTGGCTACTTTTTTTTAAAATTTTTTATAGAGATGGGGTCTCCCGTTGTTGCCCAGACTGGTCTTGAACTCCTGGCCTCAAGCAATCCTCCCACTGCAGTCTCCCAAAGCACCGGGATTTCTGGTGTGAGCCCCTGCACCTGGCCTAAACGTGTGGAACAGTGTGGGCAGATTCTCAGTGAGCCTGGATCACCTCTAGGTACAGGAGGTGCACAAGCAGCCCTGAGGTAGAGACAGACAAGCACACTTCCAGGCCAGCTGTGGCCTCCCGGATGGCCTCCCTGAGGACGAGGCACAGGCCGGGCAGGATTGCACACATCAGGGAGGAGAGTGCAGGCAGCCATGGGGCCAGGTCACCCTCAGACAGGGGCAGGGTGGACCAGGCAAAGCGAGAGGAAAAGCTCCTATCAGCACTGCGGGGCCGTAGGCATGATATGAGTAAGAGCCCACCTGTGACACAGAAAGCCTAAAAACCCACCACTACCAAATGCTGGTGAGGAAGTGGAACTGCCAGACACACAAAGTGTGTGTGCAAATGTTCACACCAGCATTTTGCTCTCAGGAAACAATCAGAGGCAACCCAAACAGCCACAACTAAAATGGCCCACGTAAGATGTATTGCCAAACCTCCACATTGGGACTCCCATCCTTGGGGAGCCTGTGGATGCAAAATGTCTCGAGTTTGGTGCATTTCTCTGGGTGGAAAGCAGCCTTCTAAGCCTCGAAGGGTGTGACAGTCAGTTTTACGTGTCAACCTGACGGTGCTCTATCCATTATTCAGCCAAAGGCCAGCCGAGAACTTGCCGCGGAGCTCCTCAAAGAGGAGCCGTTAAGCAAAGGAGACTGTGCTCGATGCAGGTGGGCCTCGTCTAACCCACTGAAGGCTTTCAGAGCAACACCTGCATTTTCCCAGAAAAGGAATTCACCACCAACCACCCTGCAGGTTCCGCCCTGACGGCCCCACTATGGCTAGGTGGGTCCTGTAGTGAGTCCCCACCCAGGTTCCCGTCGCTCACTGGCTGCTACTTTAGAGAACGCTGACACAGTGGGGAACTGGACACAGGCCCCCCACAGCAGCAGCAGGAAGAGACACAGTGGCCCCGGGAGGCTGTGACGTGGAGTGGAGCTGGGAGGACCAGGACCAGGGCCAGGGGCCCATGAGGAGCCTCGGCTGGGCTGGTCCCCTCTACCTTCCCCTGATCCACTCTCACCTGGACAGCTCCTGTCCTTCCTCAAGGTCTGACTCAAGGGAGGCCTCTACAGCCCTCAAAGTGCTACCGACCATGCCCTGGGCTCCCAGGGCACAAACGGAGGAAGGCAGAGCCTTGCTCACTGGCACCGCCGAGGGCAACTCAAAAAGCAGCTGCAACGGCTCCATCTAAGGGCGCCGAGGACCCTGCCTGGACCACCCCACTCCCAACTAGAGGCAAGGGGGGCCCACTAGTGAAGACAGGTGTCTGTTGGGGAGGCGAGGACTGCACGCTTACACACACACAACTCACACACACGCACAATCAGAACTCACACTCAACTCACACACGCACACACATCATACTCAACTCGCACACAACACACACATACAACTCATTCAACTCATGCACACAACACACACACATGCACACGCACATAACACTCCATGCACACAACTCAACTCACACGTGCATATGCACACAACTCACATACATCTCATGCACACAACTCATGCACACAACACACATCTCACACACAACTCACAAACGCACGCACACAACTGACACAACTCACGTGAACTCATGCACACTCACAACACATGCACTCCATATGCACTCCTCACAATTCACATGCACACACACGCACACAACTCACACGCATGCACACACACGCAAACTCACAGGTACACTCACATCCACTCACACAACTCATGCACACTCAACACACATGCACACTCAACACATATGCAACCCATGAACAGACACGCACAGACACTCCACACGCACAATGCACTGATAAGCACTCCTCACACACCCACGCATTCACGCATACACACAGACACACTCATGCACACACTCCTCACATACCCACGCATTCACGCATACACACACACACTCATGCACACACACACTCATACCCACGCATTCACGCAGACACACATGCACACACACTCCTCACATACCCACGCATTCACGCATACACACACACACTCATGCACACACACACTCGTATGCACACTCAGTGACACACACATTCCTCACACACACTCATGCACACATATTGACACAGACACATGCAAACACCAACAAACCATTCTATTTGTTAAACAGAATTCTCTGGAACGAACACCGGAAGTGAACATTGGTGCTCACCTGCATGGACAGAAGAGGAAAAAAGGAAACCTCTCTGCACCTTTTCATACTTCAAAATTTAAAAACATGAACGTGTCACTGATTCAAAAGCAAATTTAAAATAACCACGTGTGGCCGGGTGCAGTGGCTCCCGCCTGTAATCCCAGCACTTTGGGAGGCCAAGGTGGGCGGATCATGATGTCAGGAGTTCGAAACCAGTCTGACCAACATGGTGAAACCCCATCTCTACTAAAAATACAAAATTAGCTGGATATGGTGGTGGGCACCTCTAATCCCAGCTACTCTGGAGGCTGAGGCAGGAGAATCGCTTGAATCCGGGAGGCAGAGGTTGCAGTGAGCCGAGACGGCGCCACTGCACTCCAGCCTGGGCGACAGAGTGAGACTCCATCTCCAAAACAACAACAACAAAAACCACCGTCTGTGCGGTGGAATCAACACCAGGTGAGGGCAGGGGAGGTCCAGGAGCTGCTGCCGGCGATCCAGGGAAAGAACTGACCGTCCCAAGGCTCATGTGGGAGGGATCTGGGGGCCGGGGCACGCGGGGCGAGCTGAGGGGAAATGCACGGCCCTGCTGGGCCGGCTCAAAACCAGAACATTTTCAGCTATGTCATGAATGCAGAATATGTTCCTTCCTAATCCCTGCAATTCAACTCTTCAGCTCAATTAAACTTGTTACAGATTCAAGCACAGATTTGTGAGTAAGAATGGAAAAGGAGACAGCCCACATGTGGTAAGAAAGCCTACTGCATGTAACCTAACAAGAGAAATTCAAATTCAACACCATAGTAACAGACTTCATCATTTCCAAGCAAATAAAATGGTGAACTTTTTTATTGTTATTTCTGCTTCACCACTTGAACAGAAAATGTCACGCCTGCAACTTGTCCACTTTTAAGTGTTCAATTAGTTACACTAAAACGATATTTCTCTCAAGCAATCTGTGAATCCTCAAATGATCAAGACAAAAAGCTCATAAATAATCCCAAAAGGGCTGCGTAGATTTGGTCCCTATTCCTAGAAAAGCGGCAGGGAAGGACCTGCTTCAGCAGAAGAGCAGGGCCAGTCCCACCACCTCCCTCTGACAGGGCCCGGGGACAGCAGGAGGCTGGGGAGGCTGCAGGCTGGCTCAGGTCACAAAGCCAAGTTCTCTCAAGGAAGAGACCAGAGCAGGACCTAGGGACAGGCCCCAAGGAGACACCTGGATCCACAGCATGTAGGGGTTGGAGGCAGATGGCACCATGGGCGCCCGCACCAGCACTGGACAGAAAGGGACGGGTGGCAAGGCCAAGCCTCAGCAGAGAGGTGGGGGCCTGGTCACCACACTCCCACGCCCCAGAGCCATGGCAAGCACTGAGAGGTCACTTACAAGGGTCACAATGTTAAGAGTAAAAAAAGCTAATTTTATATATGGGAATAATTAGAAAAATCTTAAGGTTCCTTTTAGGAACCCAAAACGGAAACACATCCAGGCCTCTGGGCTCCTCCCTGGGCTGATGCGACCACGTGGATGTTGCGACCAGGGCACTCAGTGGACCCACTAGGCTCTGCAGGCAGACAGGTCTTGGGACAAAGCAAGCTCTTCCACAAGCTTGTCTCCCAGGAATATCGCAACAAACCACAACGAACTACCCTGCACGCAATCCCAGATCCACACAGCACAGCCTCTCACGAGGGGCCAAGCATCGCACATCAAAGCTTCTAAATGGCGTGCCCTGACCCAGCACAGGTAAGGAGTTTACCCAGGAAGTAACCAGGTGAGCACACACACCTTCACGAACGTAAACCACAGCACCACTCCGAGGTGTAAAATGGAAACTACCAACCGTGGGACCCTGGAAGAGGTGGCTTCAACCTCTCCAGCTGACTTCCTCCCCTGGATTCCCCAAGACAAGAAAAACGGCTCTTCCTCAAGAGCTAGTAAAATACACACGCGAAGCGTTAAAGGTGGCAAGTGCCTGCTTCGCAGAAGGCATGCACCATGGTAGGCCCATCTTTCCTCAAACAGCACAGGTGAGGCCGGCCTCTGGAAGAGCCCACACCACAGCTGAAACGTCATTATCTTTGGGTGGAGAGAAAACAAACTATCTTTATTTCTTCTTTACAATATTCTACCTTTTCTAAACTTTTGCAAATAGTATACATACCTTAGAATTCAAAATCCACAAAGCTACTGGTGTGTGTGCAGGCTGTGTTCTAAATGCTAGAAGGCTCCTACGCCCACCCTCCTGGGTTCCCGGAGCACAAAGGTGCCCATGCAGGAGATGCCATCATTAGCAAGAGGCTTCAGCGTCAACAGCTTCATAAACATGTGAAGCTTCATGCATTCATCAACACAAGAGTGTGTCCAGAACAGGTGCCCTTACCTTTCCCGGGACTAAGGTTCTGGTCTATGAAGACCTTGAGTTCTCCGTTGGCTTCAATTAGACCGGCCTGCGGAAAGCAACAAAACAATAATAAATATGACAGCTAAAAGGGCTACGAAACTAGGGGTGTTTAAAACCACCCTCAAGGGTTCTATCAAATAACGTCATAAAAAGGCAGAAGGACCACAGTTAAGCAAGCAACTCCAGGAACAACCAGGAGAACGCCAGGTCCGGAGAAGGAATGTCACTATCACCATGGCACCTACAGGGCCAAAACAGCACCGTCCACCAGGAATTAGCCATGACTTACAGAATCCACACAGTCTTGAAAAATCAAGATTGTAATGATGAGGAAAATGTTCACAATAGAATGTTAAACACATTCTATTTAAGTGTGGCACAGGTAAGAGTACAGCCACACAGCAAGGACACACGTGTGACGGCACAGCCACAAAGCAGGGGTACACACGTGACGGCACAGCCACACAGCGGGGGCACATGTGTGATGGCACAGCCACAAAGCAGGGGCACGTATGATGGCACAACCACACAGCGGGGGCACACGTGATGGCACAACCACACAGCGGGGGCACACGTGATGGCACAGCCACACAGCGGGGGCACATGTGTGATGGCACAGCCACAAAGTGGGGGCACGTATGATGGCACAACCACACAGCGGGGTCACACGTGTGATGGTACAGCACACGGTGGGGGCACACGCATGACAGTACAGTCACACGTCAGGGCACACACGTGACAGTACAGCCACACAGCAAGCACACACAAACGTGATGGTACAGCCACATGGCAGAGGCACATGAGTGATGCTACAGCCACACAGGACACACACGCATAACGGTACAGCCACACAGCAGGGGCACACACATGACAGTATAGCCACACAGCAGGGGCACACACATGACAGTACAGCCACACGGCAAGAGCACACGCGTAATGGTACAGCCACACGGCAAGACACATTAAGGGGGACTCCTATCAGAACTGTCAACCTCATCCTGCTTCTCCAGAAAGCCATGGAAATCTTTTATTCTCTTCCTAGTCCCAACAAAATGTCAGTCCCCAGAGGCCGGGCTCTGCGAAGGAAAAGCCATCCCAAGAGGAGGCCTTGGAGGGGCGGCCTCTGGGAGTGGCGTGCTGGCAGCACAGGCGTGGCAGCCTGAGTGTGAGCACACACACGGCAGCATGCTTGAGTACCCAGGGTCCCAGGAGGCCACGCACCTCAGGCAGTGGGGCTGGGGGGCAGCGATGAGGGTTGCTGCCTTCGCTGAGGGTAAAGGCACCCGAATGCACCCTTCCGTAGATAACACCATGGGAACAAGGAGACGCCACAACCCCCTGGTGCCACCCAGGTAACAGTCAGGGGACACACCATGGGAACAAGGAGACGCCAAGACCCCCTGGTGCCACCCAGGTAACAGTCAGGGGACACAGGGGAGGCAGCCAAGACTCAAAGCCCAGCAAGACGACCACTGCAAGACCACTGGGCAATTTCCTGGGCATCTTCACAACTCCACTTCCCCACAGAAGATGAGGAAAGCCAGGGCTGCCCGTAAGCCCGAGGACCACGGCAAGTTCACATCCTAGGACGCTAAAAAAAAAAGACAGTCACTACTGCCGTTCCAACCGGGTCCAACTGCACTTTCTGAGTCTAGCTGTCCAGCAGGCACCGTCCCAGCCCTGGCTGTGGGACTTGCTGGGAGGTGGGTGGATGTCCCATTGACCACCTGCACACAGAGCCAGGTGAGGTAGGATGTGCAGGGGGGCTGCATCCCACTGGCCACACCAAGGGGCTGGGATCAAGGCTCCACCACCCCCAGGGGCCCACAGACGGCGTGTGACGCAATATCAAGGAAAAGAGCCGTGGAGCAAGAACCTGACTGCACCCAGGAGGCGCTCTGAGGCCACCACACCTGACACAGCACCGGCACAGGCCCCGCAGAGGGCTACGCTGGCACAAACATACGACACCAGGAAAAGCATGACGTGCGGTCAACGATGGTGCCTGAAGGCCGGCATGCGTGGCTCTGTGCTGGCACCCATTAGTGTGTTACAGGTGTGAGACGCTAGATGTCCTGGTCACCATGAGGGCACTACCATCCAGGCCAGGTTGGTAAGGCCGAGACGTTAAGCCTGGGAGAGAAAGGGCAGGAGGGTACGGCCAGTTAGAAAAAGGCGAGTGGGTCTGGACAGGTGGCTGAGCCAGGTACACACGGCCAAGTGGCTATGGTGGGCTAGAACCCACAGGAGATGAAGGCCAAGACACTACAGCAAAGTAGGTTAAGGTCAGGTGACTATGACCAAGGAGGTGAAAGCAAGCACACTGGGTAAGACCGAGAAGTTAAACACAAGGTGGGTCAGCCAGGAGAGAACAGCCAGGTGCGTAAGGCCAGAAGGGTAAGGCCAGGAAGTTACAGCCAGGAGGTTAAGGCGTGGTGGGTGAGGCCAGGAGTCAAGGGCCTCGGCCAGGGCTGGTCAGGCTTGGGCCCAGCTCGAGCATCTGTGTGGGAGTGCAGCATGCTCCAGCCCCGTGTGCGTGGAGCTGGAGGAAGCCCTGCTGGGGGTCTGACGGAGCAAGTCCCAGCTGTGGAGGATGACTGCCCTCCCGCCTGCACAGCCAGGGCTCTGCCCAGTTCCCCTGTATGGTGTCTGCACTCCAGCCCCAGCCTGTGGCAACCGTGGTTCAGGCTCTGAAGCCATTTTGCACCGCTGTCCCTGTCTATCGCCCTCCCTCACCAGGATGAGCATGAGCGCCTGCTAAAAAGTACAGGGCCAGGGACTGGCACTGGGAACGCACTGCCCCGGGTGGCACAGTGCCTTTTTTCTGTTGGCGGGGGCAGCCTGATGGGCAGAGACAGAGTGGGGGCTGCTCCTCCCCATGCCTGCAGGGCATGTGGAAGACCCCCAGGAAGAGCGGCTGCCTGCGGCCTCCATGAAATGCCAGCAAGTCAGGCCCCAACAGAGGAGCCCCGCCCAGGGCCACCGTGCACTCAGCCACGGGCCTTGCCCAGCCACTGTGACGCTCGTGTCTGTAAATGTTCCACCGCTGCTCACAGAAAACACTCCTCATATGCACCAACACAGGCCCTGCGAGAACACCAACTGCCCCTGCCCAGGGGAGACCTCGGCAGCCATGGGGGCTGCGGCACAGGTGGCCTGGATGTTTCTCACTCTGCCCCGTCGACTTGGTGGTCAGCTCCGGCTGGGATGGGAACTCAGCAATCCCTGAGTAGCCCACACCCAGGAAACCCAGGTCCAGGAAACCACTGGCCCCCGTCACCGCCACCCACTGGCACAGCCCCTCCTTGCGGGCAGTGCTTCTTCCTCCCCAGCAGCTGCCCAGGGAGTTAACGGGCCAGGTTGTGGACCCGGGCGGCCCTTCCAGGAAGTCTAAGGTGGGGTGAAGGGGCCGGTCTTTCTCCGCCAGCCTCAATGTTGTGACATAAAGCTCTGGGGTAACTGCAGGGCATGCGCAGCACACAGTGACGGCAGCAATGAGGAGAGAACAAGGACGACACGTGGGCCAGTGTCGCACTGCTGACACAAGCGTGGCATCGTCTGTGGTTCCAACTGTGTCTGCCACAAGCATCATTTTGCTCCAGGAAAAACCCTTTCATTCCCCTTCCTTATGCAACTCATGCTTCTGAAAGTGGAAATGGCAGACAGCACTTCAAAATCCACAGCCTTGGCCTGCTGGTTCCACCAGCCACATGCCCAGGTGTCACCAGATCCCTGGCAAGCACCCGCAGCTCACGGCTGGCCCCTTTCCTCAGCTTTCTCCTGGAGAAGCTCTGGGCTCAGGAGGCAGGGGGATGAATGACGCCCTGCGCTGTCTCAGCCGCAGCAACAGTGCTGCCGCTGCCGCCTGCACGGCTCTGTCAGGGGCCAGCCTCCCTGCAGGGTGTTTGGCGGCATCTTCAGCCTTCATTCACCCTGGGTGGGACAACCAGAATCATCTCCGGACACTGCAAAGCCACCCTCAGCTAAGAACCACGGACTCAGAGGCATGACTTCTGGGGCCGCAGGGCCTCTAAAGCAGACCTCTCCAGAGCTGGCGGATGAATAAATGCACACCTGGCTACAGTCTCAACCTTAATTTCCAACTAGGAACATGAGGCTGTAAGACAGGAAATCCAACCTAAAAGGAAACCACACGGTGGGTTCCTTGGCTGCCTGTAAGCGCCTATCTTGGTGGGATGCGCTTACCCCACACCGAGTTTGACAAACACTGAAAATATTTCATAATACAATGTGTGTCAAAATCACAAGGGAAATGCAAACTCTCCTTTCCATAAAGGAAATTAGAAAACAAAACACCACCTAGACTGCCTCTGTTTACAGATCATCTGAAGAAGTCACACAAATGTTCTATAAACCAGCACTGGAGGCAGGTGAACTGGGGAGACGTGAGCGGGAGCAGGCAGCTGATGGCAGGGCTGGGGCACACAGCCTCCAGGAAGGCTGTGCGGCGTCTTCACATGTGGTCCTCCTAATCCTGCTTGGGACGGTATTTGGAAGTGACTGGGCCATGAAGGCACAGCCTCCTGGATGGAGTATGTGCCCTGATAAAGGGGCTCCCTGGCCCTTCCACCAGGAGAGGGCACGGCAAGAAGACGCTATTTACCAGCCAAGAAGTGGTTCTCACTGGACACCAAACCTACCAGGGCCTTGATGGTGGACTCCCAGGCTCCCGAGCTGTGAGCGGTGGATTCCTGTTGTTTACAAGCTGCCCAGTTCATGGTCATGGCATTCTTGTGACAGCAGCCCAAGCAACCAGAACAGGCTCCCCTGCGGACACTCACCACCACGCGGCCTTCCAACAGGCTCCCCTGCGGACACTCAACCACCGCACCGCCTTCCCACAGGATCCCCTGCGGACACTCATCACCGCGCCGCCTTCCCACAGGATCCCCTGCAGACACTCACCACCACGCCGCCTTCCCACAGGATCCCCTATGGACACTCATCACCGCACCGCCTTCCCACAGGATCCCCTGCGGACACTCATCACCGCGCCGCCTTCCCACAGGATCCCCTGCGGACACTCACCACCACGCCGCCTTCCCACAGGATCCCCTGCGGACACTCACCACCGCGCCGCCTTCCCACAGGATCCCCTATGGACACTCATCACCGCGCCGCCTTGGACACTCATCACCGCACCGCCTTCCCACAGGATCCCCTGCGGACACTCACCACTGCGCTGCTTTCCCACAGGATCCCCTGCAGACACTCACCACCGTGCCACCTTCTCCTCCCTGAACTGACTTCTGTGACCCCCAGGAGGATGGAAATAAGGGGCAACTTCTGAAGCTAGGTCACTCCCTGCCCTCTGGCGAAAGCTGGTGCCACGGTGTGAGGATACTCAAGCGGCCCTGAGGTGGTCCTGGTGCTGAGGGCTCCTCCTGCTACTGCTGCGAGGGTGAGACATCTTGGAAGCAGACTCCCAGACCCTGGCCTTGAGGCCTGCAGAGCTGGGCAACATCTCAACTGCAACTGCATGAGAATCCAGGACAGCAGCACCCAATTGAGCCACTCCCAAACTCCTGACCCACAGCCGCTGTGTGGGAGAAGACAGCTTATTGTTGTTTTAAGCCACTACATTTGTCTGTTTCACAGCAATAGATAAGTAATACAGCAGTTAAAGAGTTTTCTCTAGAACATTAAAAAAAAGTGGTTCTTTTCATCAACCAGGTCGTCACTGAATTTATCTTTGAATGGATCTTGAACCCTGCATAAACTTAGTTCCGCACGGAAAGATCACTGGCACCATCACCTGAAAAACGAGATCCCACTCAACACCAGCCTTTCAAAGCCACACTCACTCTCTGACACCCACCCCTTTCCTGGAAGGTGACCCCCAAGGACAGGAAAGAATGTTATGACGCCCCCCCGCCCCAACTGACAACAGGAAGAGTCGCAAGAACTAAGTGCAGCATCGTCCCTAAAAAAGACAGTGACGATGCCATGATTTAATTCCCATTTGCCGTCAAACACAACGCCCTGCTGAGGCTCCACACAGCCAAGAGGAAGCTCAGCCAGCCACGTCCCGTCCAAAACCTACCAAGAGCTTGCAGTTCATGACTCGCTGCTGCTCACCTTTACAAAGACCACAACCTCCTCACATGGGCTCCACCTCGCTCCTGGGACGGGGCCTGCACACAGCAGTAAACGTGCAGACCCTCAGCCTCCATTCCTGCCTGAGACAACAGCACCAGACCCCCGCTGTAACGTCAGAACGTTCAGAACCCTGTATGTGGGGTGACCGCCTGTCCTGGTTGGCCTGGAACAAAGAGGGGCTCCTATGACACAGAACTACCAGGGGTCCTGCCAGGCAGGTCCCGGGCTGGCTGTAAACGGAGGCTGCTAAGTGGGACCTGTTAACAGGACAGCCGAGGTCTGTCCGCTCAGTGCTCGTGTCAACAGGATGCGCAAGGGGTGCACGCTGGCCTGCTGGGCAACAGCAAAGTGGCCTCGGCACAAGTCCCCACTCTCCAGGCCAGGGGCCAGCTCCCATCTCAAACTCAGCACCTGAATAGGCAACCCCATTTCAGCCACACAGGATCCAAGGCCACAGCCTCCCCTGTGTCCTGCCCTTAGGAGTGTGGGTGTGAGTCTGGGTCTCTACTGACACTTTAGAACTTACTAAGACAGACCCAATTATAGCCTCTGTGGTTTTTTAATATGAAGTCATTCTTATGGGTTGATATTCAGTAGCTACTACTAGACCACAATTACCAGCTTGAGCATGTAAGGAGCTGTAGGAAAGACCCTCATGTGGGTCCTCCTTGCATTTCTTGTGGGCTGTGACCCACAGGAACTCAGTAACAAGCACCACCAAAACACAAATAGTTTAATTTGCCTTTTTTTTTTTTTTTTTTGAGACAGGCTGTTACTCTGTCACCCATGCTAGGGTGCAGTGGTAAGATCTCAGCTCACTGCAGCCTTGACCTTCCCGGTTCAAGCCATCCTTTCACCTCAGCCTCCAAAGTAGCTGGGACAGGCATGCACCCCATGCCTGGCTAATTTTTTTTTATTTGTAGTAGAGACGAGGTCTCATTACGCTGCCCAGGCTGGTCTCGAACTCCTGGGCTCAAGCAGGTGTAAGCTACCACGCCTGGCCTAGCTTCGTGTTTTTAACATATTGCTGAAATTGCTATTAATTTTAAGACATGTGCACTGGACTTATTTTCCTGTTAAATCTTTACACTCAAGATGCAACCCTACCTGCCAGTAAGGACACCTCAAGGTGCTAAACACATTAACATATAAGCCAACAGCAAAGGTGCTCCTTGGCTAAAACTAACCTTAATTTCTATTAGAAAAACTATATTCAACTGTATTTGTGTTTGTACTTCATGGAGATAACAGTAGATTATTCTCTTCTGTCTTACATTAGACAAAACCATACTATGAGTAGCAGCAGTAACAGCAAAACACACGTTCGTAAAACACGCCATGCTGCTAGAAAAAGCTGAATCAATTGAAAATAAGAACTATAAAAGATGACATCACCAGTGCCCACTCTGTGACAGGGTCTACGAATGTGACTAATTTCCATGCCAGGCCCAAAAGGGGACCTATCACTGCCGTCATCTTTAAAACACACAGGTGACCACGGTTCTCACAACCTGAAGCTGCACTTGCCTGGCCAGGATGGAGGCGCTGCCCGGGCCCTCAACGCCTCCCTCTTTGCCAGCCAGCACCCGCCAGGGTGTGTCCAGGGGGCTCCTCCCCTGGGGACACACAAGCCCTAGAGACCCAGGAGGGTGCGAGGGCATGAAGAGGACTCTCCCTTACACTCGAAGGCCCATGAGGGGGTCAGCAAGCAACACACAGCAGCCAGGTGGGGCATACACCTGGACCCCACGCTGTCTCACCCTTCTCTGCCCTGCTCTTCTCTGCACTTTCTAATCTACTGAACAACTGACCATTTCCATTGCTAACAGCTCCCCACTAGAGTATAAACCAGGCTTATCCGACCTGTGTCCTGCAGGCTGCATGTGGTCCAGGACACCTCTGCATGCAGCCCAACACAAATTTGTAAATTATACGTTTTTTTTTTTTTTTTAGCTCAACTATTGTTAGTGTTATTCTATTTTATGTGGCCCAAGACAATTCTTCTTCCAATGTGGCCCAGGGAAAACAAAAGATTTGACACCCCTGGCATCAACTCTGTGAAGCAGGAATTTTGCCTGGTAAGAAAACGGCCCAGCAGGGGCCCTGCAGTCCCGACATCACAGGTTCACAAGCCAGGCCCAGGGCAGGGCTGGAGAGAGGGACGCCAGGGCCGCACACTTCTCAGGGGGGACCCTGCAAATGATTCAGGCTTGAGGGTCACCCAGTCTCTGTCACAGCCACTCAACTCTGCCTACGCAACAGCCATAAAAGTGTCAAGGAACAATCTTAATTTCAAAAGTAAGCAGAGCTGAGAAGAAAGTGACCCAGCTGCACTGAGGGATCCCCCTGAGGACTGGAGTGGCCTGCGCCAGACCCCAGGGCAGAAAACACTTGCACTGCACATTAAACTGCATAATGAATGAAGAGACCTGGGGAAGAGGCCACTCTATAAACAGCAGCTGGGATGGGCCCCGCCTGCTACCAGGACCCTCCTGGCCCCAGCACGGGACTCCTGCACAGAACTCTCTCCGCTCCTCCTTTGACTCGTGCGGAGAACTCCATCCGCTCCCCTCTCGACTCCTGCAGGTAACTCCATCCACTCCTCCCTCAACTCCTGCGGGTAACTCTGTCCACTCCTCCCTCGACTCCTGCAGGTAACTCAGTCCACTCCTCCCTCGACTCCTGCAGGTAACTCCGTCCGCTCCTCCCTCAGCTCCTGCGGGTAACTCCGTCCACTCCTCCCTCGACTCCTGTGGGTAACTCCGTCCACTCCTCCCTCAACTCCTGCGGGTAACTCTGTCCACTCCTCCCTCGACTCCTGCGGGTAACTCCATCCGCTTCTCCCTCGACTGCTGTGGGTAACTCCATCCACTCCTCCCTGAACTCCTTCAGGTAACTCTGTCCGCTCCTCCCT
Organism: Homo sapiens; assembly: GCF_000001405.40. NCBI lineage: Eukaryota > Metazoa > Chordata > Mammalia > Primates > Hominidae > Homo > Homo sapiens. The sequence continues at coordinate 113,602,007 of NC_000013.11, read as the reverse complement.
CGACTCCTGCGGGTAGCTCCGTCCCTCCTCTGTCCGCTACAGGGCTACAGAGGGAGTAGCTCTGTCCTCCTCTCAGAGCTACAGAGGGAGTAGCTCTGTCCTCCTCTCAGAGCTACAGAGGGAGTAGCTCTCTCCGCTCCTCCCTCGACTCCTGCAGGTAACTCCATCCGCTCCTCCCTCAACTCCTGCGGGTAACTCTGTCTGCTCCCCCATCAACTCCTGCGGAGAACTCTCTCTGCTCCTCCCTTTTGGCTGTTGGGTTGCCCACCACAAATAGCCAGCACCTTCCGCGCACCTGGCCACAGGCCCTTCCTCTGGGGCCGGGCCTGGGACCCCAGCCTCGAGCTCCCACGAGTCCTCCTGGACCCTGGAGAGCACACCTGGGAACAAACACAACCCCAGAGCTCAGGGACGACCTCCGGTGGCCCTAGCCATCCCTTCCAGTGCCCTGGCCCTGCAGGGGCCCCCAAGTGGGCTGCCCTGCCCTGCTCCCACCAAGCACCAGAGCCTGGTGAGGGTGAGGGTGGCCTCAAGAGACCGACTCTGACCTTGCTGGCTCACCCTGAGGAAGCCACCAGCGAGCTGCCCTACGCAGGGGCCCACAAGGCAAAGTGCAAGAACACACCCCCACCAACAGCCCACAAGGAGCGGGATCCCACCAGCAGCCGGGTGAGTTAATTTGAAAGTGGTCCTGCCCAGACCAACTCAGGGCACCACAGGCCAGGGCCGCCCGGGACAGGCTGAACGGGGACCTGGGCTCCTAACAGGCACTAGGAGGTGACAGACGCTGCTGGTTCAAGTTGCTAAGTCCAGGCAGGAGACGCTGGGTGACCGCCAGGCCCAGCCCTTCTCAGCTACGGAGGCCAACACCTCCCCACCTCAGGCAAGAGGAGATGGTGCCACCACAGAGGAGGGATGCAGCAGAAAAGAACCTCGCATCTGGAGAAGATCCAGGACAGCGTGAAGGCTCATCTCACAAACACGCTCCGAGTGAGCAAAAGCATCAAGTGGGAAGAGCAGGAGGGTTCTCTCTCGTGGTCCTGGAGCCCTACGTGCAAGGCTTCTGTCTCATGGTCCTGGAGCCCCACGTGCGAGGATTCTCTCTCACGGTTCTGGGTCCTGGGTTCTCTCTTGCAGTCCTGAGTTCTCTATCACGGTCCTGGAGTTCTACGTGTGAGGGTTGTCTCTCACGGTCCTGTAGCCCTACGTGCAAGGATTCTCTCTCACGGTCCTGGGTTCTCTATCGCGGTCCTGGAGCCCTACGTGAGGGTTCTCTCTCATGGTCCTGGAGCCCTACATGCAAGGATTCTCTCTCACCATCCTGAGTTCTCTATCACGGTCCTGGAGCTCTACGTGTAAGGGTTCTCTCTTATGGTCCTGGAGCCCCACGTGCGAGGATTCTCTCTCACGGTCCTGGGTCCTGGGTTCTCTCTTGCAGTCCTGAGTTCTCTATCGCGGTCCTGGATCCCCACGTGAGGGTTCTGTCTCATGGTCCTGGAGCCCTACGTACAAGGATTCTCTCTCATGGTTCTGGGTTCTCTCTTGCAGTCCTGGAGCCCTATGTGCAAGGGTTCTCTCTCACAGTCCTGGAGCCCTAAGTGCAAGGATTCTCGCTTACGGTCCTGGGTTCTCTATCGCGGTCCTGGAGCCCTATGTGTGAGGGTTCTCTCTCATGGTCCTGGAGCCCTACGTGCAAGGGTTCTCTCTCACGGTCCTGAGTTCTCTATCGCGGTCCTGGAGCCCTATGTGTGAGGGTTCTCTCTCATGGTCCTGGAGCCCTAAGCACGAGGGTTCTCTCTCACGGTCCTGGAGCCCTACGTGCAAGGATTCTCTCTCACGGTCCTGGGTTCTCTCTCACGGCTCTGGAGCCCTACATACAAGGATTCTCTCTCACGGTCCTGGGTTCTCTCTCATGGTCCTGGAGCCCTACGTGCAAGGATTCTCTCTCACAGTCCTGGGTTCTCTCTCACGGTTCTGGAGCCCTACATACAAGGATTCTCTCTCACGGTCCTGGGCTCTCTCTCATGGTCCTGGAGCCCTACGTGCAAGGATTCTTTATCACAGTCCTGGGTTCTCTCTCACGGTTCTGGAGCCCTACATACAAGGATTCTCTCTGGCAGTCCTGAAGCCCTAAGCACAAGGGTTCTCTTTCACGGTCCTGGGTTCTTTCTCATGGTCCTGGGTTCTCTCTCACGGTCCTGGGTTCTCTCTCGTAGTCCTGGAGCCCTAAGTGCAAGGATTCTCTCTCACGGTCCTGGATGTGGAAGCGGGAGGTCAGGGCAGAGCCAGCTTCCAGGCTGCACCTACTACCTCCTCCTTGGGCCTCGCAAGGTGGGAAAAGGGCAGGCTCGCCGTGGGGACTGGCTATCAGGACACTGATCCAACAGGGCAGGGGGGACTACACCCGCGTGCCCTCACTCAATTCTAGTCACTCCCAAAGGCCCCAACACCCAACACCTTTGAGGGTTTCGAAGGATGAACATTCAGCCAGGGCAGCCCATCAACAGGGTGGAGTACGTGAGGGCGCATCAGCGAGACCAGACTCCAGCAGCCTGGAGGGGGCGAGGCTCCAATGCAAACAAACTTTCCAAATTTGAGACAACTTGAGAAATGTAAATGCTGCCTATGTGACAATAAGAGTGAATGACTATCTCTGAGAGACACATGTCAGAATATTTAATAACTACTTAATGATCACCCTGGCCCGGCAGGGAGTCACCCAGGTCCGTGACAGGGACGAGGCACCAGCACAATCTCTCTCCTTTGTGTGTGTCTGAAACGTTCCACAAATTTTTTAGAATTATCTCTGCTTATATTTATTGATGTGAAAAAAAAAAACCTAGGACAAACTGTTGAGTAAAACATAGCAGTGAACAAAACATGTGAGTTCATTTATTTAGAATTCCGTACTGTACATGTGTATTTAAACACACACATCTAGGGCATCCCCAGAAACAATCACCAAAAAGCCTTAACAGCAGAGCCCCGTTGACTGTCATTTCAGATGACTGCTTACTTTCTGACACCTTTCTGCACCCTACGTTTTTAAATAAACTTTCCATTTTCATAACCGAACAAAGCAATAAGGCGATTTCATTTTCTAAACTAAGGGAAAAGCCACACACCTAACAAGATCCATCCAGAGGTGATGAGCTGCAGGCGAGGGTGGTGCCCAACATCACCCTAAGAAAGAGTCAGAGGAAGCTGGCTACCCCGAGCGGACAGAGGGACGGCGGCCACAGAACCACAGTGTGAGCCACGTAGGGGCAGAGAACGCCTCCTCCCGGCCCCACGCAACTTAAATGACCAGGAAAGGGGGACGCAGACTCCACCCAGGAGGGCAACACGAACCCCAGGTCCTCAGGGGACAGCCTGGAGCCATCAGGCAGGGGAAGCTGAAGAGCGAGGAGGTAAGTTCATACACAATGGGAGTCACAGGAGGGCAGGTTAGGGAGGTGGGGCTGTGCTTCGGGGGCACCAGAACCTTCAGGAAACCAGTGGATTCTGAAGCCCCAGCAGGCACAGAGGGTGGGGCCCATCCACTCATGAGCAGACACTTGGAAGGCAGGCACCCAGCATCCCTCTCCCAGGAGAGGCTGCTCTAATCTATATAATCTATAATGAGACTTTCAGCCACCACTCTAAAGCCTGCTTTTCCAGCAGAAAAACACCAAATGATGCTCTAGTCTACAACAGGCACAAATGCAAAACTGCCTGGAAAACCCATACATCAGTTCCACAGCCGTTAAAAAGGTGCTTGCATCCTGCCTCCCGCTGTCTTTGGGGTGGGCTGCACCGGGTTGTGTGGTATGAACCTGGCAGGCACGGTTTTCCAGGGCTGGGGTGGTGGGGAGTAGAGGGACCAGACGGGAACTTGGCCAGGCACCAGCAAGTGGCTCCCAACACAGTTGGATTCTGCACTCTTGATGACAACTCACCTGAAATGTCGGCGGCTCCACTCCCTTTTCTTATGAAGTCACTGCTGCATTTGAACACCTCGTGCCTGCAGCCCTCCTGGAAGCAGCAGCCTGCAGGGGAGGCCTGCTGCCTCGGAGACTCCACCTCTCCCGTTTCTGGCCACCTGCCACCCCCTCAATCATTCTAAACAGTGCCCAGGGAAAGCCAGGGCCCCTCTGTGCAACACTGGGGCAAAGACAGAGGCCGCAGAGTCCCCAGCGTGTCTGGATGCTGGCTCCTGAGCTCAGAGCCCTCACATTGGACACACGGCAATGGCCGTCCCTCCAGCTCTGATCAGATCAGCCCCTCGTGGCTGGGAGGAGGTCTTACACAGCGCCCAGGCCTGTGAGGTGCTCCTAATTTCGTCAAAGCCTTATGTTCACTCTTTTGAATCCATCCAAGTTCAGCCAGGACGTGGCAAGCAGCTGACGCCCTCCTTTCTCCCTCACTGCCCTGTAGGGAGGGCAGCTGGCCGCCCACGTGGGACAGGCGAGCACACAGAGGCCAGGAGTCCCCACCTGAGGTCGCAGGGCTAGCAAGGTCCAGCCGTTCAGGCCCCGGGACCCCTGCCTCACACAGCTTCCTCCACAACACATCACACAGGTTCCGGTGGGAAAATCCTCCAGAGGGAAATGCAGCACACGCTGCCAGACAGCGCGACGGGGTCCAGGCCTGGGGCCTCAGGGAAGAGCCGCCCCATAGCCCTCGCCCGAGTATACCGCCAGCCTGTGGGAGGTGGAGACCATCTCCATTCATCTATTTATTTATCATAGCAGCTAACTTTAAAAATAACAATATGTTAATCTAATTTCTCTTCTGGAAAAGTTTTTACATTATACTCTTTTCCCTTTTAGAAAGAATTTCCATTTCCATTTTAACAAAAATCAAGTCATCCAAGGACAGAGTGAGCCACCGGCACTCTCAGAAACCCTCCTCCAGGGTGGCCTGGGGTCAGAACGGAGCGGCAACCCCGGCCAGACAGGGGGTATCCAGAGGGCCCAGGACACCCACCCTGACAATGGCGCCGGGCAGGCACCAGAGCCGCAGCAGACTCAGGTGCGGGGTTTGACGCCCACCCACAAGGATGCACAGTGAGGCAAGCTCAGGACAGGCTGGGGCGAGGGGACGCGCAGCCTTTCTGTCTCAACAGTGAGCAAAAACAGGGCTCCAGGGAACAAATGCCCAAAAACACGAAGCAGGGCTTCCAGGATCAGCATCCACATGTGATAAATGCCACTGGAACCACAGCCTGGGATGGGGACTGGCATCAAGATCAACCTCGATGCTGACCACCTTCATCCCCTTCCACCCCAGAATAGGATTTGGTCTGGCCACTCCAATGGGAACTGCTTTTCCATTTGTTAGAGAAAAAAGAGGTTAAGTCCGGGCAAAAGTCATCGTGGCTAGCCGACTCCACCGCTGGCCTGAAGAGCTCCCAGACACGGAGCCTACAGACCAGGCTTCCAGTTCTGTGGCTGCACACCCCGTGAGCTGTCAAATGTGTGACTCCTCCTCCCCAACCTGGCCGTGCTGGGGAGGGGACACCCAGGGTCTCCTGAAGCAAGAGGAACCCCTCATCCACAGCCAGCTCAACTCGGGCTACCGGGATGACACCGAGGCAGACATCTGTCCTCCATGCTGCATCGTTCCAGATAAGGCCCCTCAGCTTAAAAACGACTCCCGGAGTCAAAGGATGCCCTAAAGCAGGAATGGCCTCCAAGAGTCAATAACTGGGTAAGACATATGACCTCAAACTCAGGCATGAAAACAAAGTCAGAGGCTGAACTCCCACCACGGTCATCTCCCTCTTCATCCTGCTTCCCTGCAAAATATAATTTGGGTTCTATCAATAGTGGTGACACGAAATATTTTCATTCAAGCCTTGATTTTTCTTAAAGGCAAAAGAAATAGTGGAGCCTAAAATAAGTCCCATACAAGTTACTCCGAGCCATTAATACTTTTTTTTTTTGAGACGGAGTCTCACTCTGTCGCCCAGGCGGGAGTGCAGCGGCGCCATCTTGGCTCACTGCAAGCTCCGCCTCCTGGGTTCACACCATTCTCCTGCCTCAGCCTCCCAAGTAGCTGGGACTACAGGTGCCCGCCACCACGCCCAGCTAACTTTTTGTATTTTTAGTAGAGACGGGGTTTCACCATGTTAGCCAGGATGGTCTCGATATCCTGACCTTGTGATCCGCCCGCCTCAGCCTCCCAAAGTGCTGGGATTACAGGCGTGAGCCACCGCACCCGGCCGCCATTAATACTTTCAAGGAGAGGAAGTAAATGACTACACAGCAGCTAAAAAGCCTGACGGCTATACCTCACACTGTGCTGAAAGCGACCTGAAAAGACCAGCATCTGCACTCACAGACATGCACGCGCACAGGCAATTTCACCTCCAGGAATTCATCCTAAGACTCATCCTGGATTTGTGCAAATTTGGGAAGATTTAACTGGAAACCACTAGAATCCCCAACCACAGGGGAGTGGGTAATTACTGAGACACATCCATGCAGCAGGAAGAGCGCTCCTAACTCCACCGCCTTTCCTGTAAAGCACCAGGCTGACAGGACTCTCTCGGACAGATCCACATGTCTCAGACTCAGCCTTGCTCATTCCAGACACCCCTCTATACCAGTGGCACTGTTAGCAGCATCCTGGGAAAACTGCAAACAACCCAGGAGGCTGCACTCCGTGTCCTGAGATGTCTTTTATGTTCTCCATTCAGTCTACAGAAATCAAAACCCAGTATGGTGGGCGTGGCTTGAAGGGGTGGCCCACTCTCCAAGAAGGGGCGTTCAGTCCAGAGCCAAGAGATTTGGGGACCAGATGCACATTTGTTTGAATGTAAAATGAAGTGTTTAGGTACAGCGTCTTTTTTTTAATTATCTCCCACGTTAACCCACTTTTTCAGTAACTGACCATCTACGACTCCCCAACGTACCAAAAACATACAGCTGCTGAAAACATGGTAGAAAAAAATAACTGACCAGAGAAAACACTGACAATATACTGAGGTGAAAAGATTAGAAACAGAAGGTACAGCACATTCCCATCTTGGAAAAGCTGCCTTTATTACACACGGCTAAATAGAAATCCAACAGGCATATGCTATGAAACCCTAACAATTCAGCTCACATATGAACGTGACTTCATTTTCTTCTTTTTGCTTTCCTAGAATTTTTCCAAATTTTCTGCAACTAAGATTACTCTTATAATCAGAAGAAATATTACTTGAACTTTTTTTAGTAAGTCATATTATTTTCTTGTGGAAAGTCTACTTAATGGATACAATTAAAAAGCAACTGCGACAGAAAAGCCCGCTGGTGCAGCAACCAGCACACGCAGGTCACTCAGTAACACAAGGATTCCATGTCCACTGGGAACGGGCGGCACCCACAGCCCAAGCCTGGGCACAGCTGAGGACCAGCACACGGGACACCTGTCACCTGGGCAGGGCTGAGGACTCATGCACACCACACCTATCACCTGGGCAGGGCAGAGGACCCACACACAGCACACCTGTCACCTGGGCAGGGCTGAGGACCCGCGCACACCATACCTGTCACCTGGACAGGGCTGAGGATCAGCACACAGCACACCTGTCACCTGGGCAGGGCTGAGGATCAGCACACAGCACACCTGTCACCTGGGCAGGGCTGAGGACCCACACGCATCACGCCTGACACCTGTGTATAGCTGAGGACGCGTGCACAGCACACCTGTCACCTGGGCAGGGTGAGGACCCACACACAGGACACCTGCCACCTGGACAGGGCTGAGGACCCACGTACACCACACCTGTCACCTGGGCACGGCTGAGGACCCGTGTACACCACACCTGTCACCTGGCTGGGTGAGGACCTGCACACAGCACACCTGTCACCTGGGCACGGCTGAGGACCCGCGCACACCACACCTATCACCTGGGCAGGGCTGAGGACCCACGTACACCACACCTGTCACCTGGGCACGGCTGAGGACCCGTGTACACCACACCTGTCACCTGGGTGGGTGAGGACCTGCACACAGCACAACTGTCACCTGGGCAGGGTGAGGACCCACACACAGCACAACTGTCACCTGGGCAGGGTGAGGACCCACACACAGCACACCTGTCACCTGGGCACGGCTGAGGACCCGCACACACCACACCTGTCACCTGGACAGGGCTGAGGATCAGCACACAGCACACCTGTCACCTGGGCAGGGCTGAGGACCCACACGCATCACGCCTGACACCTGTGTATAGCTGAGGACGCGTGCACAGCACACCTGTCACCTGGGCACGGCTGAGGACCCGCGCACACCACACCTATCACCTGGGCAGGGCTGAGGACCCACGTACACCACACCTGTCACCTGGGCACAGCTGAGGACCCGTGTACACCACACCTGTCACCTGGGTGGGTGAGGACCTGCACACAGCACAACTGTCACCTGGGCAGGGTGAGGACCCACACACAGCACACCTGTCACCTGGGCACGGCTGAGGACCCGCACACACCACACCTGTCACCTGGGCAGGGTGAGGACCCACACACAGCACACCTGTCACCTGGGCACGGCTGAGGACCCGCGCACACCACACCTGTCACCTGGACAGGGCTGAGGATCAGCACACAGCACACCTGTCACCTGGGCAGGGCTGAGGACCCGCACACACACCTGTCACCTGGGCAGGGTGAGGACCCACACACAGCACACCTGTCACCTGGGCAGGGCTGAGGACCTGCGCACACCACACCTGTCACCTGGACAGGGCTGAGGACCCACACGCATCACGCCTGACACCTGTGTATAGCTGAGGACGCGTGCACAGCACACCTGTCACCTGGACAGGGCTGAGGATCAGCACACAGCACACCTGTCACCTGGGCAGGGTGAGGACCCACACACAGCACACCTGTCACCTGGGCAGGGCTGAGGACCCACACACAGCACACCTGTCACCTGGGCAGGGCTGAGGACCCGCGCACACCACACCTGTCACCTGGGCAGGGCTGAGGACCCACACGCATCACGCCTGACACCTGTGTATAGCTGAGGACGCGTGCACAGCACACCTGTCACCTGGGCAGGGCTGAGAACCAGCACACAGCACGCCTGTCACCTGGGCAGGGCTGAGGACCAGCACACAGCACACCTGTCACCTGGGCAGGGCTGAGGACCCGTGCACACCACAACTGTCTCTTGGGCACAGCTGAAGACCAGCACACACCACACCTGTCACCTGGGCAGGGCTGAAGACCCACAGACACCACAACTGTCTCCTGGGCAGGGCTGAGGACCAGCATATGCCACACCTGTCACCTGGGCAGGAGGGGAGGGCCAGGGATGTGTTGGCAATGCTGGATTCTGGGCTGACCCATTCAGGTTTCTGACCCTCTCCTGCTTCCCCATTCACTGGAGCGGATCACACTGTCTCTTTTCCTCAGACCCCAGTGACGCGATGTTAATGAACAGAAGACCAGGGTGCACAGGGCAAGCACCTGTGTTAAAAGATACTGTATCCCAAAGCCACAGGGGACACACAAGGTTTTCATTCATCAGACCAGAATCCCTTAGAAACTGGACCATAGAAAAACAGGATTCATGGCCAGGCGCGGTGGCTCACGCCTGGAATCCCAGCACTCTGGGAGGCCAAGGCGGGCGGATCACCTGAGGTCGGGAGTTCAAGACCAGCCTGAGCAACATGAAGAAACCCCGTCTCTACTAAAAATACAAAAAATTAGCAGGGTATGGTGGCGCATGCCTGTAATCCCAGCTACTTGGGAGGCTGAGGTCAGAGAATCGCTTGAACCCGGGAGACAGAGGTTGTGGTGAGCCAAGATCGTGCCATTGCACTCCAGCCTGGGCAACAAGAACGAAACTCCGTCTCGAAACAAACAAACAAACAGGATTCACATAAAAGACTAACGGGAAGAGGCAGATATAACTCTTCATCCTTGAGTCTCAAAATTACCTGCAGCACATGTGAATAGTGCCCATGACCTGTGCGACAACTTAAAAGCCATAGTCCCTGTCCTCACAGGAGCCCTGAAGCGGAGTCGGGATGCTGCGGGAATCTCAGCCAGTCGGGAAAAAGGTACAAAGGGCGGATGCTTTTCCAGGCTTGGGCTACACACAAAGATACAGAGAGCAGTGCATGGCCAGTACCCGAACAACCAGAATCATCTGAGTAAGACACCTGGGGGATGAGGGGTCACCTAATTCAGCCTCTAATTCAGCCAACGCTGACATCTGCCCTTCCCCTCGCAGATCCATCCCCACACGTAGTCTAAGCCACCTGCTGCTACCAGTCCTCCTCTCTAAGCAAAACTTGACAAATCTAGTCTCTTATGACAAACAGCAGAAAGCCACACTGTAAGTCAAGCTAAATATCAACTGCAAATCTGGATTTTCTAATTGTTCTACAACAAAGTATTTTTTAATGTAAATACCAAGAGTGAAAAGTTTTTAACATCCCCTAAAGAGCACCTGATACTTCTACTGCAAATCGAGCTGTGCACCAAAGGTGAGGTTTCCAATTCTTACACAACGAACTCCAGAGATTTCTTCCAAATACCAAAAGTAAAGAGCTAACAAAGAGCTGATTATGTAAGAAAAAAGATGTCCTTTTTTATTCTTTGAATTTTATACCAGATGTTCCTATAATACCTCTTTTAAAGCATGTTTTAGGGGCAAAACTTTTTTCTTTTTTTTTTTTTTTGAGATGAAGTCTTGCTCTTGTCACCCAGGCTGGAGTGCAATGGCGTGATCTCGGCTCACTGCAACCTCCGCCTCCCGGGTTCAAGCGATTCTCCTTCTCAGCCTCGAGAGTAGCTGGGATTACAGGCGCCCGCCACCACGCCCAGCTAATTTCTGTATGTTTAGTAGAGACAGGGTTTTGCCATGTTGGCCAGACTGGTCTCGAACTCCTGACCTCAGGTGATCCACCCGCCTTGGCCTCCGGGATTACAGGCATGAGCCACCGTGCCCAGCAGGGGCAAAACTTTTAATTAACCTATAATTTTCTTTTTCTTTTTTTTTTTTTTTTTTTTTGAGACAGAGTCTCGCTCTGTCGCCCAGGCTGGAGTGCAGTGGCGTGATCTCTGCTCACTGCAAGCTCCGCCTCCCGAGTTCACGCCATTCTCCTAACTCAGCCTCCCCAGTAGCTGGGACTACAGGCGCCCACCACCATGCCTGGCTAATTTTTTGTATTTTTAGTGGAGAAGGGGTTTCACCCTCTTAGCCAGGATGGTCTCAATCTCCTGACCTTGTGATCCACCTGCCTCGGCCTCCCAAAGTGCTGGGATTACAGGCGTGAGCCACTGCGCCCGGCCCAACCTATAATTTTCTAATTTTTAATATCCCTTCAGAGTTTCTCTAACCTCATCCTATGTAGAAAAAAAAAATCCTGAAATATGAAAAGACTCTTGTAAAAACAAGCACGTCATCATAGATTTCTTCAACACTTAAACCTGAGGGGGCTAAACTGACAACCTTCTTAACCTCAAATGTAAAGTTGTTTCTTTATGAGGACAAAAGAAGGCCTGAGTCGCTGAATCCTGTTCCCAGAACTCACTCCTTCAAGCACTGAAGGAAACAGCAGTTTGTTGCTGCATCAGGTTCACCTCTTCAGGCCTGAACTTCACCATCCAGGTCTGTAAAAGGACACCTGGTGGTAGACCCTTAGAGGAGCTCATTGGTCCCCTCTTGGCATTAGCAGAGCCTCGTGACAGCATCACTCAAACGCCTCCATGGTGGGACGCACACAGTTCTCTTGGTCCCCAGCTCTCAATTTCAGGATTTCCCCATAAACTCACAGGACACAAACAGGCACCACAGAACGGCTTTCACAACCAAGGCACGTGAATACCGGGCAGTGACGTCCACAGCCACGTTCTCTGCACAGGGAGCTGACCAGGTCCAAGTGCCCGCACAGCCCAAGAGCGAGTTCAGATGCCCTGCATCTTTACCAATGGCAGGAGGAGCTTGGAGAGGCGAACGGGACCCCAGAAACAGCCCCACACGGGCTACATCCCGAAGTCTTACAGCAAAAGCATCCCTGTAATGTTTGATGAATTCATCATCTGCCTGCCTTCCCACTTACAAACTTTCATGACACTGGACAATCGTGTGTGACGACAGGATGTTCCGAGGTAGGGAGGGGAGAGGCAGAGCTCTGCCTGATCCCACCAAGGGTCATGCTGCCTGGGCAGGCAGGAAACTTGGCCGCAGGCTGAGATGCCAGTGCCAAGCCACACTCCCTCACCCAAGGGCCCTGCCAGCCCAGCTCTAGAACAACTTGAGCCCCTGCAGCTGGACTGACTCGTGACAAGGGTCTGTCCGACTCTAAGGAGGTGCCAAAGCACCTTCCAAGACTGAATCTGAGGACGGTTCCGAGCACCACCGGTACCTGCAACGGGAGCCCACAGATCTGCGGGTCAGAGCCACCCTGTTCAGGAACCAGAGGACAGCCTCCCTAGGCCCTGAGGCGGAGGGCCTGAGATGTTTCGAGGACAGTTCAGAAACTCAAAGAGTCTGTACGGACCTCCCAGGGTGTCTCCAAACTTAAGACAGGACTGCACCTGAGGCTATCACAGACCGGGTGGGCCAGGCATGGAAACAGACAGTCCCCACAGCAAGGAAATCCTCCCCATATTGCCAGGAGCAGCCCATAATCTTGATCATAAATTTCTGTAAGTGATCCATGCTATGCCAGCGCTCCTGCTGGGCAAGACCAGGCCTCAGGTTCCCGGAGCCAGCCAGGTGGCCGTATGGCAGCTGACTCCTGTTCTCCACATTCTCCCACTTAACAGAGTATAAACACAAATATTCCATTTGAATTTACCATTTTAATTCAAATAAGTGCAATAAAATAAAAAGTCCCTGAGCAAGACAACAGAAACCTAATCCTTCTCACCATTTCTCCAGCTGGGCCCACTCAAGGACCATCAAAGGCAGCCACCTTCTAGGCTGTTTCCTCCTTCTGTGACCCTACATCACCCACTCCAGCACCGCCACTCACTCTCCACCCACAACACCATCACCACACTCACTCTCCTCCAGTCTACCACCATCACCACTCACTGTCCACCCACAACACTACCATCACTCACTCTCCACCCACAACACCATCACCACACTCACTCTACCAACTCCACCATCACCACTCACTCTCCACCTACACCACCATCACCACTCTCTCTCCCCCAGTCCTACCACCACTCACTCTCCATCCAATCTACCATCACCACTCACTGTCCCCGAGTCTACCACACTCACTCTCCGTCCAATCTACCATCACCACTCACTCTCCACCACTCCAGCACCACCACTCACTCTCCATCAAGTCCACCACCACTCACTCTCTAACTACTACACCATCACTGATCACTCTCCTCACTGCTCCACAGTCATTTCCTACCCACTCTGCAAACTTTTCAGAGTACCTCTCTCCTCCCTCGTGTGTAGCTCCTTGCCATATAGACCTTCACACCCACTGCCTGTCAACTGCTGTTCAAAGATGACACCCCCAGAGGACTGACCTCATCCTCTTCTTTCTGCCCCTCACTCACATGGAGCCATTTGTGGCCTTTTCCCACCCGCTTGTCTCCCTGTGCCCTACTTGAGGTTGGAAGCTCCGGAGTTGTTTTTCTCTTGTGTTCTCTCCAGAACCTTCCAGCCTCAGGTCTTGGATGTCCTTGTTTCTCCTCCTCCATGGTGACTACCAGGGCCTAGCTCCAGCTCCCTGCATCCTGTGGCCCCTCATGGCCCTCTACAGAGGCCCCAGGGCACTTAGAAGCTGGAGGCCTGCCTCCTTCAACCCAAGTGGCACAGCTTTCCCCCAGCATAAAGGCTTTTGACATACACCTGTGGTTTTACTGCAGTACCAGTGCTTTTAAAAACCTAACTGGTGGGCTGGGCACAGCGGCTCACGCCTGTAATCCCAGCACTTTGGGAGGCCGAGGTGGGTGGATCCCCTGAGGTCAGGAGTTCAAGACAAGCCTGGCCAACATGGTGAAACCCCGTGTCTACTAACAAAAAATTAGCTGGGTGTGGTGGCGCGCCTGTAATCCCAGCTATTTGGGAGGCTGAGGAGAAGAACTGCTTGAACCCAGGAGGCCAAGGTCACAGTGAGCTGAGGTCGCGCCATTGCACTCTAGCCTGGGCAACAAGCAAAACTCCGTCTCAAAAAACAAAAACAAAACACCTAACTGGTTATCGATGTTCCCTTCTGCAAAAGCTGCCAACATCATCTTTTCAAAACTCAAATGTCACACCTCTACTTAAAAGAGTTAGCTAGGCCGGGCGCGGTGGCTCACGCCTGTAAGGCGGGTGGATTGTTGAGGTCAGGAGCTCGAGCCCAGCCTGGGCAACATGGTGAAACCCCATCTCTACTAAAAATACAAAAAAATTTGCCAGGCATGGTGGCACATGCCTGTAATCCTAGCTTCTCGGGAGGCTGAGGCGAGAGGATTGCTTAAACCCAGGAGACAGAGGTTGCAGTGAGCCAAGATCGCGTCACTGCACTCCAGCTTGGGAGACAGAGTGAGACTCTGTCTCAAAAAAAAAAAAAAAAAAAAGAGCTAGCGAAAACATCAAATTCCTTGACTTGTTCACAACCTCACTTTCCATCCAGACCCAGCACTCCTGACCACTCCCAGGCTTTGAGCAGGGAAGGCCTCACCAGCTGCAGAATCCTACTCTCCTCCCAGCGCCAACCCCCAACTCAGATCACAACCCCTGAGTGCAAGGTGAGCCCCCAGCCCCTGTGCCTATGCAGTTCCTGACAAATGCTGCGTCTCAGGTGCCCACACTGGATGGAGCATTCAGGGTCCTGCAGAGCCGGACCACCTTTCCACACGCCCCCCACCCCCAGCCTCACACTACATGCTGCTCACAGACAGTGCCAGTGAAATCACGGGGGAATGAAAGAGGGCCCCGAAAACACCATCCATTATGTATCAAAGCGTGTTTGAGAACCATCTGAGGAAACCACACAGGAAACCACACAACACCAGAAGCGTGCTCTAACCGAGGCCCTGGGTCCAGCTCCTCACCATGAGGAGATGTAATGAACATGGCTTGCGCGCTGAGCACATGCCCACATCTGGCATTCTGAGTGCATGCCCGCACGAGGTCAGGGCATGGTACGGACAAGCACAGTGGAGAGGATAAAAGTAGTCTCGCAGCACAGCCAGATATGACTTCAAAAACTCACACTGGGTCCACCTGGGTGCTCACACACCCTCTCTAAAGGGGACCCCAGTGCTTGAAGGCAGGGATGCCGTGTGACATGCCTGGTCGCAGGTCAGGGAGGGCAGACACCCCAAAAGGCCTCGCAGGGACCACTGAAACCTCTGCGCCAACGGAGAGGGCTCCACACTCTGGACGCATTTTCGCTACAGATGTATCTCAGGCAGAGGCAGCATGTGCGGACTCTTTCCAACTCTGTGCGGTAAGTAGGTAAACACATCAACAGCACCTTTCACTCAGTTACAAAACGATGCACGGTGGGAAACACTAAAGAATCCAGCTGGTGTTTCAGTGACTGACATAACCAAGCACGGTAAAGAACCGCACACCAATAAAATAGACTAAATTTCTGGCTTTAAAAAATTTTCAAAATATTCTATAGTTTCATGACAACTGCAAAGCAGGCTAAGTAGCATTTTTTACCAGATTTCATAAATCAGGAAATCTCATCCTTCTGAGAAAAAAAGTGGCCAAAACAAGTCCTTAGCTCTTGGTCCACCCAAGTGGAATTAACTTCCTCTGTAGGAAGACAGGTGCCAGCAGGTGGCTACAGCCTGAGCCCTGAGCCTGGCCCCCGTCCAGCGTCTCATGTGGAAGCCCCCCAAGAAATGCAGGATTCGCTGCGGTGCTGCAACACCCTCCACCTCAATTTAATTAAGGCGTTTATTTAAAATTATCAATTAACACAGTCGGTAAAGATAAGGAAAAAGTCAGAAGGCACCACCCCATCACCACCCAACTGCAGTGTGGTATCCAAGGCCACAACTTGTGGGTGGTGACCGCAGCTTCAGAGATCAGATCCTTCCATCTTTCACCTTCATCCCGCTTCAGACGCTTTAAAAGTCTGAAAATAAACACTACTGTAGCTTATGTGTTGTCATTCTGAAATAAAGGCAGAGAACTACAAAGAATTTAGTGCGAGGCAAACATTCGTGTGCAGCATGAAGCAAACATACTTACATCTTTTGCCATGTTACCAGATCCGGGAAATCAATGCTACAAATGTTCACCTTCCCAGAGAAGAAAAATGATTTTTCTGGTAAAAAAAAAAAAAAAAGTAAGGAAAAACAAGAAATAAGTAAGAATGAAAAACGAAGTTTAAAAAATAACACATCTCAAAGGAAACGCGGACCTTCCTTCCCAAAGGCACCCTCCATCCTGAGAGCGGAGCTGGCCAAACCGACTCCCACACTCAGGATTTTCAGTCGCCTCGCCAGACGGAAATGCCCCCTGCGGAAAAGTGGCCCGCGGGCCCGCAGGGTCACCACCACTACCCCCAGGTCCCCGACGGCCCGCCCAGCGGCCGAGGGTGGGGCCGAGCCCCAGGAGCCAGGGCGCAGCGCCTCCCTCCCGCCGCTGCAGGGGGGTGCCCCACCACCCACCTGGGCACAGCCCCGGGGTCCCGGCGCAACGTGCAGGCTCGCGGCGTCCACCCCAGACCCCGGCGGCGCCCGCCCGGCTGACCGGTAACTCTGACAGGTGGGCTTCCGGGGTCCGCGCCGCGCGCCTGTCACTAGGCCTCGGGCCGCCTCCGCACGAGGCGCCTCCCGCGCGCGCCGGAACCGGGTCCCCGCGGGCCGCCGTGGGGCGGCCTCCCCTCCCCCGCCCTGCGCGCTCCGGCCGACCCTGGCCCCAGCCCCGGCCCCGGCCCCGGCCCCACCTCCAGCGTGGGGCGCGGACGCTGCTGTCGGCCGGGAGGGCCGGGCCCGGGACCCCCGCCCCGCGGTCACCTGGGGAGCCCCTACCAGCGCCGAGCGCGCGGGGTCCCCGAGGCACAGGAGCGCGCAGGGCGCGGGAGGGCGCGGGTCGGGGCCGCGCGGCGCCTACACGCGGCCGGGGCAAGGGATGGGGTGGCCGGGGGTCCCGCCCGCACCCCCGGCTCCCGCCCGCGGCTCCCGCGGCATCCCCTGCCCACCCGCACCTGGCTGCCCGGTCCGGCCGCGCGGGCGGGGACGCGGAGAGGGCGCGGTGCGGAGCGCGGGGCGGCGCGGAGAGGCGCGGGCTGGGGCCGGGCCGGGCGGTCCCGGCCGTGGCGGGGTCCCTGCCCTGGGCCGAGTGGCGCCGGGACGCGGGGCTCACCCTGGCCGAGCGTCGGGCCGGCGTGACGTGCGCGCGGCGCGGTGACGTGGGCGGCGGCGGGCCCGCTCCGCGCAGCGCGCCTGCGCGCCTTTTCGCGCCTTCGGCGCCCTCCTCCTCCTCTTCTGCTGCTCCTCGGTCTCCCGCTCCTCCCGCCAGTGCTGCGCGCCCTGGGAGAGCGGGGAGGGGCTGTGCGCGCGTGTCCGTGTGTGCGCGTGCGCGTGCGGAGATGTAGCTGGGGCCTGCGCCGGGACGGGCAGTGCGCGCGCGCGGCGTGCGCTCGGCGGCCAAGGGACTGTGTTTGTGCGCGCCTCTGACTGTGTGTGTCCGGAGAGAGAGGTGGCCGGCTGTGTGCAAGAGTGTGTGTGCACATGGGGGAGCGGGGCCGGCTATGTGCACGAGTGTGTGTGCATGTGGGGGAGCGGGAGCTGGTGTGTGCACGTGGGGGAGCGGGGCCGGCTGTGTGCAAGAGTGTGTGTGCACGTGGGGGAGCAGGGACTAGTGTGTGCACTAGTGCATGTGCACGTGAGGGAGCGGGGACTGGTGTGTGCACTAGTGTGTGTGCATGTGAGGGAGCGGGGACTGGTGTGTGCACTCGTGTGTGTGCATGTGAGGGAGCGGGGACTGGTGTGTGCACTCGTGTGTGTGCATGTGAGGGAGCGGGGACTGGTGTGTGCACTCGTGTGTGTGCATGTGAGGGAGCGGGGACTGGTGTGTGCACTCGTGTGTGTGCATGTGAGGGAGCGGGGACTGGTGTGTGCACTCGTGTGTGTGCATGTGAGGGAGCGGGGACTGGTGTGTGCACTAGTGTGTGCATGTGAGGGAGCGGGGACTGGTGTGTGCACTAGTGTGTGCATGTGAGGGAGCGGGGACTGGTGTGTGCACTAGTGTGTGCATGTGAGGGAGCGGGGACTGGTGTGTGCACTCGTGTGTGTGCATGTGAGGGAGCGGGGACTGGTGTGTGCACTAGTGTGTGTGCATGTGAGGGAGCGGGGACTGGTGTGTGCACTAGTGTGTGTGCATGTGAGGGAGCGGGGACTGGTGTGTGCACTAGTGTGTGTGCACATGGGGCAGCAGGTAGGGGGCCGGGTATGTCAGGATGTGTGTTTGTGTGCAGGGAGCAGAGAGTGCCGGCTGTGTGCGCGAGTGTGGGGGGGGGAGCAGGGACTAGTGTGTGCAGGAGTGTGTGTGCACTTGGAAGAGCGGGGCCGGGTGTGTGCTTGAGTGTGTGTGCTCAAAGAGGAGAGCCAGCTGTGTGTGCGCCTGTATGCACGGAGGAGAGGGGGCCGCTTGTGTGCACGAGTGTGTGTGCACATAAAGGGCCGACTGTGTGTGGGGCTGTGCATGTATGGAGAGCAGGTGTGTGCATAGACGTGTGTATGTGGACACACGGAGGAGAGCAGGTGTGTGTGCGTGCGTGGCACAGAGGCCTCTGCCTCTGCTGGACCCGGTGGCCTCCAAGCCCACGACGGGCCTCCGCCCAGATTCCCAACAATTCTGGGCGTCCTCGGTGCCCACCGGACGCAGCCTGGCCCGGGACTCGGGAGGGAAAGCAGGGACAGGAAAACTCCAGAAACAGTTTCATTGCATGGTGAGCCTGGTGGTCCCGGAGTCTTGGAGACTTAATCCACCCTGGAGGGCCCCGCCGCTAGGGCCAGGCCCGAGCACCCCAGCCAAGGGCGGGCTAGGCCAGAGAAGAGTCCGAAGTTCAGGGCCACAGCAGGCGGCAGAGGCTGGTGCGCGCCGAGGGTAAGGAACATCTACAGAGGACTTGAGGAGCTGACCAAAGGCCTCTCTGCCTGTGCGGTGTATTATTACATGACAGCCCACTTTGCACGTTTTATGCTGATTTTGGCCACTCCTGCCCCTCAGGCAACGCCGCACCCCCTAAAGCTCTGGTCACTTGGCTTAAACTGCTTACAAGTTAGCACCCGTTTCTTCTTTGAAGACTACCAGAAACGCTCACTTTCTGCGAGCTGGTTCACACAAATAGATACTTAGAGAACACTGATGTTCCTCAAATGGCCCTATCTTCCTAGGTCCGTTCCTTCTGTTTCACAGGGATTCTTTATGTGTTCCTAAATGTCAGTATTTGAGCCCTGATGGCAACAGTGACACCCTCCCAGCCTCTGGGGACTTCTCCCTGAGACCTGGGGGCTCCAGTTAGGAGGATACACACGTAGGGTCCAAAATTGGGGTCTTAAACGTCTTCCCCACAAATTCAGGATTCTGATAATTCAACAATGTTTATATGGCTGATAACTAATATTATTCAAAGAAGTTTCTGCACAAAAATCACTGTACTGAGATACTCCGAACGCGCACGAGGCACTGCGGCAATGAATGCTCACGGTGCTCTGTGTGGCTTAGGAAAAGGGCAAAAAGTTACTCCCTTTTTCCTCTCCATAGCCACATGTTCCACAGAAAGCCCTCGTTTCTCTTAACAAAAGTTAACAGAATTCCCTCTAAAATTTTGGTTGATGATCCAAATATTTTTAGCCACTGCCTTGCCTTGCAGTCTCTCGATTGGGTTGCTGAAATGCAAACTTCCTAAATAAGCCCATAACCCTCGGAATTTATCTAAGCCTTTGGCCTCCCTGTATCTCTGGAGCCTGGGCTGTTTAGGAGATAGGGTTCTTTGAATGATGCACTCGTTCAGGTGTTGACTTGCACCACATGCCAGAGGCTGGGTTCAGCCCTATGGTTGGGGCCAGATACTGTCTTGTTTTGTGCATGTGGGCACCAGATTCAGCTACCGTCCCAAATATTACATGGAAATGGCCTGTGCTGTGTTTTACTAGAAGTGAACGTGTCCTTCCCAGGAAAAGTCTTCATCTCGCAAAAGCTGTGTGTGTGTCTGCTCCAGAGTCTCCAGGCATGGTGCAAACTCTCCCCACCAATTCCACACCCCCATTAAACTGTCCTCTCTTTCAGAGAGAGAGAATTTTCTAACCCTGTTTTAATTCTAAATCTGCTGATTACATATCCAGATTGTCTTTTGTTTCCCTCCTCGATGACATTGGTCTTTTCTCCAACCATCTCCTATTTTCTGCCTTCTTCCATCACTATGGCAAGAGGCCTTCAGTGGGAGGACAAGCAGGAGGCAGGGACTCATGGAATTTATGGGGAAAGTTAAAAAATAATATTCCTGGATATGCGTAAATGGCATTTTCTTGATCTTTAGTAAAATGTCAATAAAGGCATCTCTAGAAAACTTTGCTCTGTGTATTTGAGTGTATCATAAAACACAGGAAAATCTGTGCGCTTTCCCAACCTCCAGGTCTGTCCCGTGTGGCTCTCCTTTGCTCTCACAGATCAACACTCCTAAGTCCCCCCACCACCCCCAGACACAAAGACATTTTTTGTCTCTCTCCTACTGCGTTATTGCTCCTTTTTAAAATTCCCGGTCAAATCCCAAGTTCTCCCTCTTGGAAGGAAAGTCAGTTGTGATCCTGCCACATTAGCATGCTATAATATTATTTCTGTCTTAAAGACTGTCGCATTCATTTATAGTCTGAAACCACAGTTCTTTCAAAATCACCCCTTGGATCTGACAAATTCTAGAGGATCATATCACCAGATTTATAAAAGTTGAATTTACCCGAATCAACCAATTTTGCCTACTCCTTAGACATGTTCCCTTGCTTTGATCTGGATTCTTTTCTGGCTTTTGTGATGAGAGACCCCTTGGTACCTTGGCCATTGACTCCGAGATTCTCCTGAAGTGTGCCTGCCCTGCGGCTTGCTTCGCTCTGGCTAAGATGATGTCAGGTGATGTCCTGTGGAGTCCCATGATTTCAGGTTGAAAGATCTGTGTTCTCCTGGCGTCATCTCCTTTCCCCATAGCACCCATTTGTCCTCAGCCCAAGGTGAAGCCAGCACCAGGAGCCTACAGAGTAATTTTGTTTGAGAAATGTGGCCTCACATGCAATTGAGTGCCTTTGGGCATTTTTGTGCTGCCTGCCCACTCCTCTTACGGATTCACAGAAGGATCTTAGCATCCACTGACACCAATGCTGAGATGATGGGGCACCACATCACTGTGGATAAGTGATCTTAGCCTCTGTGATGGGCACGTTCCTTTAACTGAGAAATACGTGGATAAAAATATAGTTTGTTAATAAGAAGACGAAACCACAGTTTCGAAACCCTTGCCTTCCCTGCATTCCTCCCTCCGCAAGCATTTCTGAGCTCCTACTAAGTGCCAGACACAACTCTGGGTGCTGATATTACGCAGATTAATAAGAGACTGCCCAGAGTCAAACTGGAGAGACAGATGCACCTGCAATTATAATGGATGTGACCTGGTGGGACAAGCTCATATTCACGATTGGGAAGGGGGGTATGGAAGCACAGAACAATGATTTCTCCGTGCACACAGTTGGCAACACTTCATGGAGAAGGTGACAATTGAGAGAGACTATGACCAGCTGAGTACACAGGTGTGTCTGAGTGTGTGTGTGTGTGTGTGCACAAACAGAAACAGATCAGTTTTGGAAAATGCTCTTAGCAGTTTGTCCCATTATCCAGAACTTAGCTCATGGCCACATTGACCTAGAAGATGCTGGAAATAGAGTCATTACCCTGGGCCATATGACTGCCTAAGCATTTAAAGATCTACAAAAGAATAACGTGGAGAACAGATATTGGGAGACAATTGGCAGTTTCTTCCGATTGATGAAGAGACTCATGTTTCAGAGAGGTGAGGAGGATCGGTTGGAGAAAGACATCTGAGATAGGACATCAGTCAGAAGATGAAGAACCAAGGGTCCTGATGCAAACAAACCAAGGCCAGCATGAGCTGAAAGCAGGCCACTGCAGGATCAGTGCTAATCAAGGTGCTAGCTCAGAAACGACGCAGCAGGCCGGGTGCAGTGGCTCACGCCTGTAATCTCAGCACTTTGAGAGACAAGGTCTCTTTTCGAGACCAGCTGGCCAACATGGTAAAACCCTGTCTCTACTAAAAATACAAAAAAAATTAGCTGGGCCTGGTGGTAGGCACCTGTAATCCCAGCTATTCGGGAGGTTAAGGCAAGAGAATTGTTTGAACCTGGGAGGTGGAGGTTGCAGTGAGCCGAGATCGCGCCACTGCACTCCAGCCTGGGTGACAGAGCAAGACTCCTTCTCAAAAGGATTAAAAAAAAAAAAAAAAAGCAATGCAAGCAAGAACCAAGCAGCCAGTCCAGACAGAACCAGGACACTGAACAGATGCTAGAATGACTCTGCGCCAGATCTCATCAGAGCCCTGTGCTCCAGACTCACGTCCTGCCTGGGAGCTTTCCAAGGGCTGTGCGTCCTCCAGCCCCTAGCTTTCCCACTCTGGATGGCAGCAAAGTAATAGTGCATCTTCAACGGTGGGAGGGG
Organism: Homo sapiens; assembly: GCF_000001405.40. Taxonomy (NCBI): domain Eukaryota; kingdom Metazoa; phylum Chordata; class Mammalia; order Primates; family Hominidae; genus Homo; species Homo sapiens. Next base: position 113,579,369 of record NC_000013.11, on the reverse strand, counting down.
GCAGGGGGCACCTGCCTCCCACCGTGTTTAGGTGCATTTTCTAAACACGAGGAGCTGCCTGGAGGGCAACAGCCGGCAATGCGCAAGCCTGATAAAAGAGGCTCAAGAAGAACCATTGTGCCCCTTCCAGTATGGGAGGATGCTGCAGAAAGATGGCTGTCCATGAACCAGCAAGCAAGACCCTCATCAGACATAAATTTCAGTGGTTTATAAGCAGCCCAAACAGACTAAGACATCCACCCAGTCCTTCATACAGAAACCTAGAAGCCAAATACTTCATTTGCCCTCACTCCAACCACTTACCAACTTGACATGTCTTTAATTCCTCTGTTTTTCTACCTCCTCTGCTACAACCCTGGCCGAGATAGCATCCTCTCCATTGAGGACTATAAAAATCACTCCCTTCATCCAATCTTGTATAATCTAATCTGTTATCTATTCAGCAGAGTGATATTTTAAAATTGGAGATTAGGCCGGGCATGGTGGCTCATGCCTGTAATCCCAGGACTTTGGAAGGCCAAGGCAAGAAGATTGCTTGAGGCCAAGAGTCTGAGACCAGGCTGGGTAATGTAGCAAGACTTTGTCTCTACAAAAAATTTTTTATAAATTAGCTAAGCATGGGCCAGGCGCGGTGGCTCATGCCTATAATCCCAGCACTTTGGGAGGCTGAGGCAGGCGGATCACGAGGTCAGGAGATCTAGACCATCCTGGCCAACATGGTGAAACCCCATCTCTACTAAAAATACAAAAAAAATTAGCCAGGCATGGTGGTGGGCTAAGTGCCAGACACAACTCTGGGTAGTCCCAGCTACTGGGGAGGCTGAAGCAGGAGAATGGCATGAACCCAGGAGGCAGAGCTTGCAGTGAGCCGAGATCGTACCACTGCACTCCAGCCTGGGCAACAGAGCGAGACCCCATCTCAAAAAAAAAAAAAATTAGCCAAGTGTGGTGGCACATACTTGTAGTCCCAGGTACTTGGAAGACTGAAGCAGGAGGATTGTTTGAGACCAGTGATCACACCACTGCACTCTAGCCTGAGTGACACAGTGGGACTTGGAAGGAAGAAAGGGAGGGAGAGAGGAAAGAAAGAGAAAGAGAGGAAGGAAGGAAAGAAGGAAGGAGGGAGGGAAGGAAGGAAGGAAAGAAGGAAGGAAGGAGGGAAGGAAGGAAGGGAGGAAAGAAAGGAGGGAGAGAGAGAGAGAAATAAATAAATTAGGTCATGCTGCTTCTTGCTTAAAAAATTCTTCAATGGATTGACCTGCTTACTGGGTTGATGAGTAACTAGGAAGCATGGCAATAAATAAACTCCGAGTAAGACTTATTCTTTAATGCACTGCTATCTCACAAGGTATAGGAAATGTCTCCAGGGACTGTACCCTGGAGAATGTTCCAGGTGCACTTGAGAAAAAATTGTATCCTGCCGTTTGTTAGTGGCATGTTCTATGTATGCCTGTTAGGTCCAGGTGCTCTATAGTGTTGTTTAAGTCCTTTTTTTTTTATTGATCTCCTGTCTGGTTGTTCTATCCAACATCTACAGTTGGGCACTGAAGTCTCCTACTATTATTATAGAGTTGTCTGTTTCTCCCTTAAATTCTGTCAATGTTTGCTTTGTATATTTAGAAGCTCTGATATTTAGTACATATATATTTATGATTGTTGTATCTTCTTGGTGAATTGACCTTTTCAAAAGTTGTCCCTTTTATATATATCCTTCTTTGTTACTCATGACAGTTTTTGACTCAAAATCTATGCTGATATTAATATAGCCACTCTTCCTCTCTTTTGATTACTATTTGCATGAATATCTTGTTTTATCCTTTCACTTTCAACCTATGAGTGTCCTTAGATCTAAAGTGAGTCTTTTGTGGACAGCATATAAAATGTGTTTTTTTATTCATTTTGCCAGTCTATAACTTTTGACTGAGGAGTTTAATCCATTTACATCTTTATACATTTTCTGCCCAGTAACATAGATTTAAAATTATTTTTGTGTATTTGTCTTTTAAATCATGTAGGAAATAAAAGAGTGGAGTTATAAACCAAAAATATAATAATAGTGGCTTTTCTACTTGCCCATGTACTTACCATGTATTTACCAAAGACATTTATTTCTTCATATAGTTACTATCTGGTGTCCTTCCATTTCAACCTTGAAGGATCTGTCCTTTAGCATTTCCTGCAGGGCAGGTCTAGTGGTAATGAACTCCTCAGCTTTTGTTTTTCTGGGGGATGTCTTAATATTTCCCTCGTTTTTGAAGGGTAGTTTTTCCAGCTATAGAATTTACAGATTGGCAGGGTTTGGCTTTTTTTGCAGTGTTTGTTTTTTTTTTCCCCCTTCACTTTAAATGTATCATTCCACTAGGCAGTGGACTTCCATGATTTCTAATGAGAAATTGGCTATTAATCTTACTGAAAATCCATTATAAGTGACAAATCACTTCGCCTGCTGTTTTCAAAATTCTCTTTGTCTTTTGAGTTTGATTATGTATCTTGGTGTGGGTTTCTTTGAGTTTATCCTACCTGAAGTTCATGAACTTCTTGGATTTGTAGACTTGTATCTTTCATCTTGTTACACACAATGACCAAGTGAGATTTATTCCATGAATGCAAAGATGGTTCAACATAAGATAATCAATGTAACACATCACATTAATAGAACAATATGCAGTCGGCCCTTTGTATCTGCGGATTCCACATCCATGGATTCAACCAACCTTGTATTAAAAATTTATTTAGACCTACAAAGGTTGCCTCTGTACTGAACATGTACAGACTTTTTCTTCTTGTCATTATTCCCTAAATACAGTCTAATAACTATTTTTATAGCATTTACATTACATTATGTATTATAAGTAATCTACAGATGATTTAAAATACACAGGAGGGTGTGTTTGGGTTATATGCAAATACTATGCCATTTTTAAAAAGGGACTTTAGCATCCATGGATTTTGGTATCACAGAGGATCCTGGAACCAATCCCTCATGGATACTAAGGAACAACTATATACACATATACACACACAAGCATGTATGTTTGACATGGTATGCCAATGTTCACTGCAGCATTAATCACAATAGTCAAAAGATGGAAAGACCCTAAGTGCCCATCAACAGACAAATGGATAAACAAAACATAGCATGTGCCAGTAATGGATTATTATTCAGCCATATAAAGGAATGAAATTCTGATATATGCTGTAACATGGGTGAACCATTAAAACATCATGCTAAGTAAAGTAAGTCAGACACAAAAGGACAAATATGGTGTGATTCCACTTATATGAAATATCCAGAATAGGTAAATTCATAGAGACAAAAAGTAAATTAGCAGTTACCAGTGACTGTGGGTAGGTGGTTACTCCTCAATGATTACAAAGCACTGTTAGGGGTGATGAAAAATGTTGGAAGTAATTAGTAACACTGTGAATGTAATTAATACCACTGAATTTTACACTTGAAATGGTTAAAATGGCAAGATATACATACACACACACATATATATATATATATACACACCATAGTTTTAAAAAATTATTAATATACCCCAGTTCAGAACAGTGAACTGGTTCTGAATTTTTAAATTATTAATTTAATTTAAAAAATTAATAATATACAAAGATACCATCATGTACTGTAAGTGGGTGAATTGCATAGTATGTAAATTTTATCTCAATAAAACTATTTCTAAAAAAGCTATAAAGGATATTTTGAGGACAATGGGGAAAGACCTTACATAGTCCAAATATTAGGTAAAAGAAGGAAAAAATTATTATTTTGCTAAATGTGATAATGGCATTTTGGTAGTTTGGGAGATTATTTTTATTCTTAGAAAAGGTGCACAGTGATGAATTTAGATACTAAGTGTCATTATTTTGACTATTTATTTGTAAGTGGTTCAGATAAAAGTGTGTATTTTTGTGTATGTACTTTCATATGGGAGAGAGAGACAGAAGGGGAAGAGAGAGAACGAATATGGCAAAATGATTTTTAAAAACTGCTTAATGTATGATTGTGTATTTTACTATTTGTTCAATCTCTCTGTGTTTTGAAATTCGCAATATAATTAAGAGAAAAATCCCATTTCTATTCAAATGAAACAGAAAGTCCTAACCAGTGCAACAAGACAAGAAAAAGAAATAAAAAGGCACAAATATTGAATAGGAAGAGGTAAAATTCTTTTTATTCTCAGATGATGATTGCAGATCTGGAGCACCAAGGACTCAAAGTTAATCAGTAAAGTTACAAGACTCTCTAAATACAAGTTCAATGCAAAATAACATCACTTACATTTCTATATACCAGCAAACTATTGGACAATATATTTTAAAAATATTTTCATGTCATTTAAGAATATTTATGATGGCATGAAAAATAGCAACTAATTAGGAATTAATTTAGATGTGTAAAAGTTATTTTGAAAAAATACAAAATATTGCTTTACAAATCTAAAGTAGACCAAAAATATTGGAGATACAACATATCTGTGGATTAGAAGACGCAATAGTGTTAAGATAGCCCTTCTCCCCAAACTAACCTATGGATCCAATGCAATCCCAATCAGAATCTCAGCTTTTTTTATTTTTTTTCAGTAGAAGTTGACAATTCATTTTTCAAAAAACGGACTTTATTAAGAGCATTATTAAGTTCACAGCAAAACTGAGCAGAAAGTACAGAGAGTCCTTACATACCTTCTTTCTCTCCCCCTACCCACAGACGCCTCAACATCCTTCCAGAGTGGTGCATTTGTTACAATCAATTAACCTACACTGACACATCATCATCATCCATAGTTCATAGTTTACATTAGAGTTCATTCTTGGTGTTGTACATTCTATGATTTGGACGAATGTATAATGACGTGTCCACAATTATAGTATCATGGAAAATAGTTGCACTGCCCTAAAAATCTTCTGTGCTCTGTCATTTTATCCCTCCCTCCCTTCTAATTCCTGGCAACCACTGATCTTTTAACTGTCTCCATTGTTTTGCCTTTTCTAGAATGTCATAGAGTTGGAATCATATAGTTGTAACCTTTTTAGATTAGCTTCTTTTTTTTTTTTTGAGACAGAGTCTCGCTCTGTCACCCAGGCTGGGGTGCAGTGGCGCAATCTCAGCTTACTGCAACCTCCATCTCCTGGGTTCAAGTTAGCCTCCTGTCTCAGCCTCCCGAATAGCTGGGATTTCAGGTGCGTGCCACCACGTTGGCTAATTTTTGTATTTTTAGTAGAGACGGGGTTTCACCATGTTGGCCAGGCTGGTCTCAAACTCCTGACCTCAGGTGATCCACCTGCCTTGGCCTCCCAAAGTGCTAGGATTACAGGTATGAGCCACTGCCCCCAGCAGTGGCTTCTTTTACTTAGTAATATGCACTTAAAGTTTCTCCATGTGTTTCCATAGCCTGATAGCTCATTTCTTTTTAGTACTGAATAATATTCCGTTATCTGGATGTATCACAGTTTGTTTATCCACTCACTTATTGAAGGACATCTTGGTTGCTTCCAACTTTTGGCAATTATAAATAAAGCTGCTATAAACATCCATGTGTAGAATTTTGTGCGGACATAAGTTTTTGACTCATTTTGGTAAATACCAAGGAGCACAATTGCTGGATCACATGGTAAGTGTATGTTTAGTTTTTTTTATTTTTTTATTTTTTATTTTTTGGGACGGAGTTTCACTCTTGTTGCCCAGGCCGGAGTGCAATGGCGCAATCTCGGCTCATCGCAACCTCCACCTCCCGGGTTCAAGTGATTCTCCTGCCTCAGCCTCTCAAGTAGCTGGGATTATAGGCATGCGCCACCACGCCTGGCTAATTTTTTTGTATTTTAATAGAGACGGGGTTTCTCCATGTAGATCAGGCTGGTCTTGAACTCCTGACCTCAGGTAATCCGCCTGCGTCGGCCTCCCAAAGTGCTGGGATTACAGGCATGAGCCACCGTGCCCAGCTGTTAGTTTTGTCAGAAACTCCAAACTGTCTTCCAAAGTGGTTATGCTATTTTATATTCTCACCAGCAATGAATGACAGTTCCTGCTGATTCACATCATTACCAGCGTTTGGTGGTGTCAGCAACTTGGTTGTCTGCCAGTCTAATAGGTGTGTGGTGGTATCTCCTTGCTGTTTTAATTAGTACTTCCCTGATGACATATGATATGAAGCATCTTGTCACATGCTCATCTTCTTTGCCGTCTGTATAGCTTCTTTGGTGAGGTGTCTGCTCAGGTATTTTGCCCATTTCTTTCTTTCATATTTTTTTTAAGATGGAGTCTTGCTCTGTTGCCCAGGCTGGAATGCAGTGGCACAATCTCAGCTCACTGCAACCTCTGCCTCCTAGATTCAAGTGATTCTCCTGCCTCAGCCTCCCGAGTATAGGTGCATGCCACCACACCCAGCTAATTTTTGAGTTTTCAGTAGAGATGGAGTTTAACCAGGCCAGGCTGGTCTCAAACTCCCAACCTCAGGTGATCTGCCTGCTTCGGCCTCCCAAAGTGCTGAGGTTACAGGCATGAGCCACCATGCTGGTTTGCCCATTTCTTTCTCTTTTTTTCTTTTCTTTTTTCTTTTTTTTTTTTTTTTTTGAGATGGAGTCTCACTGTGTCACCAGGCTGGAATGCAGTGGCAAGATCAGGATCTTGGCTCACTGCAATCTCCACCTCTCAGGTTCAAGTGATTCTCCTGTCTCAGCCTCCCAAGTAGCTGGGACTACAGGCGTGCACCACCATGCCCAGCTAATTTTTGTACTTTTTGTAGAGATGGGGTTTCACCATGTTGGCCAGGATGGTCTTGATCTCTTGACCTCGTGATCCGCCCACCTCGGCCTCCCAAAGTGCTGGGATTATAGGCGTGAGCCACCGGGCCCAGTTGCCCATTTCTTAATCAAATTGTTCATTTTCTTACTGTTGAGTTTATAGATTGATTGCATTCAATCTATACTAGAGATGAAGTTGGGAAGAACTGACATTCTGAAAATATTAAGTCTTTCTATCCATGAACATGGGATGTCTCTCATTTATGTAGCTTTTCTTTGAGTTCTTTCACCAGAGTTTTGTGGTTTTCCTCATAAAGATCTTGTATGTATTTCGTTAGATTTAAACCTAAGTACTTCATTCTTTTTTAGTGTTACTGTAGATAGTAGTGTGTTTTAAATTTGAAGTTCCACTTGTTTTTTACTGGCATATAGAAAAGCAATTTATTTTTGTTATATCCTACAATCTTGCTATAATTGCTTATTAGTTGCAGGAGTTTTTGACAATTCTTTTGGATTTTCTACATACACAATCAGGCAGTCTGGTAACTAAGGAAGCTTTGTTTTCTCCTTCCCAATCTGTATACATTTTATTTCCTTTTATTGTCTTCTTGGACTTGCTAGAACTTCTAGTACAATGTTGAAAAGGATTGGTGAGAAGGAACATCCTTGCCTTGATCCTGATCTTAGCAGGAAAGATCTAGTTTCTAAATATTATGTGTGATGTTAGCTGTAGGTTTTCTGTAGATATCTTTACCAAGTGAAGAACTTTCCCTCTATTCTTAGTTTACTGAGTCTTTTTTCCTAAATCATAAATAATTGTTGGATTTTGTCAGATGCTTTTTCTACATCTATTGATATGATCGTGTGATTTTTCTCCTAATGTAATGTGACTGTGCGAATTGATTTTTAAATGTTGAACCAATCTTGCAGACCTGGATAGATACCACTTGGTCATGGTTATAAATTCCACTTGTTCATGGTGTATAATTATTTTTATACATTGCTGGATTTGATTTGCTAGTTTTGGTTTTTTTTTGTATTTTTGTTTGTTTGTTTTGTTTTGTTTTGTTTTTGAGACAGTGTTTCACTCTTGTCTCCCAGGCTAGAGTGCAATGGTGCAATCTTGGCTCACTGCAATATCTGCCTCCCGGGTTCAAGTGATTCTCCTGCCTCACTCTCCCAAGTAGCTGGGATTACAGGTGCCCACCACCACGCCTGGCTAATTTTTGTATTTTTAGTAGAAATGGGGTTTCACCACATTGGCCAGGCCGGTCTCAAACACCTGACCTCAGGTGATCCACCTGTCTCGGCCTCCCAAAATGCTGGGATTACAGGCGCGAGCCACTACATCCAGTCTGATTTGCTAGTATTTTATTGAAGACTGTTGCATCTATGTTCATAAGAGAGACGAGTCTGTAGTTTTCTTTTCTTGTAATGTCTTTGTCTAGTTTTGGTATTATGTTAATGCTGGCCTCACAGAATAAATTAAAACATATTCCTCTGCTTTTATCTTCTGGAAAAGATTGTAGAGAAGTGGTATAATTTATTCCTTAAATGTTTAGTAAAATTTACCACTGAACCTATCTGAGCCTGGTGCTTTCTGTTATTCATTATTGATTCAATTTCTTTAATAGATTTAGGTCTATTTAAATTGTCTATTTTTGTGTGAGTTTTGGCAGATTGTGTCTTCCAAGGAATTGGTTCATTTCATCTAGGATACCAAATTTGCAGGCACAGAGTTGTTCGTCATATGCCTTTATTACCCCTTTAATGTCCATGAGTTCTATATGAGGTCTAATGGCCCCTCTTTCATTTTGGATATTGGCAATTTCTGTCTTCTCTGTTTTTTCCTTAGCCTGGCTAGAAGTTTATGGATTTTATTAATCTTTTCAAAAAACCATCTTTCGGTTTTATTGCTTTTTGCTATTGTCTTCCTGTTTTCATTTCATTGGTTTCTGCTCTAATTCTTATTATTTCTTTTTTCTGCTTACTTTGAATTTAATTTGCTCATACTTTTCTAGTTCACTAAAGTGGAGGCTTAGACCATTGATTTTAGATATCCTTTTCTAATATATGCAGTCAATGCCATAAGTTCTCCTTTAAGCACTGCTTTTGCTGCACCCCACAAATTTTGATAAGTTGTATTTTCATTTTCATTTAGGTCAATGAAAGATTTTTAAATTTCTCTTGAAATTCTACTCAGGCCCATGTCTTATCTACAAGCGTGTTGTTTAATCAACAAGTAGTCTGGGATTTTCCAGTGACAACCCAACTTGAAATTTTATGTAGAATACCAACAGACCCAGTAATTCCAAGACAATCTTGAAGAACAATAATGTTGAAGGATTTATACTACCAGATTTCAATGCCACATTAAGACAGTGTAGTGATGGCATACAGATAAATAAATATAGCTAAAGAGACCAATGACACAGAATAGAAAATCCCAAAATAGACTCACATATTATATTTACTTGATTTTCAACAAAGGCATCAATACCATTCATGGGAAAAGAAAAGTCTTTTCAATAAATGGTGCTGGATCAGCTGGATCTCATATGGAAAAAAAAAAAATGAACTTTGATCTCTACCTCACACCAAACCCCCCAAATTAAACTGTATGACATTACATTAATTTTAGCTTTATGAAAGCAAAAATTAGATATTTTGAAGAAAACAGGACCTTAGGATAGGCAAGAATTTTTTAAACAGAGCAAAAATAGCACCAAGTATAAAAGAAAAAATGTATAACTTGGACTTTTTCAAGATTTAAAACTCTTGCTCATCAAAAGCAAGTTTAAAAAATATTAATAGACTAGGGAAATATTTACAACGCAAATATCTAACAAAGAAATATCCAGAACAATTAAGAACTACAAGTTAATAAATAAAAGAAAAATAACTCAGTTATAAGATTGTCAAAAAGACTTGAGCTATAGTAAAGAAGAAATCCAAATGGCCAAGAAACATGTGAAAATGTTCTCAGCCTCTTTAGTAATCAGAAAATACAAATTAAAAACATAGGCAAATACCATTTCATACCTATCTGAATGGCTAAAAGGTAAGGGATTGACAACATCAAGTGTTGGCAAAGAACGTGACATAAGTGGAACTGTCATATATTGGTGGTGGGAGTGTTAAATGTTAAAATTCTTTTGAAAAACTGACTTACATTCCCTAACGAAGTCAAACATACAACTACTCCATGGTCCAGCAATTCCACTCCCAGGAATATATCCAAGAGAAATCAATGCATTTGTCTATCAAAAGACATCTTCTAGAGTGTCTATAGGCAGCACTGTGTGTAATTGTTCCAAACTGGGACCTGTCACAGTGCTCCCTGACAACAGGACAAATTCCGATAGAATCACACAATGGAATGAACTGTCCACAACTACAGGCAGTAATGGGGTAAAGTTCCTCATAAATACTGTTTTCAGCAAGAGTAGCAAGACACAAAAGACTACATTTTGTGTGGATCCATGATTATAAAGTACCAAACAAGCAAAATGAATCTAGTTGGGACAGAGGCTGCTGGTTGGAAGGTGGGAGTAGGAGTGGAAATAAATGGAAGAGAACACAGGGGGTCTTAGGGTGCTGGGGAAGCTGTGTTTTATTCATCTGGGTCTAGGTTAAATAGGTGAGTCCAATGAAAATTCATCAAGCTGTAAACTTGTGATATTTGCACCTTTCTATACATATACAATACAGCAATAAACAGTAAGAAACCAATCCAAAAGAAATCAAACCAATATCCAATTTAACAATAGAACAAAATATGAAATACAAGGAACAACTCTAATGAAAAATGCGTACAACACAATACTATAAAATACAACTGAAAGACAGAAGAACTAAATACATAAAGGTATATGCTGTTCACGGCTCAGAAGAGTCAGTGTTGTCGATGGGCCAATATGTATACACATGAAAAGATTCTTGGTCTCATTAATTATCAGGGAGCTACAGATCAAGACCACAATCAGAAATCATTTTATGCCCATATGACAGGCAAACTTTAAGAAGTCTGACAATAGCAAATACTGGGAAGGCTGTGGGCCAATTACATCTCTTACACATGGCCAGTAGGAGTGTGAGTTGATACAGCCACTTTTGAAAATAATTTGGCACAATCCTATTAGGTTGAATATTTGCACACCCTGCTACCCAACAATTCCACATTCAGGACCTGTCCCAGGGATCATGCTCAGCATCAATGTTTACGCTAACAAAAAAGCAGAAGGCAGCTCAAATGTTCAACTGTAGGACACCAGATAAGCAAAGTGAGGAGTATTCCCACAATAGGGTAACAAGTGAGAATGAATGAAGTAAAATGTCCCTAACGCCCACATATATCATATCCTTCTTATAAAGTTTAAAAACAAAAAGACAAAACTCATGTATGCATAATATATATATATATATATATATATATTTATGTATATATGTATGTATATAAGAAAAGAGACAAGCTAGAAAGGATAACAAGTGTCAAAGTCAGAGTAGTTCTTTGGTTACTTTCGGGGGGAAAACTTAGGGAGTTGTGTCTCATCATGTTCTTGGGTAGGGCTGTGGTTACACTAGGATTTGTTATGTTCCATGGACATATAAGACAGGAGATAGAACTGGACCATGCATGCAAGAGTGCAGCTGCCACTGAAACAAAGATAAGGATCAACCCTGTCTTCCTACCTGAGGGCAAGCTCTCCTCATTGTCAGTCCTTCCAAATCCTGCCCACTTCCAGGGCTCACCTGACCGCCGCATACAGACCTTCACCTGTATGGCCTCTCCTCTACCACACGTCAGCAAACCGGAGAAGTGAAGGGGATCTTACAGCTACTTTTACTTCTTACTTTATATAATTTTGTTAACAGTGAAAATTATAGGCACTTTTTCTGGCATTTTTCTGTATTTCCATATAAATATATAAAACAAAATCTTAGTTTTAAAAATCTAGAGAACATGGGGCCAGGCACAGTGGCTCACGCCTGTAATCCCAGCACTTTGGGAGGCTGAGGCAGGCGGATCACGAGGTCAGGAGATCGAGACCATCCTGGCTAACACGGTGAAACCCCGTCACTACTAAAAATACAAAAAATTAGCCGGGCGTCTTGGCGGGCGCCTGTAGTCCCAGCTACTCCAGAGGCTGAGGCAGGAGAATGGCGTCAACCCAGGAGGCGGAGCTTGCAGTGAGCCGCGATCGCACCACTGCACTCCAGCCTGGGCGACAGAGCAAGACTCCGTCTCAAAAAAAAAAAAAAAAAAAAAATCTAGAGAACATGTTTTAGTACAGAAGTCGGAAACTGGTGGTTTACCCTACCCAGGATTAAAAAGAAAAAAAGCAAAGAACATTGCCAACATTTAAAAATCACAAAATTTTATACAGAAGTCCATATTTCTGGCTTTTTAAAAATCAGATGATCTGGCCAGTGTTTGTGCATTCCTACTTAGCAGCTGCCTGCCAAGGCTGAGCGGCACCAAGTTCCCACCCCTCTGATGCCACACTCAGCTCATTCGCGCCACCTGCCTGGCCGCGGCATTTGTTCACCAATTTCTCTTTACCATCTTCCCTTCCCTTACGTGGTGCGCATGTTTGTCTCTGTGTCCTGACATGAAGGAAGCCTGTTCTTAGTAGCTCAGGGTCATCATCTCCTTGGGCAGATGAGGACTCTAACAAGAATCCAGGGAAATGACCGCACACCCTGGCACAGAGGTCACCCCAAGCCAGGCTCCAAGTGAGCCATCAGTAGACAGGGCTCCAAGGGTGAGGGCAGGAGGTGGCTGAGTTGCTGTCAGGGGTTGTCGGCCTAAAGAGCTGAGATCTGTCCTACTGGGAGGCGGGAAAATAAATCCATGATGGAACCAGACCATATTTCACAGGGAGACACAGGCTGGTGGTGATAGGCACGGCCGGAGGAGACCACCTGACGTTTTGGTACAGGCTGAAAAAGAAACAATTCAGGGTTCAGCCTTTTATAGAAAATTATCAAACCAACGTTTAAAAGAAACATTCTCACTCAAAACCTGAGACTCACCTTGTCTGAGCTCAAATCACAGTGTTTGAGCCTCAGGGGTGGGCAAGAAAACTGGGTCAGGATCAGACAGGGCTGCAGAGTGGGGTGGGGACCGTGGCAACACCAGGCTGGGCCCAGGCAATTCGGAACCGCCCTGCATGGCATAATGTCCTCAGGACACTGACCAGAAACCGGACCGCAAAAAGAAAGAAAGTCGCACTCAACAGGGAATTCGGGTTCCCTCTGGCCTGCACCTTTTCCTTCTTTCCGTCTTCTGGTTATTAAAGGGGTGAATTACCTACGTCGGGCAGGGCTGTGGCGGTGGCTCCGAGCCCCGCTGTCGCCCGCCCCGGCCCCAGACCTAGAACCTCACGCTGGCTTCTGAGCGCCAGGGCCCTGCAGGTCTCTGTGATGCACCCAGAGAGCAAATGTCCACGCCAGCTCAGACCAGACAGACTGAGGACAAAACAGGCTCTGCTGACAAGCGCACACGAGGCTCAGGGACCACGGGTGCTTTCAGTCAGGCCTGAGCCGCGAAGGGCTGAGCAGTGCGCACCGGAAGAGGTGAGGGCCCTGCCGGAAAGCCACGGACAGAAAGACGCCCTCGGAAGACCAGGACGACAGCAGTGCCGCGCGGGAAGACGGCACCATGATCTACACTGGCAGAAGCTCTGCCCACCTGAGTATGAGGGTCTGAGGGGAAAGTGTGAGGGGACGGTCTGAGGGTCTGAGGGGAGGGTCTGAGAGGACAGACTGAGGGTCTGAGAAGAAGGTCTGAGGGTCTGAGGGAAGGGTTGGGGGGTCTGAGAGGAGGGTCTCTGCGTCTGAGGGGAGGCTCTGTGTGTCTGAGGGGACGGTCTGTGGGTCTGAGAGGAGCGTCCAAGGGTCTGAGGGGAGCATCTGAGGGGAGGGTCTGCGGGTGTCTTGGGAGGGTCTGAGGGAAGGGTCTCAGGGTCTGAGGGTCTGAGGGGGGCGGTCTGAGGGTCTGGGAGGAGGGTCGTTGGGTCTGAGAGGAAGATTGAGGGTCTGAAGGGAGAGTCTGAGGGTGTGAGCGGAGGCTCTGAGGGTGTAGAAGAGGATCTGTGGGTCTGAGCCGAGGGTCTGAGGGTACGAGGGTTGGAGAGGAGGGTCTATAGGTCTGAGGGGAATGTCAGAGGGGAGGGTCGGAGGGTCTGTGAGGAGGGTCTGAGGGTCTGAGCGGAGCATCTGTGGGTCTGAGGGGAGAGAGTCTGCGGGTCTGAGAGGAAGGGGAGGGTCTGAGGGGCGGGTCTGTGTTCTGAGAGGAGGGTCTGTGTGTCTGAGGGGACGGTCTGTGGGTCTGAGGGGAGGGTCTGTGGGTCTGAGGGGAGTGTCTGAGGGTCTGAGCGGAGCATCTGTGGGTCTGAGCGGAGCATCTGTGGGTCTGAGGGGAGAGAGTCTGCGGGTCTGAGAGGAAGGGGAGGGTCTGAGGGGCGGGTCTGTGTTCTGAGAGGAGGGTCTCAGGGTCTGAGTGTGGGGTTTGAGGGTCTAAGAAGAGGGTCCAAGGCTCTGAGCAGAGAGTCTATGGGTCTGAGGAGAGGTTACGAGGGCCTGAGAAGAGGGTCTGAGCGTCCGAGGGGAGGGTCTGAGGGTGTGAGGATCTGATGGGAAGGTGTGTGGGTCTGAAAGGAGGGTCCATGGGTCTGAGGGGCGGGTCTGTGGGTTTGAGTGGAGGGTGTGGGGTTTGGAGAAGAGGGGCTGAGGGCCCGAGGGGAGGGTCTGAGGGGTGTATCTGGGGGTCTGTTGGGAGGGTCCCTTCATCTGAGGGGATGGTCTGAGGCTCGAGGGGAGCGGCTGCAGGTCTGACGGGAGGGTCCGTGGGTCTGAGAGGAGGGTCTGACAGAAAGGTCTGTGGGTATGAAGGGAGGGCCTGAGGATAGTTTGAGGGGAGCATCTGAAGGAAGAGGAGGGTTTGAAGGGAGGGGAGGGTCTGTGGATCTATGGGAAGTGGCTGTGGGTTGGGGAGGGTCTGCGGGTCTGAGGGGAGGGTCTGAAGGTAGGGATAGTCCGTGGGTCTGTGGGGAAGGTCTGTGGGGTGGGGAGGTTATGGGTCTGAGGGGAAGGTCTCCGAGTCTGTGGGAAGGGTCTGTGGGTCTGAGGGGACGGCTTCGGGTCTGTGGATATGTTGGGGGGGTCTGTGGGAAGTGTCTCTCGGTCTGTGGAAAGGGTCTGTGGGGCCGAGGGAAGCACTTGTGGGTCTTTGCGGATGATCTGAGGGGTGGATCTCTCAGGCTCTGAGTTAACTGCAGACGTGGTAAGTGCTGCGGAGGAGGTGTTAGGAGCTACAAAAATGCCACAGAGAGAGACCTCGCAATGTTGTTGTCGGGAAAGTTGATCCAAGAAAGTGTCGTGGATTTAAGATCTCAGGGATGAGTGGAGAGAGACAGCTGGGGTCGTGTGGACCGGAGGGAATTGGCGAGAAGTTCTTTAAGTTTGATGGAGGACTCTGAAATTTATCTTCAGAGTGAGTGGGAGCTGAGGAAGAGTTTGGGGCAAGTGGATGGCTCTTTGTTGTTGTTGTTTTTAACTTTTTGTTTTGAATGAATTTGAGACTTACTAAAAAGTTGCAGAAATAGTACCCAGAGTTCCCACATAATCCTCCCTGGCTTCCCTCATATCCGTGTCCAGCATGGCCACGACACAGATATTAAACCCAGCACCCAGTGTGACACCGTGGCCCATGCCTGTAATCCCACAATTTTGGGAGAGCAAGGCAGGAGGATCACTTGAGCCCAGGAGTTCAAGACCAGCCTGGGCAACACAATGAGGTCTCATCTCTCCAAAAAATAAAATCAAATTACCCGGGTGTGGTGGTGTGCGCCTGTGGTCCCAGCTACTTGAGTGGGGAGGATCGCTTGAGCCCAGGAGCTGGAGGCTGCAGTGAGTCATGATTGTACCACTGCACTCCAGCCTGGGTGACAGAGCCAGACCCTGTGTCAGCCCTAACCATCCTTGTCCTGGGGCCTGGGCATGGATTTTGCTGTCTCGTGTTCTCAGGACTGTATGAAGTCAAGCCCATTTGGCAAGCATCCTGTGGAGGTAAGGCTGTCTCTCAGTGGCTCCTGAGCTGATGTGTCCAACTACAGGTCCAGGTGGTGTCTGCCGAGTCTCCTGGTCAAATTGCCGTCCTTCCTCTGTAGGGGATAATCGTCCTGGAGACACTGGGAGACCAAATCCTGATTCTCCTGGAACTTCTCTGATTTTGGCATCCATGGGGGTCTTGTCAGCGGCAATCAGTTCCGTGGACTTTGCCTCGTGGTGATTTTCTGTTTCCCCCTTTCCTCTGGCATTTATCCATCGAGGTTCTCCTGCAGGGAAGAGCAGTGGGTCCTTCTTCCCCGTTTGCGTGTTGACATGGTCAGTGACGACAGCAGTGTGAGCTTGCATGCATTTATTTTATTCTACAGTTTGCAATCAGCACGGCCATTGTGCATCTTGTTGCTCACACGACCCAAGGTTGGCCCCTATGTCATCTCAGGGAATGACATTGACAGATTTACAGTTTAAAGCCCCCGCTTGCAGTGTGGGAGTGGGGTGTAACTGGGCAGGGATGGACGCAGTGAGGTAAGGCCCAGACTTCCCATGGTTACAATGTCATCTCAGTGACTAATGAGGAGCCGAGAGCTTCCTCAGTATTGAAAGCCCTTCTTCGCTGACCTAGCCCTGGGTAGAATGTGGGTTTAAAAAGCCTAATGTGGTACATGCTTGGGTCCCTCTGATGTTCTAGAAACAAAACCTGCTTTCCTTGAGACTTGCTTTCTTGTATTTGCTTGAAGACAACGCGACCTCTCAGCGTGGCAATCCCAGAATCAGGTCACTGGACAACTTGTTAATTTTGAGCACGGTGACTGGGATTTCAAGGTAGAGACTTGGTCCACCCGCCGGCTTTCAAGAGTGAGGAGCATGGTGCTGCCTTCTAACTATGCTTTTTAACAGGATTCGGTTTGCAGTGCCACAAACAAAGTGAGCCACTGGGAGGCAGCAGAGGCCTTGGAGGGGAGGTGCATCTGGCAGCCACAGAGCTCATTGCGGGACCACCCACAGGCACGCGGAGCATCTTTGCCTTGTGGAGCCTGGCACCAGGACTGCCGGGAGGGGAAGAGGCTCAGCCCCCACACCCGGGGAACCTATGCCACACCGGGGCCCTCTCCAGCCTCACTGGCAGTGTCTCTGGGACCACTCCCCAGATTACTTGTCCTGGGGTCAGCTCGGGCAGGGAGGCAGAGTAGCCCTACAAGCCCTCTGCAAACACACACATGCTCTCTCCACAAACAGAGTAGAACCGCACCACATGGATTCTGCATAACACCACACTGGGGCCCTGGATGTTTCCCCCTCATCCACCTTGTTTTGAATGTAGAACGAAGTCCAAAGTTTTTCTTCTAACAGTTCCAGGCAGGCTGGCATATCGAATCAATCCAAACCCAGTCTGCCTGTCCTCAGATCCCCTCTGCACCACAAAGCCCAGGCAGTATGATCACCCTTTGCCAGAGGCCCTCACAGCTGGGCCTTCACCTGCGACCTGGGTTCCACACACTGCTTTATCTGCATGAAGCTGGGGGGCAGAATTGGCCAACGAGAGGTGCAGCCACACGGGAGTGGCCTGGGCCTTCGGGAAAGCCTTTAGACATTGTGTGGACTGTAGAGAAGCTCCTGGGGCCCAGTGCCAGTGTTGCTCGTGCTTGGGCACCTCTCCTGCCGCATCATCCCTGGCAGTGACGTCCACCGGCTCTCAGCCCAGATGGGGAGACCATCGGTCTTTATCTCTGAGTAAAACTCAATCTGCTTCCACCTGCTGGTGGGGATTCTGTGGTCTGCAACTGAGCCTCTGAAACCGAGGGCAGGATAGGAGGGACGTGGAGTGGGCGCTACGTGGTGGGTGCTTGACACTCCTTCCTGGTTGTGTGACCGTGAGCCAGTGACAGCCTAAGCAGAGGGAGCTGTGATGAAGCTTGTAGCTGTAGCGCGCCTGGGCCCCAGCCTTGCAGCTCCAGGGGTGGAGCTCTTCCAGGAACAAACTCTTCTCTGCCACTCTGTGGACAGAAGGCCCTGTCCACGTAGGGGGCTCTCACTGCCATTCACATGCCTTGACCCTTCACTCCCTTCGTGAGATTCAGAGCAGCCCTTCTGAGAACAAAGCGCAGTGAACATCTCTGGAGACACCAAAGTCCCCTCGAGTGAGAAACAGACTCCTGAACGCAGGTTTTCAGGATGTGAACCCCGGCCCAGAGCCTTACCCATGGATGAGGTGCCCATGCAGTCCCCAGGGTGCCTTTGACCTCTTATTCTGTAACTTCACATTTCAATTAAAGTGTTGAGGGAAGATGGCCATGACCAACACCAACTCAAAGCTGTCCATCAATACAGTGAAGAAAACAGCCTCTCAAGTCAGCTTTCAGTGTGTGAAAGGTGGGCAGCCCTATTACAGGGCTTTCTCTGTGAATGTCACTGTCCTGTTGAGCAGCCTTGAGTGAACAACTGGACCTCCAGGGCCACCATTTCCTCCCTTGCAAACCGTCATGCTAGTCAGCCCCGGCGTCCAGGACCGACTCACAAGGCCACGTCTTGGTGAGCAGCGGGGTCTTGGCCGCCGTTCGGCTGGGTAGGAAGTGCTCTCTGGCTTCTGCAGCTGGCTCACTTTCTGTATGCCACCCACCCACAGGCCCGTGGGACCCGTCTGTCTGTCCTTGGGCTGTCTCCCTGTGCCCGGGATGTGGCAGCAGTGGCCAGTGTCCTGAGGCCCTGCCCTCTGTGAAGCTACCACGTCCTGGCAGCTGGGCCCTTCTCTTGCCCTCCGGTCCCAACTCTGAAGTCTGAGAAGCTTTGTCCAGCCCCTCCCAGCTTCTGCCTACATTGCATGCCTGCCTCCCCTTTCGCCCTCTCAGCAGAGTCTGCAAATGTTCCTGCTGCTTAGGCTTTTGTAAAACAAACACCAGGAACACAGGAAACTAGGTTTGTCCTGGGGTAGGGGCTGCCAAGAACACCCTGAGATGCTGGGGGAGGAAATGCCCATCTCAAAACCTGCGCAACCCCGTCCAGACCTGCGACCCTGTCCAGACCCACGACCCTGTCCAGACCTTCGCGACCCCGTCCAGACCTGTGCGACCCCATCCAGACCTGTGCAACCCCGTCCAGACCCGCGACCCCGTCCAGACCCGCGACCCGGTCCAAAGCTGTGCGACCCCATCCAGACCTGCGACCCCGTCCAGACCTGCGACCCCGTCCAGACCCGTGACCCCATCCAGACCCTCGACCCGGTCCAAAGCTGTGCGACCCCGTCCAGACCTGCGACCCCGTCCAGACCTGCGACCCCGTCCAGACCCGTGACCCCGTCCAGACCCGCGACCCCGTCCAGACCCTCGACCCGGTCCAAAGCTGTGCGACCCCGTCCAGACCTGCGACCCCGTCCAGACCTGCGACCCCGTCCAGACCCGTGACCCCATCCAGACCTGCGACCCCATCCAGACCCACGACCCTGTCCAGACCCGCGACCCCGTCCAGACCTGCGTGTGCTCAGGGGGCGCAAGCCAACACTGACACCTGAAGCGAGCATGGGCTTAGAGAGAAAGCCCCCCAGAAATGTGCTCTTTTCCCACGGGGTGCAGGTGACACCTGCTGGGACACATCGGCTTATGGACACATTGGCTCGTAGGCACGTCTCACCCCAGACCACTGAAGCAGCGGAGAGACTTCAGTGATAAATCACCCCCTTTATCAACCTTTAAATTTGAAACAGTGATGCCCCCCTTCACCCCACCCTTTTTTTTTTCTTTTTGAGATGGAGTCTCGCTCTGTCTCCCAGGCTGGAGTGCACTGCCGCAGTCTCGACTCACTGCAACCTCTGCCTCCCAAGTTCAAGTGATTCTCCTGCCTCAGGCTCCCGAGTAGCTGTGACTACAGGCGGTGCCACCACGCCTGGCTAATTTTTTGTATTTTTAGTACAGATGGGTTTTCACCATGTTAGCCAGGATGGTCTCGATCTCCTGACCTCGTGATCTGCCCGCCTCGGCCTCCCAAAATGCTGGGATGACAGGCGTGAGCCACCGCACCTGCCAGTGACACCCTTTTTTTGTAATCCTTCACATAGACAACAGCTACATGTATCCCTTTTCAATTATTTCCTCACAGCCCCTCGTACTCCCCTTGCCTCTAGTTCTTGGGTCTGTTTCTCTGGGCCACACTTCATCTTATTCATAGATCATGGAATAATCTAGTTAGATTGTGAAAGGAAAGATTCCAGTTACACACCCACGGAAAGAGAGCCACAGCCCCATCCCCAGCCCTGGGTTCTCAGGACTTCATTTCGCAGCCCTCTGGTCACTGACCACGCCGGGCGGCCTGTTTCCTGCCCCTGCCATTTGGGCCTTCTTTCCTCAGTGACATTACACCTGGTGGCTTCAGACTTTCTTGACTGCCTCAGTGAGAAGCTACTTTTTGCCTCATCAGCACACACAAACACACACGAGTGAGAAGTAGGTGTAAAATGGAACCAAAGCTTCATGAGATGGTGCACCCTCACCCTCTACTCTGTTCCACTTCCCTTTCTAATGGCAGTCATCATCTTCCAAATTGAATTTCCTCTCCACTGAGAGGGTGCTGTTTGAGAAACAAGCCTCTAAACCAACCTTCAAGGGATCACAGCACAGCAACCACTCCCAACTCTGTTCCTTGGGCCCCTCCTCTGAGTGCCATTATTCTCACTGCCTGGATTCACTCATTCAGTCAATCAGCAAACATGTAATGAGGGACAACTGTGCAGATCCGTGCTCCTCATGACAGGGTCCCAGGCCAGCAGCAACAGCAATGCCTGAATATTTGTCGGAAATGCACATTCTCAGGCCCAACCCAGACCTCTGGGTTTGCCCATCAACTGTGTTTTGAGAAGCCCTCTCGTGATGATTCTTCTGTCCTCTCCAATCTGAGAGCCTCTCTGCTAGCTGATGCAGGCTGTGCCACGTAGCACCAAGTCCTCCTAAATGTGTTCACACCATGGGAACAACACGTGGCCTAAGGGATCTCTTCAGAATGCTCTGTCACTGTTTCACACACTGCAGGACTAAGAAGTGGGTGAGGGCCTGCTCTCCCTGAGGCTGCGTGCTTTCAGATTGTTCTTTATGCCAAGTTGTTTTGGGAGCCCCCTGCTAAACTGGGGTTCCAGTACCAGAGTGGGTGGCAACCCTGCCCTCTGGGGAAATGCACGGGCCAGATGTGATGTTTACCATGCGCCTTCTATGGGATGCTTCTCTTACCTGATGGATGGCCTAATGCCTGGTTGTCCATTGTGTGCCTGGGGTCACTCACATGGGAAACTTGCTTGCAGTGGCAGATGCCCTGAGGCTCGTGTCTGACCCGTGTCCAGGATTTGCCAGCCTGACCATTGCCCTAGGGCTGGAGCCCACTCTTATGTTTCCCCCGCCCACTGGGAACCAGGGAAACAGCCTGGGCAACCCCTAGTTCTTCTAGCGGAAGATGGAAATTCAACCCGGCCCCCACACATGTACAGCTGCACACACACCTGCACACACACACCTATACGTGTGCATCTGAATACATACACCTACAAAGACTCACTCACAGATCCTGCGTAGGGAGGGGTCGATGAGTCAGGAGGGCTGTCTTCCATCCCTGGGTCCCACCAGGCAGAGAGAGAGAGAGAGAGAGAGAGGGAGAGAGAGAGAGAGAGAGAGAGAGAGAGAGAGGGAGAGAGGGAGAGAGGGAGAGAGGGAGAGAGGGAGAGAGGGAGAGAGGGAGAGAGGGAGAGAGGGAGAGAGGGAGAGAGAGAGAGAGAGAGAGAGAGAGAGAGAGAGAGAGAGAGAGAGAGAGAGCGAGCAACTAGTACTATAAATATATAGGGGAACAGGGTGTGGTCACTTTAAGTTCACAGGCAAATGCCTGACTAGGGCTTTGCTTCTAATACCCCGGCGGAAACGTGGGCCCCGTCATTCCCTTACACAAAGGTTACGGCTGGGCTGGGAATAATGCCTCAAAAAGCTGTTGGAGAACCTTTCATGAGACTTGTTCTTGAGCTTTCTGGTCCTGTAGTAAATCTGATGAAAGCTATGGCCCCTCTCCAAGTAAATGCAAATGTGTACATGCTTGTGCACACACATACCTACAAACAACTGCACACACACCTACATACACATCTACACATCCACACCCACACACGGGGACATTACCCCTGGACACACACCTACATACATGCACACACACCTACACACCCCCCACATCTACACACACCTGTGCACACACACCCACGCACACAACCCCACCCACATGAGGGACATTACACTTGCACACACACATACCTGGACACACCTGTGCACACACACCTGCACACACGCACACATGCAAACACCTGTGCATGTGCACTTACACATACACCCCTACACACATGTGCACACACACATCCCATACACCTGTGCTAGCATGCCCACCTGTACACGCACACCTACACACATCTGCACATACTCACCTGTGCACGCACGTCCACCCATGCACAACTGTACACACACACCTGTACACACACCTGTACACCCACACACCTACACATACCTGTGCACACACACCTGCACACACACACACCTGTGTAGGTAGAGGACCAGTGGTTTGTTTCCTGGAGAGCTCCCTTCCTCCAAGCTGACCAGCTGCTCTCTCCCCAGGTGGGCAGCTCTTGTCCCAGAACTCTGCTTGGAATCCCCTCAGGGTGGTGCTCTGTGTGCTGGACCCCAAGCCATCTTTCTTGGTTTTGAAACATTTTCTACAGCAGCTTCCAGAGGAGGGGCTCATGACTCTGAAGACATCTTTATTATGCTCTTCACGGCTCATTCTCCAGGTATTGGATCCTAGGTGGAATTCATTTTCCTTGGGAATCTCAACAGCTTCACTCTACTGCTTTCGTGTTGTTGAGAAGCCCAAGGCCTTTTTATCTCTGTCCCTTTGCCTGAGAGCTGATTTAGTTTCTTTCTGAAAGCTATTTAGAACTTTATTCAGTGTTCTGAAATTTTGTGATGATGTGATTTGTAGGGGACTTTTTTCATTTACTGTGTGGGTATCTGTGGTGCCCATATGACTGAGACAAAGAAATGGAAAATGGCAGGGAAAATGTAAGCAAATTAGAGGATCAAACCAGGCAGTCCATCATCCAGCCAAAAGAGGGTCCAGAAAAAGAGAACCAAAGACACCAGGGACAGAGCTGCCAGAAGCCACCTGGGAAAGAACCCAGGTCTCAGGAGCATTCGCCAAGCTCCTAGGTTCCACCGTCTCTTCCATCTCCCCTGAGCGTTTTTATCTTGGTAATTTTTTTTTTTTCATTTCAAAGAGATTTTTTTCTTGATCATTTTTCATGATATTCTGTTCTTATTTTATGGATGTACTATCCCTGACAGTGTATTAATGGTAAGTTTTTATTTTATTTATTTATTGTTCTTTTTTCTTGGAGACAGACTCTCGCTTTGTCGCCCAGGCTGGAGTGCAGTGGTGTGATCTCGCTCACTGCAACCTCTGTCTCCCAGGTTCAAGCGATTCTCATGCCTCAGCCTCCCGAGTAGCTGGGACTACAGTTGGGTGCCACTATGCCGGGCCACACACCTGGCTTTTTTTTTTTTTTTTTGTAGTTTTAGTAGAGACAGGGTTTCACCATGTGGCCCAGGCTGGTCTTGAACTCCTGAGCTCAGGCAATCCGCCCACCTCAGCCTCCCAATGTGCTAGGCGTGAGTCACTGCGCCTGGCCTAATGATAGGTTTTTAAAACATTTTCCATGACATTTTTTTCTGCTTCCTGAATTCTCTGTTTTCATTCTTCTGCTTTGGTCTTACCTTTAGGAAAGCCCTAGGTGGAGGTTGTTCACTCATATCCATATATATATATATATATATATATATACATTCTTTTTTGAGACAGGTCTCACTCTGTTGCTCAGGTTGGAGTGCGGTGGCATGATGATGGCTCACTGTAGCCTCGATTTTCCGGGCTCAGGCCATCCTCCCACCTCCTGAGTAGCTGAGACTACCTGAGCACCACCACACCCACCTAATTTTTGTGTTTTTCATAGAAACAAGGTCTCATCATGTTGCCCAGCCTGGTCTCAAACTCCTGGGCTCAAGCGATACATCTGCCTGAGCCTCCAAAAGCACTGGGACTTCAGAGGCATGAGCCTGGGGAGCAGCAAGCCTTGTTCATTCACATGGAAGAGTTAAGATGCTAAAATGCTCACTGGAAGTTCTGTGAAAGGGTGGGTTGTCTCCGGGGGTGTCATTCCCCAAGGTGAGCTGATGTCAGGTCTCCTGTCTTGGCTCACCCGGAGCGTCTAGAGGACAGTCCTGCAGCCCCTTGCCTTGTGGAAGTTCATGAGGTAAAGTCACAGTTCTGGGAGGAAGCCACACCTCTCTGTCCCAACCCCCTGGATTATAGGTGAAAATAAATTTTAACTTCTGATAATCTGATGCCCAAATTCTTGATGACTTTAGGGAGCCCAGTGAGTCTCCTCTTCTTTCCTGAAAAGCCCTAGCTCTTCACCATGTTTTCACCACTCACTTTTGCCCAGCTCATGCTCAGGGGTTCGCTTCTTCATGCTCAACTGGTAAAAATCACAGGTGGCCCGATTTCATCATACCTTTTCAAAGCGTTGACGACGCCAGGCACGGTGGCTCATGCCTGTAATCCCAGCACTTTGGGAGGCCGAGGCGGGCAGATCACCTGAGGTCAGGAGTTCAAGACCTGCCTGGCCAACATGGTGAAACCCCGTCTCTACAAAAATACAAAAAGTAGCCGGGTATGATGGTGGTAGCCTGTAATCCCAGCTACTTTGGAGGCTGAGGCAGGAGAATCGCTTGATCCCGGGAGGCGGAGGTTGCAGTGAGCCGAGATCGCACCATCACATTCCAGCCTGGGTGACTGAGCGAGACCCCATCTCAAAAAAACGAACAAACAACAACAAAAAACCAAAGTGTTGACGATGACCGATCGATTGATTGGAAAGAGGAAACCCAAGCCCAATGGCTTTGTTCTTTTTTATTTTACTTTTGTTTTCTTTTCTACAGGAAGGAGGCTTTGTTCTTGCAAATGTAGGGGGAGCATTCCGGCCCAGGGGAAGCTCAGTGAGTAGCGGGTGTGGATTTGCCCTGCCGGACTTGGATGCATGGCGTGGCACAATTGTTTATTCTCCTTAATTAAATTTTGGCTGTGAGTTCCCATCTACCTGGCCAGAAATTTAACCCCAATCATTTTTATGGGTGTCTCTCCTGCTCTCAGAATCAAACCAGAACATTCTGGAGAGAACCTCCAGTCTTCAGGCCCCTGTGGGGGAACCTAGGTGGTGTGGGGCCAGGTGTCCACACCCCAGTGCAGAAACGGATGTCGGTTCCCCTTCCATGTCCCATGGGAACCTCTGGCACAGCTCCCTGGCAGTGGGTCAGGGTCCTCTCCCCAGGCCCTCATGACGCCCAGAGGACCCGCCCCTCACTGAGAAGCCCCACCCTCGGCCGACCCCTCAATCCTTTGAACACTCCATCTCTTTTGCTACTTAAACCAAAGCCAAAAAGACGCCCCATCACCCTCCCCCGGGCGAGGGAAGGCAGAGGTCACAGGACACAAACCTGTCGCTGCTCTCAGGAGAAGCATCCTCCTTCCTTCTGGAAGGGATTGGAAAATGAGACCAGCCTCTCTGTCCAGTCCCCTGGCAGTGGGTTCAGCTTTCCATGGCCAGCCTGAGAGCTTCCAGGTGACTTGCTGGAGGGGGAGGAGCCCAGAGGTTTCCCTGCTGAGCTGTGAAAGGGCTTCCTGAGGGCGCTGAGAGATTGAGCAAAAGGCAGACAGGGAGGAAGGGGAAACACTGGGTGCCCAGGGGGATAGCATCTGTACATCTCAGGCCCTGGAGGGCTGGGCCTCACGGTGACATGAGCATGTGTGGCTGCAACCCCGGAGTCCTGGACGGAGGTGAAGGCACCCAGGATGAAAGGACTCAGGTGGGGTGGGCTTCGCACGGACCCCTAAACTCCAGAAGATTAGCAGGGACATAGGCAAGGCACTGGAATCACACAGGAGAAGAGTCCCTGGGAAGCTGGCAGCAGCAGTGTTATTTGAAGGACACCACAGTCATGGTGTGAGCTCTGCACTGGAGGAGCGCCCCGTCCCGGGCACAGGCCGTGCTGAAGAATGAGGAGCATCACAGACTCGGGGACTCAGGCATGTTTGTCTGTTCTCACGCCTTCCCCAAGACTGGGTAATTTATAAAGGAAACAGGTTTAATTGACTTGCAGTTCTCCATGGCTGGGGAGACCTCAGGAAACACAATCACGGCAGAAGGGGAAGCAGACACATCCTTATTCACAAGGCAGCAGGATGGAGAAGCGAGAGCGCGAGAACAAACTGCCACTTTTAAAACCGTCAGACCTTGTGAGAACTCACTATCATGAGAACAGCCTGGGGGACATCTGCCCCCATGATCCAATCACCTCCCTCGGTCAACCCATGACGATTACAATTCAAAATGAGATTTGGGTGGGGACACAGCCAAACCATATCATCAGGGAAGTATGGGGTGGGGAAGCCAGGAGAGGAGAAGGCAGCAGGGAGGAACAGGGAGACTCACGCGGCCCACCAGGAACTCAGGGACGCGGCTCCAGGCCACGGCCATGTCCTTGCGGTGCACTGCAGGGCACCAAGGGTGGGCACTGCCTAGTCCTGTGGGGATGAGCACGTGGTTACAGGAATGGGCTGAACTGAAGGAATTATAAAGAAAACCAAAATGGGTTTCAAAATTTTTTCTTTAAAATATCTCCATGCAGTTTTTATAAGTTCCCATGACATTAATAAAAGTATTGTAAGTTTCATTCATACAAAAAATACATATGAACTGCCTATTATGTATTATGTACCAGTGTTAGGATTTTTTTATCCAAATATTTTTCCCAGTTTTGCTTGGCTTTCAAATTTGTTCACGATGCTTTCTGATATGCTGAAATTTTACATTTTCATGTGAAATAGAATTTTCAAATAGTACAATTTCTTTCATTGTTCAATATCCCAAGAACCTTTAAGTATCCTGTTTATAAATATTCAATTGACCCATGTTTACGGTCTAGCCTCGCAGTGCTGCCGTGTGGGCCTGTGGGTCTCCCCCCAAGCTCTTACTTTCCCGGGGCCTGTCCGAGTTGAGCTGGGTGCTGTCCGAGTCGAGCTGGGTGTTGTTGGGTAATACAGCTCTGCATGGGCAGACGGGAGGCAGCTTTTGGGCAGCGGGGAAAGGACACAGAAGCAGAAATATCAAAGAAGAAATAAAACTGGCCTTGCAGACACAGAGGCCTCGCTGGTTGAGAATGGCTGGTTTTGGGGGGAGTGTGAAGGCCGTGTAAGCTCATGGCTGGAGCTCGAGACAGGAGACTGGACCACCCAGGTCAGTGCTCTGGGGACACATGGCCCAGGCACTCCCTGCTGCCAGCTGTTGTTCAGGTTGTTATCGAGGCCGCCAACACCCCCTCAGCCTCAAGCATTCAGGTTGGAAGCTCACTTCCATAAGCCTGGTCTCAGATGTTGATCCGGTAGGATTTCACCGTAACCTGATGACAATTTTCAAATTTAAGATGAAGATGTCATGATCAGGCTGGTTAGCCTCCAGCAAACATGTCCCCACAAGACTCACCATGAGTCCGTCCTCCCACTTCTTTCTAGTGACATGCTACACACTGGGGAAATGCTGAGAGCAGGGTGGGGGCAATGTGGCTACCAGGGGCTCGGTGGCTCGGAGACCCCCATCTGGATGACAGGGGCAGACATGATGGGGATGGGATGGGGAGGGTGAAGCTTTCTGGAAGGTCTGGATGAAAGAGGAGTCATGAGGTCAAGAAAGGGTTCTGCTGGGTCAGCATGGGACAAACGGGCAGGTCACAGATGAGGAAGTCACTAGCAGAGAGGTGGGGGTGAAAACGGGAGTGACGGGTTCACAGAGCCAGGTCCTGTGGCTGGAGTGGGGCAGGTGGGCCCAGCTGGGGCTTTGAGGACACCGTTCCTGGGCAGTTAGGATCTTACCTGAGTGATCAGTTAGGCAGAGACCCTAGCATGCTTTCTCTCGTCATTCAGGGCACTTCTTATTTCATCTTGCAGAGAGAGGCTAATTTCGTGTTTTGGGGGGAGTTTGATGTTACTCTCATCAAGTCGGTTTCCTTCAGTTTAACAAAATTAAAAAGATGGTCACAGGTGTTGGAGACAAAAAAAAAGTCACCCTGTTGCAGAGACTCCACTGTATCCTGAATGCCTGGATGGGGAGAAGGCGCGTGCACAGGGAAGATGGAGTGTCACAGGCGTGGCAAAGCAGCACAGGGACACAGTGATAGGCCAGTCAGCCTCAGGCAGACAGGCCACACCCAGAACGCTTCACATGCACCTGGCAACATCTCATATATCATCACGAGTGGAGGAGAAAACGGCACTAGACCATTTGGGCTCATTTAGAAATGAAAAACCAAAGATATTTTCTAAACATAAACATGTTGGTATCATTTCTCCATTAATCTGCTTCAGACTAGATACAACTTACTTCAAAATGTTTTAATTTATACTACTGCAATCGATAATTTATGTGTGCAATACATAATTACACCTGCCATTTTTACCTTCTCTATCTCAAGTATTTTGGTCAAATTGTTAGGCTCTTAAAGCTGACAGGTATACGAAAACCCTGGCTTAAAGTACTTGCTATGTTGTACACAATAAATATGTTGACTTTTATCTGTCAATTAAAAAAATTCATGCAGTTGAAAAAGCCTAATACGGTACCTGCTACGGTTCAAATGCTTCTGTCCCCTCGATGTGCACTGCAAGCGTTGGGAGGTGAGGCCTGCAGGGAGGTGTTTAGGTCAGGAGGAATCTGCCCTCGTGAATCAATGCTGCCACACAAAGGGGACTGGGGAGTGGTTGGCTCTCCTGCTCTTCTACCACGTTAGCACCCAGCCTTCCTCCCTCTGGAGGACCCAGCGTTCCAGGCACCATCCCGGAAGCAGAGAGCAGGCCTGACCTGCCAGCACCTCCATCTTGTTGTCCCCAGCCTCCAGAATTTCGAGAGATAAGTTTGTGTTCTTTGTAAATGACCCAGTTTCAGGCATTCTATTACAGCAGCACAAAACAGATGAGCACAATGCCTCTTAGGGAAGTCCTTGTGAGGCTCAGATCCTCACCTGTGTGGTTTTCTAAACTGGGGCACATAATCACCAAAATAGATATTTAAATATCAAAAGTTAGAACTTATCAATTAACACTGCATTAATTTGGTGTCTTGGAGAATAGCATGTTAATATAGAAATCATCTTAGTAAAAAAAAAAATTGGCTGGAATTTTGTATAAAGATAAGCTCAATACAAAAAAATTAATAAAAACAGATTTTAATAAATTTCAATTAATTATACCATGATCATAAATTATCTTTATTAAAGAATACATATTCTTGTGATTTAAAACCAAATATTTTAAGTGATATATCTAATAGAAATTGACATGAAATTATTTCATTTAAAAGTTACAATAAAAGGCAAATAGACATCCGTATTTGTCTCATTTTAGAAAACATAGGCTTTAAGAATCAAAAGTAAGCTTCCAAGCTCACGGCCAGGATTACAACTTCATATTACAGAAATGTTTAATAACAAATATTTGACTAACAGATTATAATTCTGAAGTTGTACATTTTTAAAAGCCTTTTAATTTTGCTTCTTTACTAAAAAAACTATGAACTGATGAACTCACAATAGAAAATTAATAATAATTTCAGGGAAAAAAAAAAAAGGCACATCCAGGCACCACATTCAAGGTGATCGGTAAAACGCAGTGTCCCGGGTCTACTG
Organism: Homo sapiens; assembly: GCF_000001405.40. Classification (NCBI taxonomy): domain Eukaryota; kingdom Metazoa; phylum Chordata; class Mammalia; order Primates; family Hominidae; genus Homo; species Homo sapiens. The sequence goes on along the minus strand of NC_000013.11, from coordinate 113,549,754 downwards.
CACATAATCAACAGACTGCAAATAAACTACTCCGGAAAATTCTAAAATAGGACAAGAATATTCTGTAAAAGCCGGGATAACACGACTGCACTGACGCTCTGCTAGAGGGCTGTTCTGTTGCCAAGGTGCGAGCTTCCCAGAAGGAGCAGCTGCTGGCCATCTAAGCGCTCACTCCCCACAGACGCTTCCCTTCCACGGTCCATCATCTCCGAGCCATCAGAGGCTGGACCGTCTCTCCGGTCTGGGCACACACCTCGTGATTGCAGCTCTCCACAGCACCGGGGCGAGCAAGAGGCTGAGCGTGGTCACACTCAGTATAAGGAGGTACACCTGCAACAGCAAAGTGCAGAGCGGGTCACAGAGACTGTCAGGACTAGCACCTGCAACAGGAAAGCACAGGGCTGGTCTCACTGAGCTGGGAGGGACGCCTGCAAAGCTAGAGTCCTGAGGCTGAGCACAGTCACGCTGAGTGCTGGGAGGGATGCCTGCACGGGGGGGTGGGGGATGGAAGCTAAGCGCGGTCATGCCGAGTGCTGGGAGGGACGCCTGCACATCATAAATTCACTACTATCTCTTTAAAGCACATGGAAGTACAGCCAGAAGCTGAGGACATTGGGATGTAGGAGAGACTGTGATTTCAAGATCAGTGATGCATGGTTAGTCCTGATGGGCCACAGGATAACAGCTTTAGCCTGTGTTTGCCTGAAGGCCAACCCCGGGCCACAGTAACAAGCCAGCCTGCCCCACAGCTTCCCTGACCCTGGGGATGCGGCCTTGGGTCAGGCCTCAGGTGGAGCTTCCTGTAAGCAATTCTACCTTTCAGCAATTACTTCCACTGCACTCAACACCTGGACTTCTACCCGCCTCACACTTACACAATGCAAGGAGACAAGGCCGTGAGTCCGAATGCCCAGGGCCATCTCAGTGTCCACAGGAACCTCCACCCAGCTCTCCGGGCACACTGCCATTACGGGTATTTCACGTTTCTGGGGTGCTACTTATGTGCACACTGGCAGTTCAGCTTTAAAAAGTTAGTTTTCTTTCAGAAGAAATATCTGACATTTAATTAGACTTGTTGTAAAAGGTTAATGCAATAGTTCAAGCAGTACTAACTGCAACTTTCCTCTGAAAACGCCACATGCTGGATGAGCAGAGAGCAGCCAGGCCTCTGCGTGCCCCCCTGGAGGAGGACCCTGCCCCCAGGCCCCGCTGTGCTGCCGAGCCGCCTTCGCCACACCCGACTCAAACCCAGAGTGCAGCCCGTGCCGCCCGAGAAGCGCTCCGCGGGGGGAAGCCACTCACCTCCCGAGAGATGACGCCCGCTCTTCGCGCCCGGCTCCCCAGGACAAAGGAAAACTCGCTGACCTGGGCAAGCCCCGCAGAGACGATCCACTTGATGTACTGGCTGCTCCTCGGCAGAATGAGAGACAGGACCAGCGCCGCCAGGAGAAACTGCAAGAGCGGTTCATTACGTCACTGCTGAAGACTGGACCCACACAGAGTTAAACACACACGAAACAGAGAACCCAGACGAGCCACAGGCACGCTGCGATGGTCCCTGAATAACACGTCAAGTAGGGAAAGGCACAGAAGCACTCCAAACACCCGAAGGCACCAAATACACGCAAAACCTCTTAAATAATCCACACTGAACAATAAGGCAAAATTAAGCCTTTCGGTTCATTAGCAGAAAATAATAAGCCTTGCCCAAGCCCCCCCGCCCCCGCCCCAACCAAACTAGATTAATAGCATTAAGCGTGGGGTACTCAAGGTGGAAATTTCTTTTTAATACAGAGAGATGTGTGTCTCTGGGCCGAGCAGCTAAGAGCTGGTGGTGTGTCTTTGGGCCGAGTAGCTAAGAGCTGGTGGAGTGGTCCAACGATCATCACAGCTTCTGGCTCCTTAAAACGGAAATGACCTAAGTCACTGTCTATGAGCCAGAAAGCCACTGGTTGCTGACTAGGTCATCACACCTTCAATTAAATGTGGACACAGGCAGCTCGATCACTGGCAGTCACGGGGGACAGACAGAAAGTGCCTACACCATTTTCCAGTCTTTAAAAAGCATGTCTGCATCTGTCAGAGGAGGACGGGCTGGACTGCAGCCAAGGCCCGTCCTGAGGGTCCCAAAAGGTTAGTTCCCCCCTTTAAACACGCTCAATTCTGAAACAATCGATCACATGGACAAACCCAGACCGCCCAGCCTCGTCTACATCTGCCTCCCCCGGGGTCCAGTGGCCCAGTGGGCCTCCTCCGAGATGAGGAGCAGGGCCGGCTCTGCAGGCCCGATGTGGGCCCCACTGGAAACCAGGGCCACAGGGAGGGCTATGCTGAGCCTGCAAACTGCGAGGGGCGTGGACCCTTCCAGTCCATACCTTCATCACCACCACTGACAAGGTGAGGAACACCAGCACCGTGAGCTCGTACGCCACAAACGTGGGGAACACGTGGAGCCCTGTTGGGAACAGGACAGACACGTTACGACCGCAGGACAGCCTCCCCCAGCGCACACTATTTCTCACAACTTCAGTGTGTCACTTGCTTCAATACAGGAATTAAAATCCTAAATCCTCCCAAGTGCACGTGTGAAAGCAACAGCAAATGCTAAAAAGCCGCCCCTTTCCTGAGCGAACCGGGGAAAAGCCTGCCCTGGGATGACCTGTCTGATGTGGTGGGATCCCAGCTCCACTCCCTGCAACAGGCCTCAACTGCAGAGGACACAGCAAAACACACAGAGGCGGCACTCGGTCTGGCACTCCTTCAGGAAATATTCCAGCTGAGGTGCAGATGATCCCAGAGCCCACAGCCCCACAGTGCCCAGGAGTGCCCAGGAGTGCCACGCTCACAGGACGCCTGTGGTCAATGTTCCTTTCCTTCCTTTATTTGGCTCACACATTTTTAAAAACAATGGGAAACGTTGTCTCCACATATTTCTTCTCTCTGCTCTCAGGACTCTCGGACTGGGCTGCTCAGTCCTGCTGTGCTGCCGAGTGACGCAGAGGGGCCGGCGGTGCTGGGGCTGGACCTGAGCTTGGGCTCAGCTCTCCAGCCACAGCCTGGAGCTGCCCAGTGATGCATGTCAGCCCTCGGAGGAAGCCCGGCAGCCCAGAGGCCTCCTCTTGATCGGAAGGACCCAGACCCCAGGGTTAGGTGCACGGAGCAGGCCCATGACCTTTCTGCCGTTCACAAACCACTGTCTCTACCTGACCCAGAAACACAAATGTAAACACTGGCCTTTTTTCTCTTGCCACGACCCGGGGTTCTCTTGCGCTTGAGGGCTGCCTTCTCTGGCCACCCAGTCTTCTAGCCACGGCCCCTCCTCCTGGGTCTGGGTCTCAGAGCTGCCCCCTCCATGCCCACTCCCAGTGCTCCCCACGGCCCCTCCTACCCCGGCCACCAGCCTGGCCCCACTGTGTCCCCCTCATCAGCCCCAGCCCCACGGCGGCCTGGGGTCCACCTCCCTCTCTCCCCAGCTGTCAGCTGAGCCCCGGCCCCAGTCCTGCTTCCCCTCAGGATGTCTGTGCCTCTGCCCTGCTGCAATGCCCGGTCCAGGCTGCCTTTGGCCACACTGGTGTCTAGGAAGTCACTACCGTCACGGCCCTATGTCCACGCCGGCACAACTGAGACAAGCTCACAACAGTGTATGGCACAGGGGACGCTCCCACCTCTCCCCAAAGGGGGCCTCACATCGCGGCCACACAGGTACCCAGGGCTCCCCACCTTGGGCGTTCCGGGCTGCGTTTTCTCCCCGCTGCTGCCCGGTGGAAAGCCTCCCCTTCATCTCCAGCCCCACTGGCTTCCTTCCTGCTTGGGAATGTCCTGTTCCAGAGATTCCAGGCTTCCTTCCCATCTCCTACCTCTGGACTTTTCCACAAGCCTCTCTTCCTCCCCAGCACGCCCTGAGCCTCCACCTCTGCACCTGGTGGCATCCCTCACCCCGGCCAGTCGCTGATGCCCCGGAGGCTCCTGTGCTCTCAGCTGAGCTGGACAGCTGTGTCCCTGCATCTGCCCCCCACCCAACCCTGGGCTGCAAGCTCCTTCAAGGCAGGGCTGCCCTGGGGACATGGCTCACTCCACCCCTGCCTGAGCTCAGTGCAAGCTCCTTCAAGGCAGGGCTGCCCTGGGAACATGGCTCACTCCACCCCTGCCTGAGCTAAGAGTTCCTGGCCCTGGGGGCGGAGTGGGGGTGGGGGGAGTGAGCCAATAATTATGGAGCCTAATGCATTCCAGTCAGTCCCAGAAACAGCAATGAAAATGAGAGACAGGAAACCTCCCTTCAATTTCTTTAATGAGCTATGCTGACTTTTCTATGCAGGGTCATTTATTCTCAAAACAAACATCAAACCTATACTTGGTGTAGCACTGAGAAACTATGTGGGCTCTGGGCTCAAGTCTTGGGTTCCTGGGCCCCACCGGCTCCACAGCACCCAGGAGCACCACATTCACTGTGGACCCAGCTCGATGTTTCAATCTCTGTGTGCCTCAGTTTCCTCATCTGTGAATGTGGATTTGGAGGCTGAGTAAAGGAAATTTGCCATGTGAGGTATGTGCCTGGTTCAGGGCTGCTAAGGACGCTGCCTGCACAGGCACCAGGCCATGGCGTGAAGGTGAGCGAGGCTGGCGGGGGCGCACACCTGCATCCACCAGGGAGGGACGCCCAACAGCAAGGCAGCTCCCAGCACTGTCCCAGAGCCAGCTGCCTGCTTCTGAATGCGGGGAACATGAGAAGAGGATGAAATCCTTGCTGTAAATTTCACAAGACACACCCAATGACTGACATTGTCGATAAAGCTGGAGTGACTAGGAATTAGGGAGCTGGGCAGGCATCTTCCACAAAGGCCAAGATGGAAAACACTTCGTGCTTTATGGACGAACACCTGCTGTGGACTGAGCTGTGTCCTGCGAACTCCTACGTTCAGGCTCCAGCCCCAGTGTGGCTGTATCTGGAGACAGGGTCTGCGGGAGCTACTTAAGGCAAAATGAGGCCACATGCGTGAGAACCTAATCTCTCCGCGCAGGCCATGGCGGCTGAGCCACGGATGACACAGCCAGGAGGCACCATCTGTGGAGCAGGCATGGCCCTCGCCAGACACCTGGATCTTGGACTTCCAGCCCCCACAACGGTGAGAGATAATCATCTACTGTTTGAGTGCCCGGTCTGGAGGATTTTGTTGATGGCCCGAGCTAATAAGTAGCCCAACAGCGGCTGCTGATAAAGAGTAAATGAGCAAGCGTGGCTGTTTCCATAGAGCTGCATTTACAAAGGCAGGTGGTGAGCAGGCCTTGGGCCGCAGCTGGCGAACCCTCATCTAGTGGGAAGACCACCTGCTCCGAAACCTGGGCCGGAGCCACACTGCCACGTGCCGTCCACGAGACCCCGACCTTGCTCTGTGGTGCCTTCTGGGCCATCCTTCGGCGCAGCAGCCCTTCCTCACTCAGGGCCTAAAGATTGCCCTGCCCCTTTCACACCCTTCAGATGCAGCCTCGACTCAGAAGCACAGCCTGGGCCTCACCCAGCGGGCACGAGCCTCGGGGCGGGAACCTGAGAGCGACGCCTGCCAGCCTGCAGGTGGCTGTGGCTGTGGCTGTGGCTGACCTGCAGAGGAGTCTCTGCGGCTGCACCGGGCAGGCAGCCCGGACACATCTGTTGGAACTGGGAGCTCCACCCGGGTTTCTGCCGCCCTGAAGTGGATATCGGGTCCCACGCACAGAGGCAAAGGTGCCGTCTGAAGCGGGCAGATGCCGTCTACGTGCTGCCTGGACTCCAGAACAAAAATAAGGTCCTGGCCGAGTTAGAGAAAAAAGTGAGCTATAAACAAGTTCTCAGATGGCAGAAAAATTAACTTGAATTCCCTGATATACTCAGTACCAAAAACTAGAGCAAAAACACGTAGAATGATGTGAATAGAAAGGGTTCTCAACATAAAAGAACTCTAGTTTGAAGACAAGGCAAGCATGTCTGTGTAAATCACATATTTATGAAATTTTAGATTTTTAACAGGAGCTCTCAGACATGCACACTCAACAAAGCCCCGGCGGACAAGACACCAGGTCACACGCCACGGCCAGGGCAGCCTGGGGCTGGAGCAATGTGGGAAAAATCAGGTCAGGCCTGATCCATTTTATTAGTCCTCGTCTAAAAGAAGTGAAAGGAAGATCAGGAAATCAGTTTATTTAGCTTGCTGAGGAGGAGTCACCAGGAGCGAGGTTGGGGGCACGGGGGGAGGAAGTGGGGGTCACACACAGATGGAGGGCGGGGGGAGGGGGAGGAGGTGGGGGTCATGGGCAGGGGGAGGAGGTGGGGGTCATGGGCAGGGGGAGGGCAGGGGGAGGAGGTGGGGGTCATGGACAGAGGGAGGGCAGGGGGAGGAGGTGGGGTCACGGACAGGGAGGGCGGGGGGCAGGGGGAGGAAGTGGAGTCACCCACAGAGGGAGGGCGGGGGCAGGGGGAGGAGGTGGGGGTCACGGACAGAGTGGGGGCAGGGAGAGGAGGTGGGGGTAACACACAGGGAGGGTAGGGGCGCAGGGGGAGGAGGTGGTCACGGACAGAGGGAGGGCGAGGGGCAGGGGGAGGAGGTGGGGTCCGGACAGAGGTAGGGCGGGGGGCACGGGGAGGAGGTGGTCACGGACAGGGAGGGCTGGGGGCAGGGGGAGGAGGTGGGGGTCACAGACAGAGGTAGGGCGGGAGGCAGGGGGAGGAGGTGGGGGTCACACACACGGAGGGCCGGGGGTGCAGAGCAAGGGGATCAAATGGCAGCCGAGAGGCTCTCCCGGGACACACTGACTCGTGAGGCTGCATTGGGGTCAGGAGGTCACGAAGCCCCTGCTGAATGGTCCTATTTCACCTGCGACAAGGGGCCCAAGCCTCCCAACTCTGTGCTGCTTTCAGGACTGCCTCGGCTATTTATGGCCTTCAAATTTCCACATAAAATTCAGAATCAGCTTTTGAATTTTCCGTTTGGTTGAGGTTGTGCTGAGTCTGTGGCCCCTGTAAAGCACAGGGCATCTCAGACCCTGTGCTGAGTGGACAGCTGCCAGGGATGTGGCCCGACACCAGATCCCTTGTGATTCCACCCTCTCAAATCACTACTCCAGGCTGCTCCACAGACCCTGACAAGGGAGATTTCCAGAGCGGCCCATCTCACTGTGCTCAGTTTAAACTTTCTGTGTCAAAGTTAGTATTTCCTCCAAATTTGCCACTGACATGTTAGTTTCTGTGGCTGACCCTGAGCTCCCACCACTTGCCCTGTGTGGGCACCAGTGCCTGTGATGAGGAGGTGATGAGAATAACACGCATTCTCCCCTGAAGGTGATCTGGCCGCTTTCAATGCCCACTGAGAGCACACATCTCGGCGGTAATAAAGCATGGCAGTGATCAGCGACCGTGTGCGTATCATCCACACATCTCGGCGGTAATAAAGCATGGCAGTGATCAGCGACCGTGTGCGTATCATCCACACATCTCGGCGGTAATAAAGCATGGCAGTGATCAGCGACCGTGTGCGTATCATCCACACATCTCGGCGGTAATAAAGCATGGCAGTGATCAGCGACCGTGTGCGTATCATCCACACATCTCGGCGGTAATAAAGCATGGCAGTGATCAGCGACCGTGTGCGTATCATCCACACATCTCGGCGGTAATAAAGCATGGCAGTGATCAGCGACCGTGTGCGTATCATCCACACATCTCGGCGGTAATAAAGCATGGCAGTGATCAGCGACCGTGTGCGTATCATCCACACATCTCGGCGGTAATAAAGCATGGCAGTGATCAGCGACCGTGTGCGTATCATCCACACATCTCGGCGGTAATAAAGCATGGCAGTGATCAGCGATCGTGTGCGTATCATCCACACATCTCGGCGGTAATAAAGCATGGCAGTGATCAGCGATCGTGTGCGTATCATCCACACATCTCGGCGGTAATAAAGCATGGCAGTGATCAGCGATCGTGTGCGTATCATCCACACATCTCGGCGGTAATAAAGCATGGCAGTGATCAGCGATCGTGTGCGTATCATCCACACATCTCGGCGGTAATAAAGCATGGCAGTGATCAGCGATCGTGTGCGTATCATCCACACATCTCGGCGGTAATAAAGCATGGCAGTGATCAGCAATCGTGTGCGTATCATCCACACATCTGGACGGTAATAAAGCATGGCAGTCATCAGCAATCGTGTGCATGGCACCCACACAACTCAGCGGTAATAAAGCATGGCAGTGATCAGCAATCGTGTGCGTATCATCCACACATCTCGGCGGTAATAAAGCATGGCAGTGATCAGCGATCGTGTGCGTATCATCCACATATCTCGGCGGTATTAAAGCATGGCAGTGATCAGCGATCGTGTGCGTATCATCCACACATCTGGGCAGTAATAAAGCATGGCAGTGATCAGCAATCGTGTGCATGGCATCCACACAACTCAGCGGTAATAAAGCATGGCAGTGATCAGCAATCGTGTGCGTATCATCCACACATCTCGGCGGTAATAAAGCATGGCAGTGATCAGCAATCGTGTGCGTGGCATAATCTTCCTCCTGCAGAATAAAGAGCCCCAACAGCCAAAGCAACTCCAAGAAAAGGAACAAAGCTGGAGGCACCGGAGGCCACCTGACTCCAAACTCTAGCACAGGCTACAGCAACCAGAACAGTATGGCACTGGCACAGAAACACACAAGCCATCGGGACAGGCAGAAGACCTAGAAATCAGGCCGCACACCCACAGCCATCAGCTCTTCCACAAAGCCTACGATAACAAGCACCAGGGAAAGGACTCCCCACTCAACAAACAGTGCTGGGATCGCTGGCCAGCCACATGCAGAAAACTGAAACCGGACCCCCTCCTGACACCACATACAAAAATCAAGTCAAGGTGTAACAAAAACTTAAATGTAAAGCCGAACCCTGTAAAATCCCTGTAAGAAAACCTCTGAACGTTGGCCTTGGCAAAGGTTTCATGAAGAAGACTACAAACGCAATCGCAACGGTAACAAACTGACAAGTGAGACCAAGTGAGCCAAGGAGCTTCCGCCCAGCAAAGCAGCTCTCAGCAGGGCAGACAGCCTACGAATGCGAGAGAATACTTGCAAACTATGGACCTGACAAAGGTCTTATATCTATAATCTATCAGGAACTTAAACAAATCTGCAAGCAAAAAGCAGCCCCATTAGGAAATAGGGAAGGACAGGAACAGACCCTTCTCAAAAGACATTCACACGGCCAACACAACACGTATGTGGAAACAATGCTCAACATCACTGGTCATTAGAGAAACGCAAATCAAAACCACAATGAGATACCATCTCACACCAGTCAGAATGGCGATTCTAAAAAGTCAAAAGGCAACAGACGCTGGCGAGGTTGTGGAGAAACGGCAACACTTAGACACCATTGGTAGGACAGTAAATTAGTTTAGCCGCGATGGAAAGTCTGGAGATTTCTCAAATAACTGCAAACAGAATTACCATTCGACCCAGCAATCCCACTGCTGAGTTTGCGCCCAAAGGAACATACGTCCTTCTGCCATAAAGACACACGCACTCACACGTTCATCACCGCGCCATTCACAGCAGCAAAGACACAGAATCGGCCCAGATTGTGAATTCCAAGGATCCCACTGTCCATCAACCGTGGACCAGATAAAGAAAATGTGGTACATATACATCAGGGAATGTTACGCAACCGTAACAGAATGAAATCACGTCCTTTGCAGCAACACGGATGCAGCTGGAGGCCGTTCTCCTCAGGGAATTAACACCAGAACAGAGCACCAGATACCACATGTTCTCACTTACAAGTGGGAGCTCAACACCGAGTACACGTGGACACAAAGACGGGAGCAAGAGACACTGGGGCCTGGGCAAGGTGGAGGCTGGGAGGAGGAGGGTGAGGATTAAAACACTGCCGAGGGTCCTATGCTTATTACCTGGGTGGCAAAATCATCTGTACACCAAAGCCCTGTGACACTCACTACCCGTGTCACAGACCCACACACGTACCCTGAGCCTAAAGGAAAAGCTGGACAGAAGAAACAGTATAATAAAATAAGATTTCTCTGCGCTCTATAAAGCAGAAAACAGTTTCTGGCTACTAGCAATCCAAATTGAAATATGCTGAATACACTTAATTTTTAAGATAACCATTTTTGCTATATAAATATATATGCACGTAAACATATTACAGAACCACTCTGCATACGTTTAACCAACACAATCATAATGTAAAGAAGGAAGATTACCTATGGAGGCGAAGAAAACGATGGCCAGGAAGTCGCGGATGGGTTCGATGGAGGTGGCGATCTCCTCGGTGACCACGGGGCCCTGAGAGGAGACGAGCGCTCCAGCCAGGAAACAGCCCAGCTCCATGGAGACGTCCAGCAGCTCCGTGACCTGAGAGAGGCAGGACGCAGCTTTACATGAGACCCCACAGTGCACCAGGGTCACCCCCATCCCAAGGCCACCCCGAGACCCAGCAGAGCCACCACGACAAAACACAGAAGCTGCACAAACAGAGCGTGTGTGTGTCTGGTCCTGGGTCGTCTGCTGGGTCTGAGAGGTGACATGTGGAGGCTGCTATTAGTTGAATTAACCTTACTGGGAGAAAAAAATTGTTTAAAAATATTTGAAACAAATATCCATACAGATTGCGCTGAAATTTTTGAATGAGAATATTTTCCAACTGTTTTAAATATTTGTGATACATTTTCTTGACCTTGAATCAGAATAGCCCGGTGGGAGTGTTAGAAACGCATTCCCACTACCAGCCTCAAAGCAGAGAGAAAGCGACAGGACGACAAGCAACAGCCCCGGGAGGGCACGAAGCCAGCGAGAAGCATCGGCGTGTCCACGGCGGCTGATCTGATACCCAGGTTTGCAGCCACATCAGCGCGCCGGCCGGACGGCCGCGACACGGGAGCCTCAGCGCAGCTCTGCGAAACGCAGGCTTATGGCAGCCTTCCGGATGACGCACGGCTGACACCGGCCAACCTGAAAGATGATTTTTATCTTGAGAAAACAAAACTGTAGACGATAGCAGCATCAGACGAAAAGAAAAGAAACTTGTAAAGAACTACGATTTATAATGGCAACAAAAACATCACATCCTGAGGATTCAACCCAAAAGAAGGCCTGCACCTGACACTGCAAGACACAGAGACCCACGAAAGACGGAAGACTCAGATGACAGCGCCAAGGGCTCAGCACGGCGGAGCGGCGGATGCTCCCTCCCCTGGCCAACAGACGCACAGGAGCGCCAAGAGACTCATGTGTGTGAAACTGACCAGCTGAATCTAAAAACTCGAGTGGAATTTGGAAAGAGCACGAATAGAGCCAAGACGACCCTAGCACAGAACAAAGCTGGACCCAAACACGGAGATCAAGCTGCGGTGCAGCCGAGGGCAGGTGGGCAGAGTCAGAGGGGCATGTGCACACACACACACACGCACATGTGCCACGGGTACACACACCACACACAAAGCAGACACACACGAACACATACCACACACACACCACACAAAGCACATATGTATGCATGCACACATGCCACACACACGTACACAAACCACACACCACATAAAGTACACATTCATGCATGTACACATGCCACACCAAAGCACACACATGCATGCACAAACACATACATGCACATGTAACATTCCACACAAGGCAAACGAATGCATGCACATGTACACACATCACATAAAGCATACCCCACACATGTACACATGCCACAAAGCACACACATGTACACACACCACAAAGCATACATGTACACACCACAAAGCACACACATGCATGCACACAGGTACACATGCCATGCACAAAGAACACACACATGCACATGCACGCACACACACACGGCTACTTGGTTTTTGACAGGGTGATGCTATAGAAGGGGGGAAGGAGGTCTTTTCAACGCATGGCATTCAGAAACGCATGTGAATGAATGAATCCTCATCCACTCCCTCACTTCCAACACAACCGAAGCTCACCTCTGGGTGGACTGAAGATCTAATGAGAAAAGCACAGCAGAACGCTCACTGACAACAGTAAAGAGCATCTTCACGACCCAGGGGCAGGCGGATCTTTCACACAGAACACAGAAGATAGCCACGAAGAAAACAATTCATAAGCGATGATGCTGAAATTAAGAACTTCTGTTCATCAAAAGACACCGTTAAGAGAGTGAAAAGGCGAGTCACAAACTGCAAGACATTTGCAAAAACATATCTGACATGCTGGAATGGAATGTTTTTCAGCCATAAAAAGGGGCGAAGTGCTGGTGCGCACGGCGACGCGGCCAGGCCTGGAGGACGTGGTGCTAAGTGGAAGCCAGACACGGAAGCCGCCACGCGACACGGCCAGAAGCAGCGGCCCACGGGGCCAGGAAGTGGCTCCATGGCCTCGAGGAGCTGGGGGGAGAACTGAGCGCCATGGGGATTCCTTTGGGGAGGTGGATATAATTGGGTAGTGGTGATGGTGGCAAAACATTTTGAAGGCTGACTTTCAAATGATTAAAATGGCGAATTTTATGTGAATTTCATCTCAGTAAATAAATTTTTAAGAAGGACAAAAAAATCTGCCGGCATATAAAAAATAATTCCTACAAATGAGAAGAGAATCCTCACCCTACAGAATAACGACCTGGAGGCTTTAATAGGAACACCGCCAGGACAACACCCAGGTGCCACTGAGCTTTGGAAAGGGCTTGAGGGACCAGCCATCGGGAAGTGGACGCTGGAGCCCCCATCAGAGCCCTGAGATGCTCCACTCCTGGAGCAAGTGCAAGGAGGCTGTGGGGCACGGCGTGCTCACGGCACAGCAGCAGGACGGGCTGGCATGGCGACTTTGGGGAAACCCACGTCATGGCTACGGCTGAGCTCCTGTTTACTGTGGCCCTGCAACCCTACCTCCACAGGCACTCTACTAGGCTCATCAGCAGTGAAAGCACCTTCCAGAAACACGAGAATGGGCAGCAGCTCTAAATGGAAACGAATCCTAAGACTGAACAGTGGAAAGAATACATTGTGGCATCGGGTGCAGATGTGCAGAAGGCCCAGCACCCCAAGCAGCTGGCAGCAGGTGCACGGTGAGGGCTGCCCAGAGAGCGAGAAAACCTGAGAGCCGGGCAGAGTCACTGTAATGGAAGAAGCCACTGGGAGGGCAACACGGAAGTTGTCCAGATAAGACAATTCTGCTGGGAGTTATTTTCAAAGAGAAAAATACTCTGGAATGGATAAAACAATGTAAGAATTTAAATAAGTCACACTCTTGAAATAGTTAAAATCACTACAACCAGAAGCAAATCATAATTTCCTCCCAGGTTTACAAAACATTAGCAGGCAATTATATATAAGAAACAATTTTTGTTAATTTACTTTTTTTAAATGGAAACTTTTTTTTTTTTGAGGCAGTCTTGCTCTATCAACTCTGCCTCTGCCTCCTGGGTTCAAGTGATTCTCTTGCCTCAGCCTCCCAAGTGTCTGGGACTGCAGGCAGGCGCCACCATGCCCAGGTAATTTTTGTATTTTTGGTAGAGACGGGGTTTCACCATGTTGGCCAAGCTGGTCTCGAACTCCTGACCTCAGAAGATCTACCCACCTCGGCCTCCCAAAGTGCTGCGATTACAGGCGTGAGCCACCGCGCCCAGCCGGAAACTTTTTATTTTGAGATAATTATATATTAACCTGCAGTTTTAAGAGTAATACAAAGTCCTCATTACCCTTTAGTTTCCCCAATGGTAACATCTTGCCAAATTACAGCACAAGATCCCACTCAGGTGCTGATACGGACACAGCAAAGACAGCGAGTGCCATCCATCCCCAGTCCCTCCCCAGACCCCGACTCAGGTGCCGATATAGACACAGCAAACACAGCGAATGCCATCCCCATCCCCTCCCCAGACCCCCACTCAGGTGCCGATACAGACACAGCGAAGACAGCGAGTGCCATCCCCAGCCCCTCCCCAGACTGCCCATCCTCAATTCCTGGGAACCACGAGCCTTTCCTCAACTTCAGAATCTTCTCGCCTCATAAATGTGACATAAAAAGAACCACACAGTACGCAGCCTTTGGGGGCTGCCTGCCCACTCTGCGCAGTTCTCGGAGGTGTGTGCCGGTGGTTTTACTGCTGGGTGGCGTTCCGTGGTATGGACATAGCTCAGTTTGTTGAACATTTATTTACCCACTGAAGTACCTTTGGACTGTTTATGGCTAATACGAATAAAGCTGCTATAAACACCTGTGTACAGGCTACTGTGTGAACACGGCTTCATTTCTCTGGGATAAACAGCAGGAAGAGCACCTGCCGGGCTGAACAGTGACGGTGCACAGGTGCACTGTTGGGACAATGGTGACGGTGCCCAGGTGCGCTGTCAGGACTACTGAGACTCTATGGGGGTCCAGGAGCATCTCCCGCCACTCTCATGTAAAGACTGTCGTCTCGGTAAGCAGAAGCCCACTTTCCAAAATGAACTTTATTTTTTAACCTTTCACATGGCAGAACTTATACAGTTAATTAGCTTGTGAGCAACACAGTTAAAAACTGTTTTTCCAAACTTAATTTTGTATTTCAGGTGCAAAGCTATTTGAAAATTTAAGACAGAGTAGCATGGTTTGATATTAGTGTTTATGGCGCTTTTTATCATCACAGTTTTGTTTGTTTTGATATGGGGTCTTGCTCTGTCGCCCAGGCTGGAGTGCAGTGGCACGATCTTGGCTCACTGCAAGCTCCGCCTCCCGCGTTCACGCCATTCTCCTGCCTCAGCCTCCTGAGTAGCTGGGACTACAGGCGCCCGCCACCACACCCAGCTAATTTTTTTTGTACTTTTAGTAGAGACGGGGTTTCATCATGTTAGCCAGGATGGTCTCGATCTCCTGACCTTGTGATCCACCCGCCTCAGCCTCCCAAAGTGCTGGGATGACAGGCGTGAGCCACCACACCCGGCCGTTTTTTTTTGATATGGGGTCTTGCTCTGTCACCCAGGCTAGAGTGCAGTGGTGCGACCACAGCTCCCTGCAGCCTTGGCCTCCTGGGCTCAAGCCATCCTCCCAGCTCAGTCTCTCCAGCAGCTGGTCTATACATGAGCGCGACCACGCCCCAGCTGGTTTTTCTATTTTTTGTAGCAGAGGGGTTCTCACTCTGTTGTCCTGGCTGCTCCCAAACTTCTGAGCTCAAGTGATTCTCCTGCCTCAGCTTCCCCACATGCTAGGACTACAGGTGTGAGCCACTATACCCGGCCCACGGATTTGTTTTTAATGAAATACTCACAAACACTATTTTAGCAAAGTGCTTAAGAGTATGAGTCAAACCAGTTAAACGGGTTTAGCTCCCTGTATTATATTTTGATGGGTAGTATAAGAAAGTGTGTATAAAATAAAAAATACTAGTAAATGTTTCAAATATTTTAACCATTATTAAAATGGAAAGGTAAAGAATGGATCACAAGATTTCAGTGAAAGAGATTATGTATCAGATTACATAAATAACACATAGTTTGAGAATTACCGTTAACATTAAGAAGATAAAGGCAGATATTCCCAAGATCAGGATTTCTTTGTTCCCCTTGCTTTCCATGTGCAGCTTCCGATAATAGGGTCCAATGAGATACTTCTTTATAACAAGACATAAAAGAAAAACCGCCGCTAGTGAAAAAAGAATCTGACCAATCAAAACCAGGATTCGGAGAACTTCCACGACAATGCTGGGAAAGAAAAAAGAGACGTGATTTCACTTCCAAAACACAGTTCTCTAAAACTCAATAAAATAATCTTTCAGTTTTTTTCTTTAACATGCTACAAAATAAATTACCTGAATCATACACATCTTTATTTTCAAATACAAAAACACCTATGAATCATACTCATCTCAGAAATTAAGTTGTGTTGAGCCAAAGGTGGAAGCTGCATTGGTTTGCAGTCAATACTCTGGGGTGAATGCGTATTCTAGAATGTGAAAATTCTCGACTGACAGCGTTCCTATCTCAGCTGATGCCTGACGATAAAATTCCTCGCCAGGCCTCAGCCGCACATCAAAGTCTCCGCCAGGCAGCGGTTGCTCTCCGTGCCCCACCGCAGTCGCCTGATGGACGAACTCCAGCGACCGTCAGCAAGGCACTCCCGAGGCAGCCAGCTCTGAGGTCTGTGTCTGTGATTCAGACACAGAGAAAGTGATCCTTTGCTATGTTCTGTTTAGAATATACTACCCAGATCTCAGAATAGATCACCATCTCAGCCAGCGGACATCCACTATCTGCCGTCTTCACAAATATACCTATATTTAACCTTAGCCTTCCACCACTCAGGCCACAATTCTGGTGAAAGTTTCCTCGGTGGAGGAAACCTATGATTCCCAAGGGCGTCAGCCTCTGCAGTCTGGCTTAAAGCAGAAGTGCTGGAAACGCAAATCTCAAACTGCCATGATTCCTTCGGGGAACCACAGCAGAGCTGGGCTTGAAGCAGAGAGGGATGGAATGAAGGGATGGAATGAAGGGATGGAATGAAGGGATCAACAACGGCCACAGAAGCAGCTGTGAAGGAGCATCATTCAGAGCTCGCTGCAGGGCCCACGTCTGCAACTTCAGGAGGGAGGCAGCGTCCTTCAGAGCTCGCTGCAGGGCCCACGTCTGCGACTTCAGTAGGAGGGAGGCAGCGTCCTTCAGAGCTCGCTGCAGGGCCCACGTCTGCGACTTCAGGAGGGAGGCAGCGTCCTTCAGAGCTCGCTGCAGGGCCCACGTCTGCGACTTCAGGAGGGAGGCAGCGTCCTTCAGAGCTCGCTGCAGGGCCCACGTCTGCGACTTCAGGAGGGAGGCAGCGTCCTTCAGAGCTCGCTGCAGGGCCCACGTCTGCGACTTCAGTAGGAGGGAGGCAGCGTCCTTCAGAGCTCGCTGCAGGGCCCACGTCTGCGACTTCAGGAGGGAGGCAGCGTCCTTCAGAGCTCGCTGCAGGGCCCACGTCTGCGACTTAGAAGGAGGGAGGCAGCGTCCTTCAGAGCTCACTGCAGGGCCCAAGTCCGCGACTCAGAGAGAGGCCCCTTTCTGCAGCCCTGGCAGGAACGGAGACAGACTCACGGCCAAGCAGACCAGGCCTGCCGCACTCCTGACAGCTTTGCCACACTGCCAGGCCCACGTCTGGCCCTGGGCCCAGCACCGTGGTCCCTGCCTGGGCTGCCACCCCTTCCCCCACAGCTCCAGTGGCCTCCTCCTGATCCATCTGCTCTCCACACAGAGGCCCAGACAGCTCATCAGGACCCTCAATCAGCTCCTGGACGCTGGGATGGAACCCAGGCTTCTCTGCCCTGCCATGCCCTTCCACTGCCCCAGCCCACCCACACAGGCCACAGAGCCCCTTGCCTGGGAGGTCCCTACCCTAGACTCTTCTCCCAACAGGCTTAGCTGCATTCCTCAAATTCCAGCCACATCTCCAAAGGTAGAGCCTGTGCGTCTGGGGGCTCACGGCT
Source organism: Homo sapiens (assembly GCF_000001405.40). Lineage (NCBI taxonomy): Eukaryota > Metazoa > Chordata > Mammalia > Primates > Hominidae > Homo > Homo sapiens. The sequence goes on along the minus strand of NC_000013.11, from coordinate 113,532,290 downwards.
GCTCACCAGCTCCTCTTCCTGTTTGAATCATTCGCAGGGCGGTTCCCTGCTGCGGATGTCTTGTCTACCACTCATTTGTGCATCATTCATTCATTGCCTCTCCAAAACACAACAGCAGCTCCCCACATGGGGAACGTCCTCTGCTGAGCTCACCCTTGCATCCTGAGCCCCTAGAGCACTGTGTGCAGAGCACTGTGTGCCACCTATTATGGCAGCCTGGTAAGAGCTGTACGATCCCCACTGCTACGTCACAGATGAGAACAGGGGCAGAGACCAGGTGATCTGCTCCAGGCCACACGCCCAGTGCAGAGAGCTGGGGACAACTCAGGTATCTGGCTCCAGGACCAAGCCCCTAACGGCTACACAAGCTCTCCACAGCCACCATCCCCAGGGTTTGGATTTAGGTCTAATTCCCAGAAGACTCCCACAGTGTCCATTAAATGCACAGTGATGAGGGCTCAGAAAGATGCCAATCAGAAGCCACAGTGCGCTCAACTCTGACCTCTTTGAAAGACAATCACCGTGACAAGTTTCTCAGGATTCCGGCTTGCCGCCGTGCCACCGGCAGGTCCACGTGCGTGCTGCTCTTGATCTGCATGTACGGGGCGCCGTGTCACCTGCAGGTCCACACGCGTGCTGCTCTTGATCTGCACGTACGGGGCGCCGTGCCACCTGCAGGTCCACACGCGTGTGCTGCTCTTGATCTGCATGTACGGGGTGCCGTGCCACCTGCAGGTCCACGCGTGTGCTGCTCTTGATCTGCACGTACGGGGCGCCGTGTCACCTGCAGGTCCACACGCATGCTGCTCTTGATCTGTATGTACAGGGCGCCGTGCCACCTGCAGGTCCACGCGTGTGCTGCTCTTGATCTGCACATACGGGGCGCCGTGTCCACGGCTGTTCTGACTGTCTCAGCGTGTTTGGACAAGCTTCCCATCAGCACATCTGACCTGCGGACAGGTGAGTGGACAAGCTTCCCATCAGCACGTCTGGCCCGCGGACAGGTGAGTGGACAAGCTTCCCATCAGCATGTCTGGCCAGCGGACAGGTGAGGAAGGGCTCCCTGGCGGGACGCACCATCATTTGCTCAGCCAGATGCAAGGGCTGTCCCGGTTCTCACACTGACTCCACGGCCATCCTGGTTCTTGGGCGCTGCGGTGACCAAGGAGCCTGTGGGTCCACTGATGGTGGCAGTGGGTGCTCACTAAGGGAGCCGGGTGCCTCCCACTATGACAGGTGCTGTCTGGTGGGCCGCCAGGAAGTTGCTCCAATTCCCATCCCAACAATGATGCCCAAGGTACCCCACTTCCCAACCTGGGCACCACCCAGCTTCTAATGGTGCCCAGTCTGATGGGCGGGTGGTGCCATCACCCTTCTTTGGTGTGAGGGTGGGTGTTTCCTACTTTACTCAAGTCTAATAGCTGCTTTGCTGCTGACCTGTTTTCAAACTCAGTTATTCATATTTTTCTTATTAAGGTATAGGAGACCTTTATAAAATAAGAAACATAAGCCTCTGTCTTTAATATGGGCATAAACATCTGTTTTGCTTTATTACAGCCTTCTGTGTTCTGTTCTTTACCTGTGAAATATTTTGAGGGAAAGAGTTCTTTCCTCTAGGAATGATCAAGGTTAATTCTGAATAAAGCTTAATAAGAAAGCAGAGTCTATTATGTTGCAACTAATTTTATTTCTTTGATATTTTAAATATAAATTTTCCCTCGTTATTAAAATTGAAAGGGAGGTTTTCCTAAATTACAGAAAAGTATATATAGTAGAAAAAACTTAGTACAAATCTACCAGTCTACTAGTAGAAAATCATTAACACCTTGTTATATATACATATATATATTTCTAGTCTCTATTCATGTTCTTCTATGTCTAATTAAAATATCGTATATATTTTTAACAGCTATGATATATAATTCACTTACCATACAACTTACCCATTTAAAGTATACAATTCAATGGTTTCCAGCATATTCACAAAATTACACAACTATTACCACAATCCATGTTAGAATACTTTCATCATCCCAAAAAGAAACCCTGTACCCATCAGCACTTCCTCCCCATCTCCCCCAACCTCCCCACCCTCCGGCAACCAGTAATTCATCCTGTCTGTACGGACTGGCCTAGTCTGGACGTTGGTATGAATGGAATCACACAGCGTGTGGACTTTTTGTCCGGTTCTTTCAGAAGCATCGTGCTTCATCTGTGCTATAGGATGAATCAATGTTCATTCTATATTATGGCTGAATAATATTCCTTTGCTGAATATAGTATGTTTTGTATATCTACCTGTTATCTAATTGACATTTGAGTTCTTAATACTTTTTAACTATACGAATAATGCTGCTTGAACATTCAGGTACAAGTTTTTCATTGTGGTGAAACTCTCATACAATAAAATGTACCATGTTAACCATTTCTGAGTGTGTAACTCTGTGGTATCAGGTGGATTCACACTGTTGTACCCCCATCACCACCGTGTATCAGTCTGAATGTGGATGTGTGTTTTTGTTTCTTGCGGGTAAATACCGAGGAGCGAACAGCTGGGTCAAATGGGAGCTCTGTGTTAGCGTCAGGAGGAACGTGGTCTACAATTCTGACTCTGTTTCTGTTTCTTTTGTTTTTTTTTTTTGAGATAGAGTCTTGCTCTGTCGCCCAAGCTGGAGTGCAGTGTCGTGATCTCAGCTCACTGCAACCTCTGCCTCCTGGGTTCAAGTGATTCTCCTGCCTCAGCCTCCCGAGTAGCTGGGAATACAGGCACGTGCCACCATGCCTGGCTAATTTTTTGTATTTTTAGTAGAGACGGGGTTTCACCGTGTTAGCCAGGATGGTCTCGATCTCCTGACCTCGTGATCCGCCCCCCTCAGCCTCCCAAAGCGCTAGGATGACAGGCGGAAGCCGCTGCGCCCGGCTCTCAAGCCATCTTCCTGCCTCAGCCTCCCAAAGCGCTGGGATGACAGCGTGAGCCGCTGCACCCGGCCCGATTCTGTTTCTTAAGTTTAACAGCATTACAGAGTATTTTTCCAAGTCATCAACTCTTTGTAAACATGAAGTGTCATGACTGAATTAGAACAATTTCGGTGGGATCAATACCTGTACTGCATTAATTTTTTGAATTGGAAAAAAGGGAAAAAAAAGCTTTAAAAGTGTTCTGATTAAGACAATGTCTTATGCCAGCATGTTAGACCTGCGTGTAACTGGAAAGAACGTGGCAGTGAGATCAACGTGGTGTTTGAGTTTTACAAATGCCCTGCAGTCTCTGCCAGGGCTCTGCTTGTTTCGTATGGAGAGTCCGCCCTCCGTTGAGAATAACTGGTTGTGCGTGGAAAATGCTCAGACCTCTTAACTAGAAGTCATCTCCGGCTAGCATGACAACCCTTCCTTCTGTTGTCCAAATTATGTTGTTCAACTTATGTTGGACATTGTAGCCAGAAGGAATAAGAACTGATTCCGATGTGGCGGTTGGGACTAAAAGCGTTATTTTTCTGATATTTAAAGACATCTGGATCAAAGGAAAATGGCCATGATAAGGACCCTCTTATCATAAGGACCCTCTTATCATAAGGACCCTCTTATCACAAGGACCCTCTAGCGAGTGAACTCTAACCACTGCCTCCACCAGCGGCTGCACTAAGTGCCCTGCCTGGTTTTCTCTTTCAGTCTTCCCACGGTCCACCAGGTAGGCACTGTTCCCACGTCCTCCCCAATTCACAGAAAGCTGCCAGGGCTTGCACGGCCAGAGCATGGCCAAGCTGGGGCTCTAGCCTGGGCTGAACCTCTGGAAAACCCAGGTAAACAGCCCTTCATTCCTTCTACTTTCCTGCCTGCCTGGCTGAGCTACCGACAGCAGGGAAGATGTAACAGAAGATCTGGCAAAAGGCAAATACTAAAAAATTCTTCCACCCCACCGCCTGCCATGAGGAAGCGCTTGCCAGCTGTTTGGGCCGGGGTGGGGCTGGAGGCCTGGCAGGAAGCAGAACCCCCTGGCCAGGCCTCACACCACCCTCCCCAGGGGAGTCACTGGTTTAAAGCCTCCTAATAAACACACGAACCACCCAGGATACAACGAAAAGTCGCTCATCATATTAAGAATCGGGAAAATCACAACTTGAAGGAGAAAAGACAAGCGCCAGACTTCACATCGAGACGAACGGATACTGGAGTTATCTGATGAGGGTGTTAAAGCAGCCATGACTAAAACGCTTCAAAAGGCCACAAACACTCTCTGTAAACAAATAAAAAATAGAAAATCTCAGCCAAGAAATAAAGGCTACATAAAAGAAGTAAGTGGAAATTATACAACTAAAAAAATACAGTCATAATAAAAATCTCTGGGGATGGGCTAAGTGGCAGAGTGGAGACGAGAGAGGGCAGAACCGGTGACCCCGAGGACAGACAGAATTCATCTGCCTGAACACACAGAAACGGACCGAGGACGGTCAAGGCCTCAGAGACCCGCAGGACCCTAACCAAAGAGCAGATTTCTAAGTTTCCGCAATCGCAGGAGAGAACAAGTGGACTGAAAAAGGATGTGAGGAAATGATGGCTGAAAACTTCCTGTTAGCCAAGAGACATAAACCCACAGATGCGAGAAGCCAACTGAATCCAAATAGAACAAACCCAGAGAAATCTGCTCCAGGATGTATGGTAATACAATTTCTGAAAACTAAAGACAGAGAAAAAAACCTTGAAAGCTGCCAGAGAGAAACCCCTCATTCCTTCGAGAGAAGCACAAGTCTAAACAGCAGCAGGTTTCATAGCTGGAACACAGAAGCCGGGGGCAGGGACACGCGCTTCCCAGGCACTGGATGAGGAGAGCCACCACCTGGAAATCCACATCCCGTGAGATGCCCTCGGAGTGACGCGGGGACAAAGGCCATTCCCAGACGAAGAAAAACTTAGAGAATTTGTGGCCAGCAGATTAACCATGAAAGAATGACCAAAGAAAGTTCTCTACACAGAGAGGAAATGATTACAGAAGATAGATGGGAACATCAGAAGGGAAAGAAGAACACCAGAATGGGTAAAAACAGGTATGAGAAGAAGAGATTATCCTTTTCCTCCTGAGTTTTCAAAATCGTATTTGATGTCTGCAGTAAACATTACAACACCATCTGCTGTGGTATTCAATAAAAGAAGAGAAAAGACAACAATTATACAGTCATGTGCCACTTCACAATGGGGACACATTCTGAGAAGCATCATAAGGCAATTTCATCATTGTGCAGACATTCCAGAGTGCATTTACACAAACCCAGACCCACCCAGGCCGCCTGGCACTGCCTCCTGCTCCTGGACCACACACCTGCACAGCACGTGACTGCACTTAATACTGCAGCCAACTGTAACACAATGATAAGTATTTGCATATCTAAACACAGAAAATACACACTGAAAGTATAGCATCAAAGGTAAAAATGGCACACCTGTACAGGGCGCTTGCAGGACTGGAGGTTGCTCTGAGTGAGTCAGGGAGTGAGGGTGAGTGAATGTGAGAGCCTTGGACACTACTGTAAACCACGGCAGACGCCACAGGCGCTGTACACTCAGGCTACACTAAACTGAGACAGTGTCTCACTGTGTTGTCCAGGCTGGAGAGCAGCGGTATGATCACAGCTCACTGCAGCCTTTATCTCCCAGGCTCAAGCAATCCTACAGCCTTCGCCTCCAGAGTAGCTGGGACTATGGGTGTGCGCCACCACGCCTGGCTAATTTTTTTTTTTTTGGTAGAGATGAGGTCTTGCTATGTTGCCCAGGCTGGTCTTGAACTCCTAAACTCAAGCAATCCTCCCGCCTTGGCCTCCCAAAGACTAGGATTACAGGTGTGAGCCACCACACCTGGCCAACTGTGCTGAGTTTATTAAAAATATTTTTCTTTCTTCAGTATTAACCTTAACTTACTGTAACTTTTTAACTTTATAAACTTTAAGGTTTTTAAAAACTTTTTGACTCTTTTGTAATGACACTTAAAACAGAAACTGTATGGCTGTACAAAAAATATTTTCTTTCTTCTTATTTATTCTATACGTTTTTTTCTATTTTAATTTTTTTTAACTTTTTAAACTTTTTGGTTAAAAACTAAGACACAAACACACATTAGCCTAAACCCGCACAGGGTCAGGACCATCAGTGTCGCTGTCTTCCACGTCCGCATCCTGTCCCACTGCAAGGTCTTCAGGTGGAATAACCGGCACAGAGCTGTCGTCTCCTACGACGACGACGGCTTGTTCTAGAATAACCGGCACATAGCTGTCGTCTCCTACGACGACGACGGCTTCTTCTAGAATAACCGGCACAGAGCTGTCGTCTCCTACGACGACGACGGCTTGTTCTAGAATAACCGGCACAGAGCTGTCGTCTCCTACGACGACGACGGCTTGTTCTAGAATAACCGGCACAGAGCTGTCGTCTCCTACGACGACGATGGCTTGTTCTAGAATAACAGGCACAGAGCTGTCGTCTCCTACGACGACGATGGCTTGTTCTAGAATAACCGGCACAGAGCTGTCCTCTCCTACGACGACGATGGCTTGTTCTAGAATAACCGGCACAGAGCTGTCGTCTCCTACGATGACGATGGCTTGTTCTAGAATAACAGGCACAGAGCTGTCGTCTCCTATGATGACGATGGCTTGTTCTAGAATAACAGGCACAGAGCTGTCGTCTGCTATGATGACGATGGCTTGTTCTAGAATAACCGGCACAGAGCTGTCGTCTCCTATGATGATGATGGCTTGTTCTAGAATAGCTCCTGAAGAACCTGCCTGAGGCTGTTTTGACAGTTCTACTTCTCTTTATAAGTAGAAGGAGTACACTCTAACGATAAAAAGTATAGTAAATACATAAACCAGTAACAGTGATTTATTGTCGTTATCAAGTATTCCGTACCATGCCTAATTGGGTGTGTGAGCCTTTTATATGATTGGCAGTGCAGCAGGTTTGTTCGTGCCAGCATCACCACAAGCATGGGGGCATTACACTGCCCTGTGACGTTACAAGGGCTGCAACCTCACTAGGCAACAGGAATTGTTCAGGTCCAGAGAATCCCACCCGACCACTGCTGTACAGGTGGCCCATCACTGACCAAAATGTCATTATGCAGCGCGTGACTATTTAACATGTGGGCAGGGGGAGGGAGCTAAGTGGAAATAAGGCTTCTACATTTCACATGAAGTGGTAAAACGTGGATTCCAGCAAACAGTGATAAGTTACATGTGTCCACTGTGATACCCAGAGCAACCAGGAAAACCACACAGAGCAATACACTCAAAACATTATAAATGAGCCTAAACAGAATCCCTGAAAACACGCAGTCAACCCACAGAGATGTAAAAGAAAAAGAGTAACGAGACAAAAAACAAATAAAATGCAGACTTAAGTTGCAACATATCAATATTTACCTGATATGTAAATGGTCTAAACATACCAATTAAAATACAGAGACTGGCTGAGTGGATTTAAAAAAATCATCCAACAATATGTTCTCCACAAGAAACTCACTTCAAATACAAGGGCATAAGTTGAAAGGAAAAGTATGAAAAGGATACACCATTGCAGACATTGACCAAAAAAAAAAATAATATTATTTTAATATCAGATAAAGTGAATTACACGGCAAGGAAAATTACTAGAAACAAAAGAAATATGGCCAGGCACAGTGGCTCACACCTGTAATCCCAGCACTTTGGGAGGCCGAGGCTGGAAGATCACTTGAGGCCAGGAGTTTGAGACTGGCCCGGCCAACATGGCGAAACCTTGTCTCTACTAAAAAATACAAAAATTAGCCAGGTGTGGTGGCACACGCCTGTAATCCCAGCTACTCAGGAGGCTGAGGCACGAGAATCACTAGAACCCAGGAGGCAGGAGCCGAGATCACGCCACTGCATTCCAGCCTGGGCAACAGAGCAAGACTATGTCTCGAAAAACAACAAAAAAAGAAATATTACATAATGATAACAAGATCAATTCACCAGGAAGACAAAATGATCCTAAATGTGTATGTACCAAACAAAAGAGCCCCAAAATACATAGAGCAAAAGCTGATTGAACTCAAAGGAGAAACAGACAAATATCCAATTCTAACGGGGGACTTCAATACCATCTCCCTCAACAACTGATACAACTACAGCAAGAACACGAAATAGCGCAGTTAACTGACTGACATATATTAAAAAAAACTCCACTCAACAATAACAGAATACACTTTTTTTTCCTCCCAAGTGACTTTGGAGCATTTACCACAGACAGTATCACTGGCCATAAAACAAACCTCAACAAATGTAGAAGAACTGAAATCATACAAAATGTTCTCGCGCCACAGTGGACTCAAACTACAAATCAGTAACAGAAAGACATCAGGAAAATCTCCAGATGTATGGAAATTAAGCAACACTTCTAAACAATCCATGAGTCAAAGAAGTATCAAAGTAAATTTTTAAAACTCATTGAACAAAATGAAAATAAAAATACAACATATCAAAATATGAGATGCGGCTAAAACAGTGCTGAGAGGGAAATTTACAGCAGTAAATGCTTACAGTAGAAAAGATGAGAAGTTTAAAATCAATAATCTAAGTTAAACCATAAGAACCTAGAAAAAGAAAAGTAAAATAAACCCAAAGCAAGAAGGAAGGTGAGGGTAGAAACTAATGAAATTGAAAACAACAACAAAATAAAGAAAATCAATAAAACAAGGAACGAATTCTTTGGAAAGATTAATACAATTGCCAAATCCCTAGACAAAGATGATGCAAGTTATCAACATAAGCAATGAAACAGAAGATATCACTACAGACCCTGTGGACATCAAAAGAATGATAAAGGAATACAACACAAAAACTCTGTATATATAAATCTGACAACTGAGACAGAGTGGAACAATTCCTCAAAAAGCTAAGCTACCACAACTCAACAATATGAAGTAGATATTCTGAATATCTACTGTGACTATTAAGCAAATTAAATTTGTAAGAAAACTCCCCAAAAGGAAATCTCATGACCCAGAGGGTTTTACTGCAGAATTCTACCAAATATTAAGGAAGAACTGACATCAATTTTATACAATGTTTTCCAGAAAATAAAAAGAAAGGAACACTTCCCAAAACATTTTGTGAACCTAGTATGACTTTTATTACCAAAACCCAAAGAGTATCAAAAAAAAAAAGAGAGAACTACACACCAATATCTCTCATGAAGTTAGACCCCAAAATCCTCAATAAATTAGCAAACTGAAGGCAGCAATGTATAAAAATAATTATATACCTAAACCAACGGGGAATTATCCCAGGTATGCAAGGCTGGTTCAACTTCCAAAAATCAATGTTATCCATCATGTCAACTAGCTAAAAAAGAAGGCCAGGCACGGTGGCTCATGCCTGTAATCCCAGCACTTTGGGAGGCTGAGGCGGGCAGATCACAATGTCGGGAGTTCAAGACCAGCCTGGCCAATAAGGTGAAACCCTGTCTCTACTAAAAATATGAAAATTAGCTGGGCGTGGTGGTGCATGCCTGTAGTCCCAGCTGCTCGGAAGGCTGGGCAGGAGAACTGCTTGAACCCAGGAGGTGGAGGTTTCAGTGAGCCGAGATCACGACACTGCATCCAGCCTGAGCAACAGAGTGAGACTCCATCTCAAAAACAACAACAGCCGGGCGCGGTTGCTCACGCCTATAATCCCAGCACTTTGGGAGGCCGAGGTGGGTAGATCACAAGGTCAGGAGATCGAGACCATCCTGGCTAACACAGTGGAACCCCGTCTCTACTAAAAATACAAAAAATTGGCCGGGCTTGGTGGCAGGTGCCTGTGGTCCCAGCTACTCCAGAGGCTGAGGCAGGAGAATGGCGTGAAGCTGGGAGGCGGAGCTTGCAGTGAGCCCAGATCGTGCCACTGCACTCCAGGCTGGGCGACAGAGCGAGACTCCGTCTCAAACAACAACAACAACAACAACAACAAAGAAAAATTACATAATCATATCAATTGGTTTAGAAAAAGCAATCGACAGAATCCACCACCCATTCATCATAAAAACTCTCAGCAAACTAGGAATAGATGGGAATTTCCTCAGCTTGACAAAGAGAGTCTACAATAAACCTACAGCTAACATCATACCTAGTGGTGAGAGACTGAATGCTTCCCAAGAGCAAGGCAAAGATGTCCTCTTACACAATCTTTTTCAACAAAGTACTGGACATTCCAGCCAGTGCAATAAGGCAAGAAGAAACCCAAAAGCATACGGGTTGGAAAGGAAGAAATAAAGCACACGAGACAGGTCCTAGAACCTCAATCTGGTTCCAAAAGAAGTTTCAAAAAGGTCTCCTAATTTTTGATCAGTTGTACTCATTGCTGTAAGAAATGCAATAAAGGTAGCCTCTGGAGATTAGATCTAAAGCACAATATTTACATACATAAAGTATAGTATATTGGCTTAAAACACACTCAAGCTTACAGTCCTATCCCACTTTAAGTTTCATAGGGCACCCTAGACTTTGCAACTGTCCTTATTTTCTGGCTGATATTCTTGGAATGTATTTGTATATGCGGCACAACCTACAACTTTCTGGATAAATTAATTCTTCCCATTTGGCTTCTCTCTCCATACGAACCCAAGCAGGTGCAGTTTACGTTTGGCAATACGATATTGGGAGAATGAAAAGAAGGATCGGGGAAGTGGTAATGATGATGACAGTGACAATGACAACCACACAATGATAGCTCTCCTACACGCATACACACCACACACGCATGCAGATGTACATGCAGACACACATGCACGCAGACACATGCAACACACAGATATACCCCACATATGCACACGTGGATACCCCCCTACAGACATACCACAGAACAAACACGCACACCACACATGCATGCAGATATACAACCATACAATGATAGCTCTCATACACACACACACACCACACATGCATGCAGATATACATGCAGACGCACATGCATGCAGACACATGCAAACACACAGATATACCCCACATACGCACACGTGGATACCCCCCCACAGACATACCACAGAACAAACACACACACCACACATGCAGACACATGCCCCCCCACCACAGGTGCGCCACACATACATGCAGATACACGTGAATACATACACACACATACCACGTAAGCACACAGATATACCCTACCTACACACACACACACAGATACTCCCTCCCCGTGCACACATACACATGCATACAGACACCCCCCTCCCTCCACATCACTTATTACGTTCTGGACATTGTTCTAAGCATGTTTCTATCGGAACTCATTCATTCCTCCTGACTACTCCATCAGTGGGTACTACTACCACCCCTACTTGATGGAAGACAGGACTGAGGAACTGTGAGGATAAGTCACCTGCCCGTGGTGAGGAGCTGCTAAGCACAGAGCCAGGGCGTGAGCAAGGCAGTGTTGCTCCAGGGACTGTGCACGGAATCCTGAGCCATCTGAGCTCAGAACATCTCTTTGGAAAAGGTATTAAGTAGTATTTTTATGCACAAGTGATTTTAAACTATAAAAACAAATTGCGTACACAAAGCGTTTACCTAGAAGATGCACTGGCGCCCGCCTGTATGAGAGTCGGCATGACGGCCATGAAGAGCCCGAGCTGCACGTCCTGCGTCACCAGCATGCCGAGGAGCACGGTGCTGTAGTCAATGTCGCCTGTGGGGGGAAAGGCATTGAAGACAGGTCTACGACAACTCAAAAGTATCCAAAGTCAAAATATTGCCATTGTACACACTTCCAAAATAACTCAAATTATTTTGGCACTTTACTTTTTTTTTTTTTTTTTTTGAGATGGAGTTTTGCTCTGTCGCCCAGGCTGGAGTGCAGTGGCTCGATCTCAGCTCACTGCAACCTCCACCTCCCGGGTTCAAGTGATTCTCCTGCCTTAGCCTCCTGAGTAGCTGGGATTATAGGCGCCTGCCATCACGCCTGGCTAATTTTTATATCTTTAGTAGAGACGGGGTTTCACCATGTTGGTCAGGCTGGTCTCAAACTCCTGACCTTGTGATCCACCTGCCCTGGCCTCCCAAAGTGCTGGGATTACAGGCATGGGCCACTACTCCCGGCCGGCACTTTACATTTTTAAGAATAGACTTTAAAATCTCTTTGAGAACACTGAAGCATTTTAAGATTAAAAATGTTGTAGAGCAAATCATCAGAACACCTTTTACTTCCACGACTTACTTGTTATTTATATAATTATTGAAAAATCTCATGACAAAAAGGTGACATGGCAAACAAGATGACAGGCTTGGATAATCACACCAATTTCACTGCGTCCCAGAAACACATGGAGAAGCCTTTGCTTCTCACCTTTACAGCTTCCCTGAGCTACTCCAGGTAGGCCTGACTCAGGCCCCTCTGGTCACGTGGTGTGTTCCACGTGTGCAGACCCACCCAAGCCACTGCACAGAACGAGCCTTCTCTGTGAGACCAACACAGACTTGATGTCCAAATGGTGCAGACGCACCCAAGCCACCACACGGAATGAGCCTTCGCTGTGAGACCAAGACAGACTTGGTGTCCAAATGGTGCAGACGCACCCAAGCCACCACACGGAATGAGCCTTCACTGTGTGACCAACACAGACTTGGTGTCCAAATGGTGCAGACGCACCCAAGCCACCACACGGAATGAGCCTTCACTGTGTGACCAAGGCGGGCCCGGCAGACAAACACCGGCTCACGAGGGCAGAACAGTAGTAGCCATGACTAGCTGAAGAGACTAAGGAACAACTCTGGAAAGAAGAAAGGAAAATGAGACCTTCTTCACAAATTCAGTAACTTGCACAAGCCTCCAAAGGTCTCAATTTTCAATGTACAGTTCCAGCTATGAACTCTGTAAATATGCTTCTAAAAATTAAATTGTCATTCCCCCAACCCCACCCCGAACAAGGTACTTTTTCTTACAAAAAAAAAAAAAAAGCGGCTGGGCGCGGTGGCTCACGCCTGTAATCCCAGCACTTTGGGAGGCTGAGGTGGGTAGATCACCTGAGGTCAGGAGTTCGAGACCAGCCTGACCAACATGGTGAAACCCCATCTGTTCTAAAAAATACAAAAAATTAGCTGGGCATGGTGGCGGGCACCTGCAGTCCCAGCTACTTGGGAGGCTGAGGCAGGAGAATCACTTGAACCCAGGAGGCGGAGGTTACAGTGAGCTGAGATCACGCCACTGCACTCCAGCCTGGGGGACAAGAGCGAGACTCCGTCTCAAAAAAAAAAAAAAAAGCTACTGTTATCAACAGATTTTAAAAGACCAATCTGATAGAAAAGGCTTATTTTAAAAAAACAGCAGAACCACACAAAACCCCTTGATGCCAGCAAAAATCTCTTTCTGGATAGAGATTCAGGTAATTGTTTTAGAAGGCTTGATTGACTTATTGTACAAAATTAAATTTTTGGTGAACAAAATATCTTGGCTTAGAATTTTAAAACAGTCTGAACAGACGATGACGTTAAGCTGTTGTGGCTACAGCTTTGTGCCTTTTAGGGTTACACGATTCAGGAGATGATAAAATTGCCTCCCAACTAATATTGTCCATGCGGAGGCTTCACAGATCAGCGATTTTCACCCTAAGGCTCGCATGGGCTTGTGGTCACCGCATCTCTCTTCATCTCGCAGCCTTCGCAAGACGGGAGGGAGGCTGCGAGATGAGTCTGTGGGATGCAAAGGAGCCACGGCCACCCCACATCTTCCGCAGATAACACGTTCACACCTGCGCCCCTTCTATTTAAAAGAAACAAAATCTCTCACTACATCTCACTTTTTAGAGATAGCCTTTGATGATATTACTGCCAGCATTTTGTAAATGTTTTAAATATTTTGTTCTCTTCCTTTGCACCGATCATAGTGAACTGGCTGAAATCAACAGACACTCAACTGTTGCCCGCTAGGCCATGGGCACCACAGAGCAGAGACCAGGTCTTCACCAAGGTCCCTGATGCAGGACCCCGAGTCCACACCCACAGGGCCTGCGCAGGAAACACTGCTCACGAGGGACTTCACGGGGCTGCAGGAGGAAGACAAGTGCTCGGAGTAGTGACGGGCACAAAACTTCAGCAGTGCAACCAGACAAGATGAAAATATTACCACACTGAAATATTACAATTTCTCTAATTTCTCAACACTTTCACTATTGTCATCTTTCTGAAATCTGCACTACCTTTTTGTGCTTATCACTACTATAAGCATTTTGATTTCTTCCTGTTTTCCATTCCTTTTATTAAACAGTTTAAATATACAGAGAACAAGGAGTATATCAAATGCTCACATACCCACTAAGGAATTTGCTAAATTTTAAACCTGTAACATATTTGCTTCAGATTTTTAAAGAAATAAAGTCCTAAGGGTGCCGCCAAGGAGCTCTGTAAACCCCTTGCTGTGGGGCCCCTCTTCCCTCCACCCACACTCCCCACAAGGAGGTCTGTAAACCCCGTGCTGTGGGGCCCCTCTTCCCTCCACCCACAGTCCCCACTTGACCTTATTCTGAAAGTTCATCATCCCCTTGAATGCATTTCTACTTAATGTTAACACCTATAGATCTGGAGGCAACACTGAGTTTATTATTTTGTAATATTAAACTTCACAGAATCAACATTTCTGCGACTTGCCGTTTTTGACCACCACTATATCTGCAAATTATCCATGTTGATGCACAAAGCTCTGATTCATTTTTAAAACTGTTGTAGAACAGACCACAGTTTATCCATTCATCTCTTGGTGGACGTTCAGGAATTCCATTTATTCACTAATACAAAAATGGCTGCATGTAATCCCAGCACTTTGGGAGGCCAAGGCGGGCGGATCACGAGGTCAGGAGATCGAGACCATCCTGGCTAACACGGTGAAACCCCGTCTCTACTAAAAATAGAATTAGCCGGGCGTGGTGGCGGGCGCCTGTAGTCCCAGCTACTCGGGAGGCTGAGGCAGGAGAATGGCGTGAACCCGGGAGGTGGAACTTGCAGTGAGCTGAAATTGTGCCGTTGCACTCCAGCCTGGGCGACAGAGCGAGACTCCTCCTCAACAACAACAACAAAGGCTGCATGAATATTCTAGCACATTGTGGGGGAAACCTCCTTTCCCCTCGCTTGCATTTTCACAAGAAGGGAATGTTTCCTCACCACTCCTGGCCTCTTGCCTGGTCCCACATACATTACTCCCAGGGAGACAAGGGCGCTCTTCCTGGAAATGGATAGAGCCCGTCTTCCTTTGTGAACCAGCCAGCCCACGGCACCTGGTCTCAAGGTTCTCTTGCAGACCTGAGTTTCACAGGGCAGGCCCTGCCCACGGAGGCCTCTGGAGGCCAACGCTGCTTGTGGCTGGACAATGAGTCTTGCTCCGAGGTTAAGAATGAAGCCTAAGAAGCTCATCACTGCCAGGCATGCAAACCACACCTTCTTCACAATCCAGCTGCCATTCTGACCTCCAGGTGCCTGCCTCCTCTGTTCCTCTTTCTATGTGTTTTCAGCACAGGCAAGGCAGAGTGGAGTTACACATTTACTGGACTCCTTCGAGGGTTGGGCCCCTCGAAGGGGCTAGAAATCTTGAGAAATAGAAAAGGAGCAGAATTTGCATCAAAATCCATGTAAGAAGAGTGACTGAGGCCGCTGCTGTGGCCAGAGCTAACACCTTTAAGCTCTGGTGAGACAGTCTTAAGTTTGGGCTATATACAAATTTCTTTTCTTTTCTTTTCTTTTTTTTTTTTTTGAGATGGAGTCTCACTCTGTGGCCCAGGCTGGAGTGCAGTGGTGTGAACTCAGCTCACTGGAAGCTCCGCCTCCAGGGTTCAAGCAATTCTTGTGCCTCAGCCTCCCGAGTAGCTGGGGATTACAGGCGTGTGCCACCATGCCCGGCTAATTTTTATATTTTCAGTAGAGATGAGGTTTTGCCATGTTGGCCAGGACGGTCTTGAACTCCTGACCTGATGTGATCCACCTGCCTTGGCCTCCCAAAGTGCTGGGATTACAGGCATGAGCCACCATGCCTGGACATATATAGGAATTTCTAATAAAATTTCAAGCATATGCAAAAGTAGAAAGAAAAATACAGTGCATCTCAAGGAACAAATAATCCAGTTTCCATGATCAGGCAGACTAACCTTGTTTCATACACTAACCTCCACTCTACCCTCCTAAGGGAAACCCCAGTCATCCTCTTAACCATACCTTTCAATGTGCATCTCTAAGACACAAGGCTGGTGTCCAAATTGGGAAGAATGAATTTAATGATCCTGTAAGCAGATGAGATTATCTCATATGTAGAAAATCCTAAAGATTCCACACACAAAAATCTATTACAATAAACCAGTTCACAAAGTTGCAGGGCACAAAATAAACACACACAAGTCAGCTGCATTTCTTTTTTTTTTTTTTTTTTTTTTTTGGGACGGAGTCTCGCTCTGTCAACCAGGCTGGAGTGCAGTGGCACGATCTCGGCTCACTGCAAACTCTGTCTCCCGGGTTCACGCCATTCTTCTGCCTCAGCCTCTTGAGTGGCTGGGACTACAGGCGCCCGCCACCATGCCCGGCTAATTTTTTGTATTTTTAGTAGAGACGGGGTTTCACCATGTTAGCCAGGATGGTCTCGATCTCCTGACCTCGTGATCCGCCCGCCTCGGCCTCCCAAAGTGCTGGGATTACCAGCGTGAGCCACCGTGCCCAGCCACTTACCTTGTTTTTAAAAACAATTATTATAAAATACTTTGGATCAAGAAAAAAGGTACAAAGCATGTCATGAACAACCAGAGCCATCACTGAGCTTCTGGAAGAAATGTCACAAGCAGCCGACTGCCCTGCGTCTCTCTCTGATGGCATGCCTCCCCATCTCTGGCACAGCCACCCGGCCACATCTGTCATTCTCAAACACTTCTTGTTGCTTTTAGTGTAAAAGTTTGCATGTATGTAAAGTTCAGACTTTAAACACATAAAACATGTTGCATTCCACATCTTCTATCTTTCCCTCCATGCTACAGAATTCACATTTGCTTCTGCAGCATTCCAATGTATGAATACATCTTAACTGTCCAGCATGTTACTGAATATTCAGTTGATTAATTTTTTGCTACTAAAAATAATGCTGTTTTGAATTATAATAATTTGCAAGAATTTTCTAGGATATGTATATAGAAATGGAATTTTCTGATTGCAAAATTGTTCTCCAAAGTGGCTGAACCAATTTACATTCCCATGGAGAATGCTTAGATCTTGCAACTCCACATTCTTGCCAATGGTAGATCAGGTTAAAAATGTCTGCCAGGGCCAGGTGCGGTGGCTCATGCCTGCAATCCCAACGCTTTGGGAGGCCGAGGCAGGAGGACTGCTCGAGGCCAGGGTTCAAAACCAGCCTGGGTAACATAGCAAGACCTCCATCTCTACAAAAAGACTAAAAACTTAGCCAGGCATGGTGGCACACGCCTGTCATCCCAGCTACTCAGGATGCTGAGATGGGAGGATCACTTGAGCCCAGGAGGTTGGGGCTGCAGTGAGCCAAGATCAAGCCACTGCACTCCAGCCTGGGTGACAGCAAGACTCGGTCTAAAACAAAGCTTGGCAGCAAGCTCGTGTGGATGGCGTCGATCTCAGTCCCATCAGCCTGCACCCCGAATACTAGCGAGGCTCATGTCTTCCTGTTGCAAGACTCGGTCTAAAACAAAGCTTGGCAGCAGGCTTGTGTGGATGGCGTCGATCTCAGTCCCATCAGCCTGCACCCCAAATACTAGCGAGGCTCATGTCTTCCTGTTGCAAGACTCGGTCTAAAACAAAGCTTGGCAGCAGGCTTGTGTGGATGGCGTCGATCTCAGTCCCATCAGCCTGCACCCCGAATACTAGCGAGGCTCATGTCTTCCTTTTTGTTCATCATTTAGGTTTCTTCTCCCGTAAGTTATTTGCTCAGATATTCTGCCTATTTTCCCATTAGGTTACTTTTTGGTTTGGATTTACAGACGTTCTTGATACATTCTGAATATTAATCCTTTGCTCTAAACAAACAATAAATAACTATAGGAAATGTCTTCCTCTGGCCTGTGGCTTATTAAAAAAAAATGCCTTTCAATAAAAGTTACAGTTGTCCCCATAGTGAGGTTAGTATGAAAAAGAAGGTTACAAAGTCAAATGTGTCATATGTATCAGTATTTTCTCTTTTGAATTCTGCATTTTATATTTTAAGGAATTCTACCCTAAGGTTATAAGGATATTTTCTATTTCCTTCTCGTAGTTCTAAAGTCAAGCTAATTTCATTTTCTTACGTTGGATAGCTAATTCCCACTCCTGGTAAGTCGATCTCCCCAGCTTCTCTGCAGCGTCTGGGCTGTGGGCCCCGACCCCCCGGCTCCATCTCAGCCTGTGGTGCTGCTATCCACCGGGACATCCTCAGTCTTGAGAGCTGGCGGGGGACTCCTCACCTCAAATTAATGTTGCCTATTCTTAGCTTTTTGGTACCCACTGAATTTTAGGATCAGTTTCTTCAGTTTCATGAAAACTCCTGCCAGATTTTTTTTATTGGAACAGCTATGAGTTTATAAATTTGGGGAGAAGTGACATCTTTATGAATGGAGTCTTTTTATGAACTCTGTGAGCATGAATTCACTCCATTTGTGACTTTATCCTCAAAGGTCACAGCTCTCTTTTGATAAGTTTATTCCCAAAGCTTTTTTTTCAAATTACAATTTCTAACTGTGCTGTGGGTATATTACACATTTAACATGTCTAACTGTAAATTTCCTTTCAGTGTCCAAGTCCTTGACTCTAACTACCTCCCAAACATGCAACCCTCCTATCTTCTTACTATCTAGAGTTTTAGCCTGGCCTTTAAAAAAACAAACTCAAACATCTCCTTTTCTAACAGTCATAACTGACTAAATGTATCACCTTCTAGCCCCCTCTGTCTCCCTGCTGCTTCCACGCCCAGCTCTGCCTCTGCAGGGCCTGGGTCTGGGCCCTGTGGGGACTGCTGGGTGGGCGGTGCTCTGGGGTCTTTGCACATCAGAAATGCCTGCATTTTACCCCCTACTCTTGGATGGTACTTTCACTGGGCACACATGACTTGTCTCCCCAGGGTGTGGGTTACCTATCCGCTATCTCCCACCATCTGACGTTGCCGAGGAGACGTGTCCTATCAGCCCAATTATTTGCTGTTCCTTTTTAAACCACCTGTCTTTTCTGCCAAGTGTTCAGACGTTCCCTTCTACTTCATGCTCAGCTGCAGAACATGACATGCCTGGGTGGACTTATTTCCCCTTATCCCATCAGTGTTGGAGATGGGCTCCTGTCTCGAGTTCTGAAAACCTACCAGGTCCTCTTTCCAGTCTCGGCCCCTGGGGCTCTGAGTCTATATATACTGACCCTCTCCATCTACATTCTGGCCCCTGGGGCTCCGAGTCCATATATACTGACCCTCTCCATCTACACTCTGGCCCCCTTCCAGTCCCAGCACCTGGGGCTCCGAGTCCACATATACTGACCCTCTCCGTCTACACTCTGGCCCCCTTCCAGTCCCAGCACCTGGGGCTCCAAATCTATATATACTGACTCTCTCCGTCTACACTCCGGCCCCCTTCCAGTTCCAGCACCTGGGGCTCCAAATCTATATATACTGACTCTCTCCATCTACACTCCAGCCCCCTTCCAGTCCCAGCACCTGGGGCTCCAAATCTATATATACTGACTCTCTCCGTTTACACTCCGGCCCCCTTCCAGTTCCAGCACCTGGGGCTCCGAGTCTATGTACACTGACCCTCTCCATCTACTCTCCAACCCTCTCCGTCTACACTCCAACCTTCTCCATCTACGCTCCAACCCCCTCCATCTACACTCCGGCCACTGAGGCTCTGAGTCTATATATACTGACCCTCTCCATCTACACTCCAACCCTCTCCGTCTACACTCCGGCCCCTGGGGCTCTGAGTCCATATATACTGACCCTCTCCATCTACACACCAACCCTCTCCCTCTCCAGTCCCGGCCCCTGAGACTCCGAGTGTATATATATACTGACCCTCTCCATCTACACTCCAACCCTCTCCCTCTCCAGTCCCGGCCCCCGCGACTCCGAGTGTATATATACTGACCCTCTCCATCTACACTCCGGCCCTCTGCCTCTCCAGTCCCGGCCCCCGCGACTCCGAGTGTATATATACTGACCCTCTCCATCTACACACCAACCCTCTCCCTCTCCAGTCCCGGCCCCTGAGACTCCAAGTATATATATATACTGACCCTCTCCATCTACACTCCAACCCTCTCCCTCTCCAGTCCCGGCCCCCGCGACTCCGAGTGTATATATACTGACCCTCTCCATCTACACTCCGGCCCTCTGCCTCTCCAGTCCCGGCCTCCGTGACTCCGAGTGTATATATACTGCACACCTCCGAGTGTATATACACCGTGCACTGATTTTGAAGTCTTTGTGAAGCTTCTCTGTCCATAAGGGCAGTTCACGCTGTGACTGCTGAGTCCGTCAGCTCTTTTCCAGCCACAGATTTCTTCACAGGTGTGGGTGTCCCGTGTGCGGGCCACTAAACTAGGAGCTGTTTTCATGCGTCGTTCCTGGTCCCCACTTGGTCTTTTTTCATTTCACTCAGCCCCCGACCCTCCAACCCTGTCCAGTCTCACGATGGGGCTGACCCTAGGACCAGCCCACAGGGATGCTGGCACCAGCACGGAGGAGGCCCATGGCCGGGGCCACCCGTCCAGCGTCTAGCAGGGAGGCTGCATCCGTGTCCTACTGGCGCCTCAGGCCCCGCAGAAAGCCGCAGATTTTTAAAAAGTTTTCCCTGCCTCCTTTCACAGACAGATGCTTCCCAACTGCCTGTCACACAGTGAGGGCACATGTGGGTCCCACATGCTCCAGCACCCTGCTTGGCGGCCCATGGCCAGCTCTGCTCAGCCTCTCAGTTGCCGGCACAGAGCCTCTCGGTTTATGGGAGAGGTCAGACATACCTCTTTGGTTTTCTCTTTCCGTATTTTCTCTTCTATGCCTGTGTGTTCTGTGCAGGGTGAACGTCAGAGTGAAGTGACTGTGACATTTCGACCCCGTATTTTACTGACTTTTACAAAATAAGAGCAAAACAGTGACAGCTTACCCAGTGGGTAGGCAGGCTGTCAGAAACAGCCACCTGCCAAGCCTCCCCGCACAGGGACACGGTCCTGCCTAGGTTTCCGAGTGAGTCGGCTTCCACTGTCCTCCCCGCACAGGGACACGGTCCTGCCTAGGCTCCGAGCAAGTCGGCTTCCACTGTCCTCCCCGCACAGGGACACGGTCCTGCCTAGGCTTCCGAGTGAGTCGGCTTCCACTGTCCTCCCCGCAGAGGGACACGGTCCTGCCTAGGCTCCGAGCAAGTCGGCTTCCACTAAACAGTCACGACTTAGAAGCGGCAATGTTTCATACATACGATGAAACTAAGGCCAAAGCCAAAGAGTCGGGAACACCTTCAGTTACCAAAGCACCTTGATTTCACAGGAAGAAAGTATCAAAAGTGTATCAATTCCCAGTGCCTGCTAGAATTAAAGCAGCAAAACATACGCAACTTCCTAAAATCCACCAGTTCCACAGGTCATTTTCCAGTGCTGACTGGTTTTTCAAAATCTTGGTCCAATTTCTCTCTGGCCCTCAATCAATCCTCACGGGCATTTTTCTTAATCAAGTGGAGAAGTGGAGGTTTGGAGGAGCTGAGTTCACAGGGACACCATTTCCTTGCAGAATGTAAGCCCTGGTATCCACCATGGTTAGGAAAGTCCTAAGAGGGGAAATAAGACTTTGCAATTTTTCCTCACATGCCCTCAACTGTGAATCCAAAAGTCACCTACACACGAGCATGAATTAGACACGCACTCAGAACATGCCGTCACCTACCTTCTTTGTCACCCCGAGCACTGCCCATGAGGAACCTGGACACGAGGGGTGTGCTTGACAAGGACAGACACGTGGAAATGAAGACGCTCTGCGTGGGTTTGATCCGCAAGAGATGCCCCCACAGCAAGCCAAATGCAATCATTAACAGTGTCATGTAACACGGCCCTTGTAAGGAAATCTTCCACACCTTAAAGAGAACACAGTGAGTCACACACTTTTTAGTGACAACAGGCAATGACCACACCACACAGACTTCACGCATTTCTGCATCCAGGAAAGGAGGCAGAGCTGAGCTTTTGTGAAGCAACGCTGGGGTCACCATCTGAACATGGTGAATCCTCACACAGGGCTTCCTCTGTGCCAGGCACTGTCACAGGGCTGCACACACACAATACACGCACACGCACTCTCTCCCCATGTGTGTGAATAGAACCTAATCCTCAGAACACCCTGAGCTCAAGATGACCATTTTCCCCACTTTCAGATGAAAACACCGAGGCACACACAGGTTAAGTGACTCGCCCAAGGTCACGTGGCCAGTAAATGTTGGAGCCAGGAAGTGCACCCAGGCCCTGTGGCTCGGCATTCGAAGCGGCTCTATAGTGCCTCGGGGTGCACTCAGCACTGTGTTAAACCAGACGGGAAGGTGGAAGAAAGCACGCTTCAATCGTAAAATAATAAAAACTACCGACATATAAACATAAATACGATACATCAACCAAAGAAATTAACCTGGAACTCCTCCTATTCCACGTGAAGTGCTCATTCATATTTTTTTCTCCTCACTGCATGGTCCCAATCAATATAAGCATCAATTCCCTAATTCCAGGCCCTCTACAGAAAGTGAAAGTTGGGGTGGGGGCCCTAGAAGGAAGGGGTGCAGGGGCTGTGTGGCTAAACATAGGCGTCATGGAGCAGCCGGGCACATGCGGCTCCGGGAGAGCCCACCCAAGAAGCCTGCCAGTCCCAACATAGGCAGCTCCAGGGGGGACCCACCCACCAAGCCCGCCAGTCCCAACATAGACAGGCAGCTCCAGAGGACCCACCCACCAAGCCCACCAGCCCCAACATAGGCAGCTCCAGGGGGGACCCACCCACCAAGCCTGCCATCCTAACACAGGAAGCTCCAGGGGGGACCCACCCACCAAGCCCACCAGTCCCAACATAGACAGGCAGCGCCAGGGGGACCCACCCACCAAGCCCGCCAGTCCCAACATACACAGGCAGCTCCAGGGGGGACCCACCTGCCAAGCCCGCCAGCCCCAACATACTCAGGCACCTCCAGGGGGGACCCACCCACCAAGCCCACCAGCCCCAACATACACAGGCAGTGTCAGGGGACCCACCCGCCAAGCCCACCAGCCCCAACATACACAGGCAGTGTCAGGGGACCCACCCGCCAAGCCCGCCAGTCCCAACATACACCGGCAGCTCCAGGGGGGACCCACCCGCCAAGCCTGCCAGTCCCAACGTACTCAGGCAGCTCCGGGGGGACCCACCCACCAAGCCCGCCA
Organism: Homo sapiens; assembly: GCF_000001405.40. Taxonomy (NCBI): domain Eukaryota; kingdom Metazoa; phylum Chordata; class Mammalia; order Primates; family Hominidae; genus Homo; species Homo sapiens. Next base: position 113,508,910 of record NC_000013.11, on the reverse strand, counting down.
GCCCCAATGTACCTTGGGTGCTTTGGAGCATGTGAGCCTTTCCCTCCCCACCTAGTTCTTAGTGAAAAATAACACTTCTTGCAAAATTACAACTTTTTTTTTGAGAATCAGGGAAATGAGCAGACACGCCCCAGCTTCCCACAGTTGTGACCAGCTGGCCTGCTTGTCCACCATGGAGCTTCCGGACCCCAAAGGGGAAGCACAGTGCCTTCCAACCCCATGAGGCCCGGGCTCACTTCATCTGAACACTGAGATGTCATGTGACAGGAGGCCAGCAGATGCCACTTAACAGCTCTGGGCTGCGGAGACTCAGGTAAGTCTCTACTCTGCTCGGCCCCCTCTCTCCTTCCACAAGGAGGGGAAGGGTCGGTCCCACAAAGCCTGCCTCTGAATTTCTTTTCTCTACTTCCTATGCTTGGCAATTGTGATGGTTATCACAGAGCGCGTCTCACACCCTTCCTCTTCCGAATATCACGGCCGAAGAGCAATGGAAGCACCCGTGCTGTCCACGCTGGCTGCAGCCTGAGGAGGCCACGGGCGTGGGGGTTACTCCTGCAAGCAGTGTTAGCCAGCTCTAATTCTGGGTCTTCCTAACCCTCAAGGGACACATGGAGTTGAGGCCTGATCTGCCACTAACTCGCTGTGCGCCCTGGGTGGGTAGCAATCTCTCTAGCTTTAGTTTCTATAGAGAACAGGCGAGACTCTGTTATCTCTGAGGTCATTACCAGGGTGAACCTTGTCTGACGTTATTATCTTGTGTTACCCCACATTCCAGCCAGGAGGGCCCTGGGAGAAAGGTGTCCAGACACCACAGTGGGAAACGGCACCAGGAAAGGCCACAGGGGCACAGGTGAGAGTAAGAAGCTTCCTGTTCAACACGGGACCCGTGCATGCATCAGAAACCCCATCTGCAGGTGCGCCCAGGTCAGAATCTGTGGGTTACCAAGCCCCCCAGATGGCTGCCTGTGGGCTGAAGGTCAGGAGGCGCTGACGGGAGGGCCCCTTGGCACCCCCGGCGCCAAGACACATTCTCCTGAAATCCCAAAATACAAGCCGCAGGGTAGGCACACACGTACGTTATACCTGCCTCACCCAGCAGCCCCTGAAGGGCCTGGAACACCACAGGTGCTCAACAGGTATTTGTAGTTAGAACAGAGAAGATACAAGACAGAAGCAAACGAAACTCCCAACCACAATGACTTGAGAAACAATCTGGAGAGAGGCAGAAACTGACAGACTCTTAAGAGATCAAGTTTAAGGAACAGTTGAAGTCAGGCTAGAGGAGCGAGCAGCTACAAGGGCGAGAACAGAGTGGGCAGCTTTCCTCAGCACTATGCACGGCGCAGTTTCGGGGCTTCAGTGTTCCAAGTAGTTTCTAATCATATCTTTAGAAGTCCTAAGAGGGGCCTTCTGGCAAGTATTAACATTTCAAAAACCCAAGGAAATTATTTTCCCACCCATAAGTGTGGTGTGCAAGCTAACCCACGTGGCAGGAGGCTCATCAGTTCAGAAAAGTCACTCCGGGTATCTCAGGTTATTCTAAAGCTTGGCCAGATATTTATACCTGAGTAATAAAAAGGGGAAAATAAACACATTGCTTAATAATGTCGTTTTCTGGGTGGATACAGATCTGCAATCCGAGTCCACAGACTTAGAAAAACAGCGGGATGCCGTCTCCATGAACCAGGGTGGGGCCAGACTCCGACGGCTCCCTCCGGGGACAGCAGCACAGGCTCGGCAACGGGTGAGAGGAGTTGGGACCGGGAGACCCTCGTCAGCGCCAAGACACCCGCACATCCCAGACACAGAAGGAACCCTGCCCAGCCCCACTCAATCAGATGTCAGCAAGGAGTTTCACAGACGTCTCCTGAGTCCCAATCCAGTGTCCTTCCACGCATCTGACTCTGTCACCACGCAGGGCAGCTGAGCACAACTTACTAACAGAGAACGCCAGCCTCTTGCCAAGCCCCCGAGTCTACACCACCAAGCAGGCACTTCAGAACCGGGTGCAAACCCTCGGAAGCACCATTAGACGACAGCAGGCCTGATGAAGCACATGCTCACGCTGCTCACAATTACCTCCACCTTACGTTATACAACATTATTTTTTATTTAACTGTGAATACTATAGTGGAGAAAAATACAAACTATGAAAATGCAGAGCCAGAAGACACTGGAGCCTTCTAGATTCCTCACTGTACAGGAGAGGAACACAGGTCCAGGCAGATCAGTGCCTTGTTGACGCTCTGCTGCACAGCCAGAACTTCATCCCTCCCACCTCCCCTACGGGTTGGCCCTAAATTGCCCTTTGCTGCAAACCTCTCTAAATTACACACACACACACACACACACTCACACACACACGCCCATGCTGCACCATGGAATGGAGGCCTTGTGTTTTTACGGAGTCTCGTGGGACACTGGTGAGACAGGGCACTGGACAGCCACATCCCCAAACCCCCTATAACAGGCTCCTCCACAGGCCAGGCAGCCACGCGGCCCACTCCCCCTTACCCTCCCCACCCATAACAGCTTCTTCCTCCACAGGCCAGGCAGCCACTGGCTGACACCCCCTTACCCTCCCCACCCATAACAGCCTCTTCCTCCACAGGCCAGGCAGCACGCGGCCCACTCCCCCTTACCCTCCCCACCCATAACAGGCTCCTTCCTCCACAGGCCAGGCAGCCACGTGGCCCACGCCCCCTTACCCTCCCCACCCGTAACAGGCTCCTTCCTCCACAGGCCAGGCAGCCACGCGGCCCACGCTCCCTTACCCTCCCCACCCACAACAGTCTCCTCCACAGGATTAACGGCAAGGATGACACAGCTTTTCATTAGGACCCAGGAGAGTGGTGAATTCTCTTTAATCATGGAGCTTAGAAATTAACAATTTACAAGAAATATAAAAAGATGCAAAGTACCTGGAGAACACCCTAAAGTTAATTCAGAACACCTTATGAGGATGCCTGTCTTCAGGAGTGTACACAGGAAAGGGAGAGTAATGGGAAGATGGAAAAACGGAGCTTTTAGTGGAAAAACAGAAAGATAAAGAAAACAAAAAGTTCTAGGTAAGAGGATGAACTGAGGAAGCAAATGGGAAGAGAGTATAAAGAAAAACATGCCAGTGAGATCAGAGTTGACTTCTGAAAGTAAACACAAGCCTTTAAAAGAAAAGTTTATTCTTCCTCCTAATGACAAAGTATTGACTGCTTATTATAGAAAATTTGGAAAATATGGAGAAGAAACCAGAAGTCATCATGGCTACCCGGAACGCTTCTTTCCCATTTTTCCCCCATGTATTGGTGCTTCTTTTACATTGCCGCGGTCATGTTACATGCTCCTTTTTTCCCCACATTTAGCTTTCCAACCGATATTTTGCTCTGTTGCTGATGCTCTTGTTACTTTGCAGTGGCTACCTAACACTCCATGGTAGTCACGCCGCAGCTGAACTGACCGTTAGATGCTCAGGACTGGTTCCACTGTTTCTTAAAAATTTACAATGAGGAGGTGAAACCTTTTGTGGGTAAATTTTTTAAAAACTTATGTTTGATTCTTTCCTTTGGAGAGAGACCTAGAAGAACTACCAGGTCAAGGCATATGTACATTTTAAGGCTTTTAGGTCAAATTGCTAGACAGCTCTCCAAAAAGAGTGTACAAATCCAAAGAGCTGGAGAAAATCTCCACAATCTATACATCCGACAAAGGACTAATATCCAGAATCTACAAAGAACTCAAAAAAGTCAGCAAGAAAAAAACAAACAACCCCATCCAAAAGTGGGCTAAGGATATAAATAGACAATTCTCTAAAGAAGATATACAAATGGCCAACAGACATAAAAAAATGCTGAACATCACTAATGATCAGGAAAATGCAAATCAAAACCACAATGCAATACCTTACTCCTCCAAGAATGGCCGTAACCAAAAAATGAAAAGAATAGATGTTGGCAGGGATGTGGGGAACAGGGAACACTTCTGCACTGCTGGTGGGAGCGTAAACTAGCACAACCACTAAGGAAAACAGTGTGGAGGTTGCTCAGAGAACTAAAAGTAGCTCTACCATTTGATCCAGCAACCCCACTGCCAGGGGAAAATAAGTCATTATACGAAAAAGAGACTTGCATGCACATGTCTAGAGCAGCACGATTTGCAGTTGCAAAAATATGGAACCAGCCCAAATGCCCATCAATAGAAAATGTGGTATTTATATACCATGGAATACTACTCAGCCATAAAAAGGAACAAAAAAGGGGTATTTGTAGCAACCTGGATGGAACTGGAGACCATTATTCTAAGTGCAGTAACTCAGGAATGGAAAATCAAACGTCGTATGATCTCACTCCTAAGCGGGAGCTAAGCTATGAGGACACAAATGTGTAAGAATGACACACTGGACTCTGCGGACTTGGGGCAAAGGGTGGTGGGTGGCGAGGGATAAAAGACTACACATCGGGAGCAGTGTACACTGCTCTGGTGACAGGTGCACCAAAATCTCACAGATCACCACTAAAGAACCTACGCATGTAACCAAACACCACCTGTTCCCAACAACCTATTGAAATAAAAAAATTTTAAATTAAAAAAAGAAGGAATACTACATGAGAGAGCTGAATGATTAGGCAAACCAGACACTGTAAATTAAGTCACTTTGTTTAAAATGACCAAGTCTTTCGTGGAAAAAAAACCCCAAAAATACAGAAAGGGTGTACAGTTGTGATTCTCACGAATCTGGTTCAAGAATGCCTGTTACATCTGACAGTCACTTAAAAACTTTTGCTAAGTCGATGCTAGTTTTCCAGCTAGCACTGCAGGCAAAGTGGTATCTGATCTTAATTCACAGGGTGTTTTTGTTATGAACAGTGTTCATTTTACCTCTCCCCACCCTGGCTTTTAATCAGCTACTTTCCTCTTTTGTGCGGTGTCTGGAAAAACAAAGTGTCTTTTAATTAACTCACTTCCAATTGACAAAGTTTTTTCTAGGGTAACACACTGAATATGCAAGCTCTATGACATCTGACCCTCTAACAGTTTCGCACCTTAGAGGGAGCCATCTATTAAAGTTCACACACATTACTTTCCAGACCCTTCCTGAAGTTAGCCATGTGAAGGCAAATTCCAATTCTTCACTGAATTTCTACGCTTTCAAACCTGATATTTTTTATCTTTCTGAATTTGTCCCAAAAATAACATCAAACCGAAATATCATATTCTATTCTAAAAACATTTGATAGTGAATTCATCAACAAGTGTTAAAAGTGTATGAACCAAAACCACATGATGTGAAGCTCCTTAGCTGCAGTAACAGGTTGATGAGGTCCTTACCTTTCTTAGCTTTTCTGGAGAAAATTCTAAGCCAACAAGAAAAAGAGTAAAAAACACCCCAAATTCTCCTAATGTCTCCACTTGCACAATAGACTGAAAAACACAAAAGAAAAACCATATAATTGTACATGTTTAACATATTAAGTATACTTAACTCAACAATCATGCCCTAGTATGCCCGGTGGAAGTATCCAAAACACACATACACACACACACACACACACACACACACACACACACACAATCACACAGTGTACTTCGATTAACCACTTCTCACTTTTGGCTAGTATGTGCTTTGATTTTTATCTTGGTCTATTTATAATTACATTATTTTCCATGGTTTAGCTGATTTATTAAGAATTATAATTTTTACAGCATCCAGTTGTATGTGTTACCCAGCCACTTCACCTTATTTGTTGGTTTATGAGCACCTTTGCTATTAAGAAAAAGAAGGAAGGAAATTTGTATTTGCTTTTATTTGCAAAGGGCAGGAAGTGATTTTTCACCTCTGGTGTTTTATACTTGAATCACGTGAAAAAGACCTACTCCAAAAACTACATTGAAACAGCCGTTCTTCCCAGAGGCCATTCTGCCAAGGCGAGCCCTGTCCTGGGAGCCCCCACACGTGGGCTTGCGGCTCCTCTGCCGGCCAGCCGCTCCCCAGGCCCAGGGTGCTGGGCGCGCTCCTCTTCACCAGCTGGGGCTCGAGCTCCTCAGACCCCTCCTGCCGCCCTGCGATCTGGAGAAAGCCCTGGGGCTCCTGGGCCTAGTCCCAGGCTCAACCAGCAGCAGAGGGAAAGAGGCTTGGAGGGAGCAGGCTGCACTCCTCCCCGTCCCACCCCCTGGCACGCCTCCCTCCAGTGGGACTCATGGCACCCACTCTGGCACCCGTTCTCCACGCTGCTCGCACCGTGAGTGTTGTGGGGAGACAGCTGGAAGCTTGGGAACCTTTCCTCCCTGTCAGAAGTGCCATCAGTGTGACGGGGCCCAGCAAACAGCCCCACTGCCCACTGCCTCGACTGGGGCTAATCAGCTTTTCCATGTGTTGTGAATGGGATGCTTAAAAACAGTTAATGGGCCAGGCAGGGTGGCTCATGCCTGTAATCTCAGCACTTTTGGAGGCCGAGGCGGGCGGATTATGAGGTCAGGAGTTCAAGACCAGTCTGACTAACATAGTGAAACCCCGTCTCTACTAAAAATACAAAAAATTAGCCAGGTGTGGTGGTGTGCACCTGTAATCCCAGCTACTCAAGAGGCTGAAGCAGGAGAATCATGTGAACCCGGGAGGCGGAGGTTGCAGTGAGCCAAGATTGCACCATTGCACTCCAGCCCGGGTGACAGTGCGAGACTCTGTCTCAAAAACAACAACAACAACAACAACAAAAACGGTTAATGCAACACTTTGGTTACATTCAGCACGTGAAAGGTGGTCTGAATAACCTGGTCCAGCACGTTACTGGAAATGGAGTCCTTAAAACTAATGGAAACGAGCAGGGGCGTTGTCTCCAGTAACACCGCCCCTTCACTAACAGGCACAGCGACTTCCTGAGGGTTCAGAGACTTCCCGTGACACCTGAAAGGACATCTTTGAAATGGTTTATACGAAGCTGGTATCTGCATTAATCACATTCAATACTTTTTAGTCTTCATGAATTCTCTTTTTATATTCTGTTAAACAGATACCAAAACAATCCAATTTTGTTCTTACCTTAATACTATTTAGTCCTGAAGGTCCCAGAAGTACACCACAAATAATATAACCAAACATTGTAGGCAATCCTATGGCTGTACATAGCCAGCCACAAGGCAAGGACAGCATTCCTATGGTAACAATGTCCTGAAGAATAAAATAAATAAGAAACAGAAGTATAAGATAACAGTGGTAAGAAGGGGGCTGGCTGGCTGAGGCACAGAACAGGACGTAGTTCCCCGATTTCACCTGATGGGAATGAAGGGTGAAGACAAAACCACCGATTTTCCTCATGCTGAGGATCCCAGAGAAGCTGAAAATATGAAGAGTGTATTCTGGGAATAGATGGAGTTAGTTTTTCATGGCCTAAAGATTACAGTCACCCCTCGGTATCTTTGGGGCAGTGGTTCCATGATCCTCCCCTGCCCCCCAGACCAGAATCCTCGGATGCTCAAGTCTCTGATACAAAACGGGATGGTATGTGCATATAACCTAGCACATCTTCCTATATACTTTAAAGCACCTCTAGATTACTTATGATACCTACACAATGGAAATTGATGTCATATTTTATTTGTATTTTTATTGTATTGTTATTCTTGGGTCTTTTTTCTGAATATTTTCATCCACAGTTGGTTGAATCTGAGGATGCAGAGCACGTGGACACAGAGGGCTGACTATACAGCAAAGTTTTTGTTTTGCTTAAGCCCCATAAGAGTGTTCTAAGAATTCTGAGTCCTAGAATTCCACTGAGTTTTCTAATCTGGGAAACTCTCAGTGCTGGTGTCCAAACTGTAATTCACGTGGCTTTGCCATGACGGGTGCAGGCAGGAATCTTTAGTGGGCGCTGGCACTGCTGCACCTGCAGCCCTGAAGGTCAGTGAGGAGCAGGATACTTACAGTCTCAAAATCTCTCCCTGGAAATTGATTATTCATTACAAAGGGAGAAAGAATAGTTTTACAGATACCTCCACCCCTTCTTGGAGGGCACTGACAGAGTCACTCGGCAGCCCCAGCCCTCCTGGGACCCACTCCATCGTGACCACATCTCTCTCTGGCTAGTCCTCTTCCTCTCGCCTGAGATAGCACCGTCTTTGAGCCTAGATTCTCTGGCTTGGTTTCTGCTCCTGTACAAACCTCCAGTCTCTGCTGGAGACCTGACAGTATATCAGATCTTGCCAAGCTTCCCTGAGGGGCTGCACCTGTCATGGTCGTGCCACTCCCTCCTGAGTGACCACCCGAACCATGATGCTCTCAGCTTCAAGTACCTCCCTGCATAGCCTTTGTCTAGACCAAGTTCCTGGGAGGAAACAGGTCTGAATCCAGTTCCATCTGGAACGCCAGGCACTGCTGGATGGGTTCTCATGCTCTGCACCCCAGGGCTAAATGAAGCCATATATGACTCCTTAGCCAAGACCTCTCTGCCTTTTAAGGATTTTTAATTTTAGTGAAAATGGTTTTTAGATGACTAAAGCTTTAATCCCATTACAGTAACTCCTAATTTCAAAGTCTTCCAAATTCTCCAAAACAAAATTAACTTTCATTTTAAATATTAAAGTATCTTATTCCTTTAGAAAAAAAGATTAGAAATTAAGGGAAGATGCCTCAAATCACAGATAATGTACGGAATTCTAGTAAAATCTCTGCTAGAAGGAAGGCTGTGCCTTGTTCAGAAGATAAAGCTCGGTCATACTGACACCATGAACCAGGAATTGGGGGAAGGCAGGCATCCCCACCATGACTCACTACCTTTATAAAGTGGTGATCTGCACGTGGGATGGTTGAATCTCTGGGCTTGGTCAAAATATACTGGTTGTTCTGGGAGTCAATCAGCATGCTAAGACCCAAGTCATCCTCCACTTCTCGTTTTGTTATATTTTGCTTAGAATTGGCCTCTTCTTCCTCCACCCTCAGAACTGCCTCAAAATTGACCCCCTTGACCTGCAAGAATAATAATATTATGCAATTAAAATCCATTAAATGCTTTCAATTTTTGGAGAATGAACGCTAAACAGAAGAATGTTAAAAATACATCAATCAGTGTTCATTAGCAGTGAATTAGGACTTCTTTTTCAATTAAAGAAGTAATTTAAGAATGGATAGGTTTAGGATTTCTGCTACTTTCCAAGATCTACTTCACCATTCTTTCAAGAAATTCATAGCCCTTAAAATACGAGTTCTCCTCTAATTCCATAACTAGTAGATTTTAAAACAACTTGTTTCTTCTGCTCTATTTTTATTCTCTCTGCTTTCTTTTCTAATCTTATTCTGATTTGTTTTTATTACCCAACCTTTTTGTGAGTCCTCAAGACCCACAGTCAATTTTCGTCATCAGTCCCACTTTTTTTCTTAGAATCTTAAACACACTACAACAAATGAGCAGCCTGAATTCCTGCTTCAGAGATGAAGATCATTTTCTATAAGAAGTTCAATGTTCCCCTGTTACAGGTGTTCAAACCAGAGCGACTCCATCTTGAATATGAGCAGGGTAAAATGAGGATGAAACCTACTGGGCTGCATGTCCGGGACAGGCATTCTTAGTCACAGGGTGAGACAGGAGGTCGCCAAGACTGATATCACAAGATACAGGCCACAAAGACCCCGCTGACAAAACAAGATGCAGTAGAGAAGCCAGCCAAAACCCACCAAAACCAAGATGGCAATGAGAGTGACCTCTGCTCGTCCTCACTGCTCACTATATACTAATTATAATCCATTAGCATGTGGAATGACACTCCCACCCGCGCCATGACAACTTACAAATGCCATGGCAACATCTGGAAGTTACCCTATGTGGTCTAAAATGGGAGGAACCCTCTGTTCTAGTAAACCGCCACCCCTTTCCCAGAAAATTCATGAATAACCTACCCCTTGCTTAGCATGTAATCAAGAAATAATCATAAAAATAACCCACAGGGCTGCTCGCCTATGGAGTTGCCATTGTTTTGTTTCTTTACTTTCTTAATAAACTTGCTTTCACTTTACTCTATGGACTACCCCTGATCCAAGAACTCTCTCTTGGGGTCTGGATTAGGACCTGTTTCTGGTAACACCCCAGTAGATCAGCATTAAACCCAACTGTCCAGGCTGTCCTGAGACTAGAGTCCCAGTGTCCCAATCCATCTGGCCTCTGGAAAATGCAGACAAGCTGCTGAGGAGGGGAACTGACTGTCGGTGTTAAAAATATAAAAGGAAAATAAAAGATAATTAGCTTACTTCTACAAGACCAAATTATTTTCTCTACGACAGAGAAGCATTTTAGTTTGTCTTCATTTTCAATCTACATTAAAAACATACACGTGAACAATTTCAACAACATGTCTTCTGATTAGTGAGTGGCTCAGGAGGTGAAGAAGCAGCTGTTCTGGAACGCTTACTGATTTATTGTCGTCAAAAGCATGTTCCTCTATCTCTTCCTCCAGACGATCCGCTGCCTTTCTTACATCTTCAAGAATCTCGTCAAGCATGGATAAACTTTGGTTTTGATGTTGCATATTTTTAAGGGCTTCAACTTGATGTTTTTCTGCTGCCAGAAGTTCCATATATTCTGTTTCTTCCTATTCATTTGTAAGAAAAGAAGAGTGAGATATATTAAGAAATAAGCTAGGACATGACTTTCTTAATCAATCCTCCTGCTTTGTCAAATGTCCCTGTTCATATGTCAATAACTTAATTCTGGTCAGCTAGGGAAGTCACGTGTCCTAGTTATTCAAACATAACTGAGCTTAGCCAAATGTTTAGGGAAAGGTTTTTGTGTACGTACATCAACACACGTAAGAAACATTTGTTACACAAAAGTAAATGTAATATCTGTAGGTCATCCATTCACACAAAACTCATTTACTCAACAGTGACTGTGCTCCAGGTCTATCATGTGTGTGAGTGCAGCGGTACTTTAAAACCAGATGTGAGACCTGAATGTGGAGCTACTATCTAAATGCAATGCACAGTCAAATTCAAGTTACAAGGGAAAGCTGTTCCAAAACACATGTAGAAACCAACAGCATTAATCATTTGAAGAACTGATGGATGATGCTGGCAATATAATTTAGTAATGTATTTTACACAATTATATTTAATCAATAATCTTACTTTTAAACATTTATTCTTAGCTAAAGGGGTGGGACAAGGCCAGAGCAGAGAGGACCAGAGCCTAGAAGAACATCATCGCCTCAATTACTAAGTAGTCATGAGACATCATCTGATGCCACTGACAAAGAGCTGCAGGTCTCACACAGCTGCAGGTCTCTCACACAGCTGCAAGACTCACACAGCTGCAGGTCTCACACAGCTGTAGGTCTCACACAGCTGCAGGTCTCACACAGCTGCAGGTCTCACACAGCTACAAGTCTCGCACAGCTGCAGGTCTCACACACAGCTGCAGGTCTCACACAGCTGCAGGTCTCACACAGCTGTAGGTCTCACACAGCTGCAGGTCTCATACAGCTGCAGGTCTCACACACAGCTGGTCTCACACAGAGCTGCAGGTCTCACACAGCTGCAGGTCTCACACACAGCTGGTCTCACACACAGCTGCAGGTCTCACACAGCTGCAGATCTCACACACAGCTGCAGGTCTTGCACACAGCTGCAGATCTCACACACAGCTGCAGGTCTTGCACACAGCTGGTCTCACATAGCTGCAGGTCTCATGCACAGCTGCAAGTCTAGCACACCAAAGCAGACCTGACACACAGCTACAGGTGTTAGCACACAGCTGGGGCCTATCACAGAGATGCAGGTTTGACTGACACACAACTGCAGACTTGACACACAGCTGCAGGTCTATCACACAGCTGCAGGTCTGACACACAGCTGCAGGTCAAGCACGCAACTGGAGGGCTAGTATAGCTGCAGGTCACCGGCACCTGGAGAATCTCAGCATAGGAGATAATAACTAGCATATGTTAAAATACTGTTGATATGTTATGAAGTGTGCATACCAGGAGCCAATGTTACTCAAACTCATGTTTTTTCTCTATAATAAAACCACCACAAATCTGGACCTTACCAATGTATCTTCACGTCTCCACTGTACACAGGGTCACAGTAGCTCATGCACATATCACACAGGCAAGACAAATGAATCAGTGTTATTGAAAACCTTGATTTATACATTTGCCTGATAATCATATTTCTCTCCCCCAAAATATATTTTGGTAAAGAAAGTTTAATGTCTGTATTTTCTCTAACGTTTATGCTGTGTAATAATATCACAGGTTTTTCTATGAAGATGACGTGATACTTTATATATTTAAAGGGCTTGGCATGATGCTTGGTATAGTAGAGGTACTCAAGAAATGATGGCTTTAAAAAATGTAAACAGCTAATACAACATCTGATACAGTAATTTCAGAAACTTCCCATCATTTTAAAAGCATACTTGGTCAAAGTCCTTAATTCAAATGTATATATTAGTTTAAAACTAATTTTAGTATTTTTATTTTCGATATATGACACTGAAGAAAAGTCAAACTTCACACTAAAAGGAACTCCTGTCAGAAACTCAGCAAATGTTGATTTAAGTTATATTTATCTTTGCATCAGTTTACTAGTACAACTTGAATAACTTTTTGAATTACCAGGGGATTTCTCTATAGAGAAAAGTATGAGACTGGCTCCTTCTAGAAGTAAGAGCTACACTATTATGCAAAAGGAAAAGATTCTCCCTCACATGAGAGATTTTTCTAGATGCGATTTCCTGTGAAAGACAACACCTGAGCGACATCAGCAGCATTCACGCCTTCCCTTCCTGTCTGCTCCCCAGCTCCGTGTGGGCTGTCTCTAGGATGAGGATGTGGGCACGCACTCTCCCTCTCTCTTCACCTCTCTCTCCCTCTCCCTCTCTCTCTCTCTCCCTCTCTAGGACTGACCTTTATTGCAGCCTCTCTCAGGGCCTCCAGGCGCTGCCGGCTGCTCTCCTTCATGTTCACGACATCTTTGTAATCCCCCTGCAGGGCTCTCTGCAGTCCGTAGACAGCTTGGAAAACGGAATTTTCACTTTCATTCAGCTCTTTCTGGAAAATTTCAAACGTGTGCACCTGAAACAGTTTCTCTTCATCCGACAGGCCCACGTCTTTCTCCACTGCTCCAATTGCAGTTTTCAGTTTGTTCAGAACTGCATTCTTCTGGCGGAGAAGCCCTGAGAGCTTCCTGCAGCTGTCCCGGACCCACTGCCGGCTCTGCATGGCAGCCACCCCTCGCCCGCGGTGCAGTTTGATCACACGCTGCGCCACCTCCTCGTGCTCCACAGCCTGCACCGCCCAGGGAAGGACGGGAAACAGCACCCAGAAGAAGCTTCTTCCCAACACCTTCATGATCCAGGTCCGGAGGGCAGGGCACAGCAATCCACGGGTCTCTGCCCCACTGAGCTTGCATGTCAGACACACATTTTCAGCTGAAAAAGAGTTATTGTCACACATAGTTAAACAATGATTCATTACTATTGATCAGAGTATTAAATAATCAGATCTGAAAAACTGACACCTTTCTGAAGAAATTCTCATTTTTCCTAGATAAATATCAACATCTAAACTATTTATTTCACTGAGATTAAAATCAAATACTGAATGTTGATGTACCTTGTATGGTGCTTTGTGAAGGGCTGAGATGATTAAAGGTCAGCTACATCTTTATAGAAAGGATTAAAGGTCATTTTTTTGGGGGGCGACGCAGCCTCGTATCTCTACCAACTCCACCATGTGCAAAAGACATTAACCAAGTCTATTTAAGAGAGTCCATGTTGGTTGGGCATGGTGGCTTATGCCTGTAATCCCAAGCACTTTGGGAGACCAAGGCAGGCAGATCACCTGAGGTCAGGAGTTCAAGACCAGCCTGGTTAACATGGTGAAACCCTGTTTCTACTAAAAATATGGGCCTGGTGGCGCACGCCTGTAATCCCAGCTACTAATCGCTAGAACCCGGGAGGCGGACGTTGCAGGGAGCCCAGATCACGCCATTGTACTCCAGCTTGGGCAACAACAGCAAAACTCTGTCTCAAAAAAAAAACAAAAACAGAAAGTCCATGTTATCGAAGCCCAGAAAATACCATCAACTTCCCCTCACAGGTCACTGGGTTGCTTGGGGACACCATGCTCAACGTCACTCCAGAAACGAAATCTTCTGAGCTACTGTTAGCTCTGCAGGCTTCTTAAAATCATTTGAAATGTTGCCACATTTCCAAAGTCAGTCTACAGTCAAGTGCTACCAAGATGTCAAGAATTAAAAATATATATATATATATGCCACAATACCTAGATCTCTAGAACTTTTTGTTATCATCCCAATTCAGTCTCCTTCTCTTCCTTTCTTTAGGAATACCTAAAACAATGTATATTAATTTATCCTGGCAAGGCACAGCACAGACAGGAACCTGCTTTCTGAACATTACTGCTGGGGGAATGAGGACGGTTTCAGTGCGGCTGTAGCCGTGGTGTCCAGGTGGTGATGAGCAGGGGTAGGGCAAGGCACCCAGACAGGAGCACTGTTCAGAAAGCAGGATGAGACAGCGGCCAGCAAAGGTCACTAAGGCAGAACGAGCTGAGAGGTGGGAAACCGAGACCGTGGAAGGAAGGAGTAATAAACGTAGAGTCCGTGGAATTTGGCCACTAGGAGATCACCAGTCACAAGTAGCTATCCCAAAAAAGGCAACAAAACCAACACCTACCACTTACGCAGATTTACAGTTTAAAGTAAACAACAACAAAATATTAACCTAACCATTCTTCATAGCAGCATCCAATGGACTGTTACTCAGGAATTCCTACTCAACCATCACATATTACAAAGATTCCCCGACCTGGAAACCTGGTTACTAAAAGATGTATCTATATATCTATACTTTCATTTCACTGCTAACCCAAATTCTAATTGGTTTAATCGAGTTTCCCAGGCAAAGTAGGTTAGATGCAGCAAAAGTAAGGGCAGCATTTCTGGAGGCAGCATTCTGCCCAAACCATGAAATGGCAGCCACAGAAAGAGACAAACCTTATGCAAAACAAACAGGAGAACTAAAAAAGCCTGGAGGCCAGATGACTCGGTGAAGGCTCAGCGACTGTCTGCACCCCAGCAGGTCCTGAAGACAGTACTGTGTTAGACAACAGTACTGATCAGAATTACAAGCAAAAGTCACCAAGAAAAGACTATATTCTGGTTAGAAAGTGTTCA
This sequence comes from Homo sapiens, assembly GCF_000001405.40. Lineage (NCBI taxonomy): Eukaryota > Metazoa > Chordata > Mammalia > Primates > Hominidae > Homo > Homo sapiens. The sequence goes on along the minus strand of NC_000013.11, from coordinate 113,493,732 downwards.
ATTCAAAACATTCTTGGAGACTGACTCCCAAAAGGAGAAGCACACTCCACAGAGAATTCACTTACCTAGAACAGGTAACTTCCTAACAAGATAGGATAAATGATAATGTGCTGTTCCAATCACTCAATTTTATGTTAGTTTCAATACAACTTTAAGTACACGTGTACAACTTTAAGTACACATTTACCACCTTAAAAACAAACAATGAGGCAATCACTTAGTCATGCCTAGCCATATAGCTGAGCTGTTATTTTAATGACTCACTCAACTGCTAAGCTTCTCTCGGTTGGTCCAACGGAGCTAAATAAATCAACAGCTACTTCACAAGTGAACTTTTAGTATTTTCCAGAACCAAGACAGAAATCTGAGATGCTTTGCTTACACTTCCCAGTTTCCCCAAAAGATCCCAAAAAGTGATTCTTTGATGGATTTTATGCTTCAGAAAAATAAGTTTCAACACAGCTCATGTGTGAATGACACCTCTATGTTCATTTCTGGTTCCTTCCTCAATCAGGTTCCTAAAATTAGTTGTCCCTCTAAGGGAGCTATAATTTTTATGAGAAACCTTTGAGGATTTTAGTTGTAGTTATACTAAAATTTCCCACTGAAACATACTCATAACATGAAACTGAAATTATTTATGGACCCTTAAAATACAAATCACCTTTATTCAAACTCATTTCATTTTATCTTCAAACTTGCCTCCAAAATCCTACTGACTACTAAATTGTAGCATGTTTTTTGAGCAAATTAGTAAACATCTTTAGCTGTTCTAGTTATTAAAAAGACACTTTGGATTCCTGTAATGTGTTTTTTTTGTTGTTGTTGCTGTTTGAGACGGAGTTTTGCTCTTGTCACCCAGGCTGGAGTGCAGTGTTGTGATCTCAGCTCACTGCAACCTTTGCCTCCCGGGTTCAAGCAATTCTCCTGCCTCAGCCTCCCAAGTAGCTGGAATTACAGGCGCTCGCCACCACACCCAGCTAATTTTTGTATTTTTAGTAGAGACGGTGTTTTGCCATGTTGGCCAGGCTGGTCTCAAACTCCTGACCTCAGGTGATCCACCCACCTCAGCCTCCCAAAGTGCTGGGATTACTTTTTAAATAATGAATTCTTAGAATTTCTGCATCTTGAGCAATTGATACACATAACAATGCGGATGTATCTCAAGGCTGAGTGAAAAAAAATCTCAATTTTATTGAGAAGACACACAGGTGTAGATTCACACTCACTAGTGCATGTATAGTTGGTGCAATCTCAACAGGTCAGGGGATTTGATCAAAGAAAATTCCCCACATATACTATGGTTTTGCAAGGTGCTACCATTGGAGAAAACAGGGCAAAGGCACTCTGTAGGATTTCTCTGTATTACTCCTTACAACTTCATGTGATCTACAACCATCTCAAAATAAAAAGGTTTTCAAATTCTACCTAAGACCAGGTGCGGTGGTTAATGCCACTGCTGTATTACGACACAATTATCTGTATTCCCAGCGCTCTGGGAGGCTGAGGTGGGCGAACTGCTTGAGGTCAGGAGTTGGAGATCATCCTGGGCAACACAGCAAGACCCTGTCTCTATTAAAAATGAAATAATTAGCCGGGCGTGATGCTCCCTGTGGCCCCAGCTCCTGGGGAGGCTGAGGCGGGAGAATCGCTTGAGCCTTGACCAGCCACTGCACTCCAGCCTGGGCGACAGCAAAACTCTGTCTCAACAACCACAAAAAAGCTTTAGAATATTTAAGTCAAGCCTGTAGGAGAAAAAAACTACAAATATTTCACAAGTAATCCAATCATTAAGACACTCCTTTTGAAAAAGCCGGTAAATAAGATAAATTTGGAAGACAGAATAATCAGAAAAACAGGCAGTGAATAGGGACCCGATACGCAGCGGTCTTGCTTCCCCCGCGCAGGCGTCCACACCCTGGGTCATGGACACCGTGAGGAGCCGTTAGGAGTCACAGGAGGGGGGCCAGGGACAGGGCTGCATCTCTGCGGCCGGCCCTGGAGGCCCCGAGTCCACCCGGGCGGCCAGGGTGGGAACGCAGGTTCCATTCCAGGTTAGAACGTGGGCCTCAGCGAAGAGCGCCTAGGCAAGGCCTGGAGGAGCGGGACCCCAGGCCACACAGACCACCCGACCCCGGGAGACAATACCTGCAAGAAAAGGGGAGCCCCGAGGAGAGAGAGAGGGGAGGTGAGCCCCAGGGAGGGAGAGAGAGGAGGGGAGCCCCAGGGAGGGAGGGAAGGAAGGAAGGGGACCCCTGGGAAGGGAAGAAGGGAATGGGAGCCCCGGGGAGGGAGAGAGGGGAGCCCCAGGGAGGGAGGGAAGGAAGGAAGGGGACCCTTGGGAAGGGAAGAAGGGAAGGTGAGCCCCGGGGAGGGAGAGAGGGGAGGGGAGCCCCAGGGAGGGAGGGAAGGAAGGGGACCCCGGGAAAGAGCCCCGGATGGACGGGCCTGGTGCTCACCGGGACGCAGGGATCCGCGCCCGCCCGTCCGGCCCGAGCATCACCGTTCCGCGGCCTGGGCCGGGCTCTGAGGCGCCAGGACCCGAGGGGCGGAGGGGGACGCTGTCTCCCGCCTCGGAGCGCAGCGCCGGAGGGCTTCCTTGCATCCCTTCCCAGGCGGGACCAGGGAGGCCGGGAGGCCGGGAGTCCGGGAGGGAGCGGCCGCCGCCCTGCCCAGCACCGCCCCCGCTCAGCCAAGCCGACCCGGACTCCCGCCCAGCCGCAGTCACTGCCCCCTTTAAGAGGCGGGGCGTGGGCGGGTCCCGTCGGCCGCGGGCGGCGAGCACTTCCTGGCCGGCGTGGGGCCTGGCAGCCGCAGGCTGGCGTTGGACCCCGCAGGGGCGAGCCAAGGCCCTCGCAGAGGGCTGGACGCGCAGGGGCTGTGGGGCGCGAGCTCCCGTGGGCCCCCGGGCGGCGCTGAGCATGCCGGGAGTGGGAGTCCCCGCGGCCGGCTCCCGGCACTGCCCCGGAGCCGAGGGCCGCGGCCGTCCGAGGACGAGGGCGGAGCCGCCGCCGCGCCTGCGCAGAAGGCCGGGGCCGGCCAGAAGCGGGCGGCGCGGGGGAGATGGTAGGTGGCCCGGCGTCGCCTCTGCCCGTCGGGGTCGGGGTCGGGGTCGGGCCCCAAGGTCGGCGCAGGCGGCGCGCTGGATGTGGGAGGCCGAGCCCAGCGAGCTGCGCGGGGCGTTCCGCGTGGATCCGAGGGAGGAACGCGCCGCGGGCCCGCGAGCCGGAGCGGTGGCGTCGGAGGCGCGGGACCGCGGGGAGCGCGGGTTTGACCCGGAGCCGCGAGGGACGACCGGGAGTGAGCGGAGGGCGGGGGCCGGGAGGAACTGTAGGGGCCTTGGGGCAGGGGCCGGGGCCGAGCGGGAACCCAGGCCGGGGGCTTCCCAGGGCGGCTTCGAAACGGGCAGTCGAGGCGGGCGAGGGCTCGGCTGCTCCTGCGGGCGTCTGTGCAGATGCTGAGGCTGTTGACCAAAACAGCGCAAGGAAGGAATCCGCGAGAAGCTCAGATTCGCGGGGGAGGCCCTGCTGCCGGGAGGGGAGGGAGAGGCACAGCGGGGCCCTAGCGCGGGCTCTAGCCGGGAGCTGTAGCGTGGCTGTAGGTGTGCATCTGTGGAGCTGGTAGAGTTCCGCAGCGCAGGAGGGAGGCTGCTGGAGGTGCACATCAGTTACTTTGAAATGTGGTGGAAATGGTGATGGATGGGATTTATTCAGTCCACATCGGTTCAGAGGCCAGCAAGGTGCTGCTGGGTGTGACTGGTGCTGGGCCAGGCATGATCTTGGCGTTGAGGGAGTTGATGCCCCAGCAGGGGAGACAGGCACCAGATGCACAATTGTTTGACCACAGTTGGGACAAAGGCTAAGGCACGGGTTCCAGGAACTTGTAGGATGCGGCTGTGGGAGTGGTGTCAGATGCTGAGGGTGTGAGTTGAACTGTGGAGAATTTCTCTGGAAATTAGCCAGAGAAAAAGTGAGGTTCCGGGGCAGCCAGCCGTGTGCGGCTCCAGGCAGAAGAAACAGAATGCACAGACCCTTAGTGGTAGGCGATGATGACGTATAGGAGCTGAAAGATTGTCCTGGCTAAGGCACAGAGAGCCACCGGAGAAGGGACACGGTAACGTGTAGAGGGGAGTGGAGGGTGAGGACAAGCTTCAGGATGGGAGAAGAGCCACAAAGGAGACTGAGAGGGGGCTGGTAGGAGAAACCAGGACACTAGAATGTGTCGAAACCAAGAGGATGGAGTTTAAAGGAGGAGGGAGCCATCAGCAGTGCTGAACAAAAGAGCAGCTGAAAAGATCCCACTGACCGCAGCAGCCGAGCTTTTGTGACCTTTAGGGGTCACTGCGGAGGCCGGGCTGGAGCCAGGTAGCCTGAGTTAGGATGCACACCTGGGCAGGTAGAGATAGCTTGCTCCAGCTTTTAGGAGGACAGGGGCAGAGTGGACAGGAACTTAGTTTGGGGAAAACTTGAACATGTTCAGGATGCTGGAGAGGAGCGTTCCACTGCTGCCGAGGTTGGAGATCCAAGAGCAGGGATGAATTTAACTCCCCCTCCCTCTAGCGTGCTGTATACCGAAACAGAGTGAAAGTGATCCATAAACTTACGTAGTTTATTCGATCAACATGATTGGCCCGCCAGCCCCGGGTAAGTTGACCCTAAGGACATTTTAAGAGTAATTTCTTTCCATTTTACATATGGGTATCCTTGGTGCCAGATTATATGAGTCGTATTTCACAAGGTCACAATTAAAGTGTTTGAGACTTTTTTATAGTTTAGAGATTTTATTTGCTGTTTCCACTGGATTGTCCAGATTTTTATTTCAAGAATTGTGTACATTTTAACAGAAATAATGAAACCTAGAAAATGCCTTCCCCCCACCCCATGTACACACTTTAAAAGCTGGCCTTAATAATTTAATTTGCATGATGTGGTAAGCCTCAGTGAAGGTTGTGAGCTTGAAGGGCGGCCCTAGTTCCAGTGTATCCACCTTGATTAGATTGACCTGGGTTCAGTCCTGTCTGGGTGCACTCGAAGCTTCTTGCCAACGTCTGGGCCTTTGTTAATTTGACCTGGGTTCAGTCCTCTCTTGGTGCACTCAAAGCTTACTGCCAATGTCTGGGCCTTTGTAAATTTGATCTGGGTTTAGTCCTGTCTAGAGGGACTCGGCTTCCTTCTCTCCCCTGTAGTTTTTTAGTTGACGAGCCTTTTTGTTTCCTAAGAAGCTTTATGCCAGTTCCCTTTTTCACAAGAGGTAACTTGGGTCTCTCAGTCACTTTTGGACATGAAGCACCTAGTCTTTAGACTTAGCTATCGATCATTGCTTTAATCACTGTTATTTTATGGAGAAACCTGTAAGGGGTGACATCAAATGATTGCAGCTTTGTTGACTGACCAGAGGCCTGTTAATGGACTAAGCCTAGACCCCAAAGCTTCTCTTGCTCCTTCAGAACCAGTGCCTTGGCACCACCGTGTGGTTCAGGGTTTACTGGAGTATCTTGTGACATCAGACAATTTGAGTAGATTGCAGGGGGCTCTTCGTGTTTCTGGATACCGACTTCTGTCCACTCTAGCTAACAGTAGTGATTCAAAGCCATTTTGAGTGGCCTGGATCCATGTGCTCCTGCATCTGTTCTTCTAGAGTTCCAAGAAATTAGGCTGCTGGTGTTATGGTGTTGTCACACATTAGGGGAGGCTTCAAGGGGTTATCGGCAGGAGCTCAAGATCAGACACCATCATATCTTCCAGATTTGCACATTCCTGGTGTGGAGTCATCAGTTGTATAATGCTGGTTAAATAATTCAGTCGCCGAAGAGTATATTAGTCTGCTGATTGGTCTTGGAGGGTCTGAGGGTACAATGTTGAATTTTTTTAGGTGAAATTCATATAACATAAAATTAACTATTTTAAAGTGTACAATTCAGTGGTGTTTAGTACGTTCACAAATTTGTGGAACCACTACCTCTATCTAGTCCTAAAACATTTTTGTCACCCCGAACGATAACTGTACCCATTAGCAGTCACTCCCAACTCCTCCCTTGCCCCAGCCCCTGGCTACCACTCACCTTTCTCTCTATATAGATGTGCCCATTCTGGATATTTCATATAAGTGAAATCGTACACTGTGTGGCTGGAATCGCACACTGTGCGGCTGGACTCATGCACTGTGCGGCTGGAGTCGTGCACCGTGTGGCTGGACTCGTGCACTGTGGCTGGAGTCGTACACTGTGCAGCTGGAGTCGTGCGCTGTGTGGATGGAATCATACACTGTGTGGCTTCTTGTGCCTGGTTTCTTTTACTCAGTGTCAAAAGTTCATCCATGTGGCATGTATCAATACTTCATTCCTTTTTATGGCCGAATTATGTTCCGTTATATGGATATAGTAAATGTTGTTGTATAACCATGGCAGATTTTTAAATCTAGCAACGATGACCACTTCCATAATAAGGGCGTCATGGCTGTTCCTGGTGGTGGACCATTTTGGGGGCTGCACTTCTGTCTTTATCCTAAGGTTTTTGAGGTAATTCTTGGCTTTGCTCACCCTCCCTTGGGAAGGCTGTCAACTTCATAAAAAGACTCTAGCTGTATCTTTTGTCAGCTTACGGTCAGAGACTATGGGATCTGCCTTAATTTAGCTAAATTTGATCTTACCAGAGAATACAACCTTGAATTTTTTGTTTAGTTCTTTTCAAAAGCTCAGTTTCAGGAAATAATGTAGTGAATATGTATTCCATTTATTCCTCTAGAATCTAGATCGGGGTCGGCAAACTACAGCCCACAGGCTAGCTGTCTGTTTTTGTAAATTGAGTTTTATTGGAACACAGCCTACGGCTGTCTGCTTTGGCAACAGACCCACAGGCCTGAGATGGCAGAGATGGCTGCTGTCTGGAACATTAAGAGACAAAGTTGGCTGAATGAAGGCTTCTGATCTTCTTCATCCGTTCTTAATCTGAGTTCTACCTTCCCCTTGTGAGGACTTTGCAGATGGGCTTAAGCCATCTGTGAAACCCCTGAAATTTTATGCAAAGCTGCCTGCACGTGTGAGGGCCATATATGTTTTCCTGGAGGGCGGACCTGTGACTCCTCAGATTCCAAAAGGGATCCAAGACTCCCAAATGCTCAACACTCATTGTTTGAGTAGCCGAAATGTTAATTGCCTAGCATCACCTGAATTAGCCATTCTCTTAAGTGTTTAGTCTCAGGAGTTCGATGTGGTTTTTGGGTTTGTTTTTTGTTTTCTAACTTTTAGGTTCAGGGGTACATGTGCAGGTTTGTTATAAAGGTCAACTGTGTGTCATGGGAGTTGGTGTACAGATTATGTCGTCAACCAGGTACTAAGCACAGTAGCCGGTGGGTAGTTTTGGGATCCTCTCCCTCCTGCCACCCTCAAGCAGGCCCTGGTGTCTGTTGGTCCTTTTTTGTGTCCACGCCTGCTCAGTGTTCAGCTCCCACTTACAAGTGAGAACATGTGGCATTTGGTTTTCTGTTCCTGCGCCAGTTCACTTAGGAAAATGGCCTCCAGCTCCATCCATGTTGCTGCAAAGGACACAATCTCGGTCCTTTTTATGGCTATGTAGTATGCCATGGTATATATGTAGCACATTTCCTATATGTTTTTAAGAATGATTGGAACCCCAGTCATTCTTAAATGAGAGTTCTTGTTTGTGTGGGTAATAGTCATCAATATTGACCATATTAGAAATTAAAATAGTATTAAAATATTTCTATAGTTAATTAGCAATAAAAACCCATTACATTTTTGCAAATATCTTAATGTCTGGCTTGATAAAAGATAGGCTCTCGAATCTCGCGTTCATTCCTGTGATATCACAGGCCTTGCAGCCCACGGAGGCCTCTGCTGTGCACTCTGTGAGAATGAGAGTGAGCAAGGCTGGTGGCGGCTTAGGACGCTCGGGAAGGTAGTTCTGTGGGACTCCTGAAAGGCCTCAGGACCCAGGATCCCAGATGCACACGGGAGAGTATGTATCTGGACAGCGTTATCTTAATGCCTCTGCAGAATCGTCCTCTGGTATTTTGGCATCAGCATGCTTTTTGATTGCCTGTCTCAAAAAAAAAAAAACTTCTGGAAGCTGGCTCTGCTGTACGTGGTTGGCATTTTGGTGAGGAATTGGTATGTGTGAGGGGACATTGAACTTTGTGAGGAGCCGCAGAAGACGTTTCCTCAGGTTTTAGGCCAGAAGGGTCTGTATCTGTACCACTTCTGAGCTGCTGGTAAGGTTTTAGATCTTATGAAAACGGATTTTCCTAACTAATCGTGTTTTCTTTGCTGTGGCACTGGGGAAGCTTGGAGCCTGATTTCCAGCTCTTACATGTGACAGGCACGTCCTTGTACTAATGGCACCCCTTCCTTATCCACACCTTGTTATCCTTCTATATACTTTTGTTAAGTTATGTTATAAATCATTCCATGTGTTTTTATAAGTTGTCTCATCTTTATTTGAACAAGATTGAGTATAAATCGTTTTGAGTAAAAAATTTCCTGCTTATATTATTGTGTAAAGCATTTTTGTAAAACGTTAGCATCCAGTGGATTCTAGGGTCTGTTTGGATTTAGAGAAGTTAGTGTATCACTTTCTTTTCCAGTGTTGCTTTTATCAGGTTACTTTATTTATTTATTTATTTATTTATTTATTTATTGAGATAGAGTCTCGCCCTGTCGCCCAGGCTGGAGTGCAGTGGCACGATCTCAGCTCGCTGCAATCTCCACCTCCCAGGTTCAAGTGATTCTCCTGCCTCAGCCTCCCAAGTAGCTGGGACTATAGGCGCATGCCACCACACCCAGCTAATTTTTGTATTTTTAGTAGAGATGGGGTTTCTCCATGTTGGCCAGGATGGTCTTGAACTCCTGACCTCAGGTGATCCGCCTCAGCCTCCCAAAGTGCTGGGATTACATCATCAAGTTACTTTAGATAAGTGGAAACTCAGCCCTCCTATATCTGAAAGTGTCAAGATGTTACTTTGTTTCATTATATACTATATATAGTACAGCTATTTGGCAGTTTTGTTATTTATTGCCTGCCCAGAGCCTCTGTCCTATTTTTTCATTTTATTTCTGTCTGGTATACAGAGGCATTCTTGTTATTAGTATTATTGTTTCCATTTAATCATAACAGGTTTTTTTGTGCCTGCTTGTGAAATTTTCATAAATTACTTTTAACGCTATTCTTAGTTATTTGTGTACATTTTCATCAATGTGATTCTGTGATTTAAAGTGGGAAAAAAAATCTCCAAACCGCACAGCCTCTTCCCATTCATTAAAGCCTGAACTTTATTGAAACCAAAGAAGACTGCAGCTGTGACCCCCGCTGGTGCCGTAAGGTCCTTGCCCTGTGTCCTCAGAGGCTAGATGTGCATTACAGAGTTACTGAGAGTTTTAGAGAAAAATGATAGTCACACTTCATGCAGAGTGAACTGGATAGAGATCAGAATGTATTTTGTATAAAATGTTAATTCTCATAATTTTTGAAGCTTAGACTGCCTGTTTGTTACAGTATAGATGCTGTTGTTTCCATTTTCAGAAGACTGTGCAGTCTTTGTAACTGATGAAGAGCAAGGCTTTGTCTCTAATTCTGCCCAGTTAAAGTGCAGGCGTTAGGCTAAAGCTGGGACAAACCTGGAGCGGCTTCATTGGCTTTCCTACTTCTTTTGCATCCCAAAGCATAAGCTTAAATCGTCTCAGAAGGACAAGGTCCGCCAGTTTATGGCGTGCACTCAGGCTGGCGAGAGAACTGCTATCTACTGCTTAACGCAGAATGAGTGGAGACTAGACGAGGCCACGGACAGCTTCTTCCAAAACCCAGACTCGCTCCACAGGGAGTCCATGCGGAACGCTGTGGACAAGAAGAAGCTGGAGCGGCTGTACGGCAGGTACAAAGGTAAGAGGAGACTGCAGCAAAGCCGGACGGATGTCGGCCTCCGCGAGCGGCCTGCGCGCTGCACTTCCAGGGTTCTGGTGCCGGGGCAGGTCTCCGGGCTGCCGTTGCTTCTCCTCCCCACGCTCAGCGCTCGGCGCTCAGCTGCAGAATCCACTTGCTTCTGTGTAAATGGGGCTGGGACTGTGATTGGTGGGGGTGGGGAGGGCGAGAAGAGTGGAGTCAGCGATGGGGCAGGGCCAGGCCCGTGCCCGCTTGTTCTGTGCGGTGAGTCTGACGCTGCACAGCCTGTCAGGGAAAAGCTGCTGCTGGGAGGCTTGGTGTCTTGGCGTGACTGTGTCTGTTAATACAGTATTTTTTTCAAGCACTTCTATTTAGGCTGAAATATTGATGATGAGAAGGTTAAGAACAACAGCAAATCATGAAGATGATCTGAAGTGAGGGTAAACCTTAGTGTTTTCCTTGCCCGGGTAGTGGCGTGTCAGCCCTGAAATAGCTTCAGTGATTAGAGAGGCTTTGGGAAAAGCTCGCAGCAAAGAAACTTTTTGTTGCAGATTGTGATTTTTATTGACATCAGTGCTTGGATCGGAGCTTCTTGTCAAAATGCTTCTTGTCAAAATGTGCCTTGAACTGAGACTGCCGTGATGAGCATACGCAGATCCACGCCCCTCTGCAGGCTTTAAATTTCATGTCCAATGCAGAGGGACAGGCAGCAGTCTAAGAGCTGACTTATTTTGCTTTTTCTTTCTAGCAGTTTTTAAGGCTAAGTTTTCTAAAACTTTAAAACAAAACCAAGCCCTGACTCTCATTTAAACAAGTGTTAGCCCAAATATACAATAATTTCCTTGGCTTTAAGTTCTTGTTTGTTTGTTTATTGTTGTCTGTGTGTGTGTGTGTTTATGTGACGGAGTCTTGCTCTGTCACCAGGCTGGAGTGCAGTGGTATGATCTCGGCTCACTGCATCCTCTGCCTCCCACATTCAAGCGATTCTCCTGCCTCAGCCTCCAAAGTAGCTGGGACTACAGGTGCATGCCACCACGCCCAGCTAATTTTTGTATTTTTAGTAGAGACGGGGTTTCACCATGTTGGCCAGGATGGTCTCAATCTCTTGACCTCATGATCCACCCGCCTCGGCCTCCCAAAGTGCTGGGATTACAGGCATGAGGCACCGCACCCAGCCAAGTTCTTGTTTATTTATTACTTTCGTTTTTTACTTTTTAAAATACTGTGTGTGTGCTTTAGTCTTTCTTTTTAGGTCTGAAAAGTGAGTTGAAAATTGCTTTAAAAAATCTTGGCTCAGAAACATAGTCAGTGGTAAAACAAACCAGGTTTGTACTTATTGTAGTTCCCAAAGAATGAAAATTGTTCTTAGTTAAGCTTTAGTCTACTTTAAAAATTTTTGGCTAAGTTAATTGTTGAGCTAATTTTGTAAGTCATATGCTGATTTTTATGCAGATTTTTAAAAGTTATTTAAATATATACAGCAGCCTTTGAAAAAATACTTGTGTATAAGTGGAAAATTGTGTCTTTGGGTGTTATTGAAGCTTCATCCCTTCATTATTATTTAACTTTATTCATGCAATTATACTCAGTTAAAGTAGAAACGTGGTACAATCACTTTAGGCTCTAAAAATAAACGTAGTTCTAAGACTGTTGACAAATATAACATTGGTTATGACATTAACATATACAAATGAACAAGTACTTGCAAAATTACTTGAAATGTTGAACACGGTTGTAATGAAATTTACTGAGATGGTTTATTAGCTCAGAGCATTGTAGATCAATATTTCTATTCATGAAGTATAGAATTAGGAGATGGAATTGAATAAGGTGATAAGTGGGGATTTTTTTTACAGAACCTCTGTCCCATAAACTATGCTGAGGTTGTTTTCTCCCTGATATAAGAGAATAGAGTTAGAAGGATGTTTATGGCTTTCTTCATTTTGTTACCAATTTTTCTTTTTTTTTTTTTTTGTCACCCAGGCTGGAGTGCAATGGCATGATCTTGGCTCACTGCAACCTCCACCTCCTGGGTTCAAGCGATTCTCCTGCCTCAGCCCCCCGAGTAGCTGGGACTATAGGCGTGAGCCACCCCGCCCAGTTAATTTTTGTATTTTTAGTAGAGACGGGGTTTCGCCATGTTGGCCAGGCTGGTCTTGAACTCCTGAGCTCAGGTGATCCACCCGCCTCGGCCTCCCAAAGTGCTGGGATTATAGGCGTGAGCCACCGTGCCCAGCCACCAATTTTTCTTTGGTAACTATATATATGTGGTAGTATACTACTTAAATGACCAAAGTTAAATTTTGTGTGAAGGGGAAGAAAAGTTTATCATACCTAATCTTTCTTTGAGCAGAGAAGCTACAGGTTTTCTACTTTTACCTTCTAAACCAACAATTTACCTACGCATTATGATAATATGATATAATCTGTCTGAAATTACTAGCTTTAGTGAAGTCTTGCTGGGATGCCTTAAATATATTTTACTGTTTGATTTTCTGATAAACAAATGCTAAGTTCTTTAATTTTATTTCTAAACTAGAAATAGGGGGTGGGGAACCTGAATTTCTAAGCTATTAAATGTGGATACATAAGCTAAATGATTCTGAGAAGTAGTTATTGTCCAGTACCATTAGAATTAGCAAATGAAATCACTTAAGAAAAACATCAATCATTCATTTACTTTGGCAGAGTTGTGATAAAAACTCAAGATATTGTAAATACTTTATCAATACAGTATATTTTATAGCAGTTTGCCTTTGGGTGAGCTAAATTTCTGTAAACTTAAATTTTTATTTCACTTTAGGGAAATTAAGTTTTTCTTAGTGAACAGATCTTCTCAAAAAAAATTCAGTGATTTTTTTTTTTCCCTAAAACCCAGAAACCTAGATTTTAAAAATAGGACCGTTTTCTGGATAAATTATTAGTTGCTCACTATTTCTTTCATGTGTAGTAGAAAACTGCAGCCTATTGATTGATGTATTGGAAACACGCTTGCTAGAACTATGTAGTATAATCGAATGCTAGGATTCAAACCTCCTATTTTAGAATTACTTTTCAAAATAGTATAACTTCCTTTTCCCCTGATATTAACTACAGATCCACAAGATGAAAACAAAATTGGAGTCGATGGGATTCAACAGTTTTGTGATGATCTGAGCCTGGATCCTGCCAGTATCAGTGTATTGGTCATAGCGTGGAAGTTCAGGGCAGCAACTCAGTGTGAATTTAGCAGAAAGGAATTTCTAGATGGCATGACAGAACTTGGGTAAGTCAACTATTCTTAGCTTAAATGTTTTCAGAAATGAAAATACTTCTAACATTATTTTTCAGCAACCTGTACATACTAATTTCATATCTGCTTATTTTCTTTGTGTATCTTTAAAATTTCTTATGCGTCTGTACTCTCCGCACTATCAAGCCTTTGGTTTCCTTTTAATTTTCAATTTAACACTTTATTTCATTTCACATTTTTATTTTTTTCATATTAATCCCTTTTGTAACTCATTTTCTTCTTTTTGAGTTTTTTCCTTTCCAATTTTGAATTGACAGTAAATGCCAGGTTCAGTTCATTCGTGTTATTTCATAATACTGTATATTAAACGTAGAATTTCTTATGCTGCTCTGTTAAAAACTAAGATGTCATTTTGGTTTTTGCTTGTAACATTTTTCTATTCTACCTACAGGATTGGGATAAAGGCTTCATTAATAACTTAAGGTGTTTCTCGCTTATCAGATAAGTTATAAAAGTAAATGAAAGGGCCTAATGTAACTGTCTCTTAATCATTAAGCTTACTGAACTACAGTCATGCACTACATAATGACATTTCGGTCAACAGTGGACCGCTTATACAACAGTGGTCCCGTAAGGTTAGAATGGGGCTAAAAAATTCCTACATCCCAGCCATCATAGTGTCATAGCACAATACATTGCCTGTGTGTGGTGATGCTGGCACAGACAAACCTACTGCACTGCCAGTCGTATAAAAAGCATAGCGCATCCAGTTATGTGCAGTATATAATACTTGATAATATAAAGGCTTATGTTACTAGCTTATTTACTCAACTTTTTATTATTTTCGAGTGTACTCCTACTTGTTTGTTTGTTTGTTTGTTTTTTGAGATGGAGTCTTACTCTGTCACCCAGGATGGAGTGCAGTGGCACGATCTTGGCTCACAGCAAACTCCGTCTCCTGAGTTCAAGCGATTCTCATGCCTCATGCCCGGCTAATTTTTGTATTTTTAGTAGAGACGGGATTTCACCATATTGGCCAGGCTGGTTTTGAACTCCTGACTTCAGGGGACACACCACCTTGCCTCATCAGCCTCCCAAAGTGCTGGGATTACAGGCGGGAGCCACCGTGCCTGGCCCAGATGGATTTTTAAATATCACCTGTTCATATTGTTTAAAATAGATACAACTAAAACAGCTTTGAGGCATACAGGAACTCTACAGATAAGGAGGACCATTTCATAATGATAAAGGGCTTATCTCACCAAGAAGGCAGTCACACTTACGTTTTTATGTATTTGTTGAAGAGTCCCAATGTATTTAAAGCAAAAATAAGCAACTACAAAGAGAAAGATACAAATCCATGATCAAAGTGAGGAATTTTCACACACATCGTAGTAACTGATGGAATGAGTCAATGAAAAATTAGTGAGGAAATAGAAGATTTGGACAGCACAACAAATGGCCTAGGAGAACATTTAGAATGTTGCCTTCGATGCTTAAGAATACATATTCTTTTCAAAAGAAAACACAGAACAGCCTGGCAGGAGAGATACCATCATCATGAAGGTGATTTTCCCAGAGCTGGGCTTATCCATTGCATTCTGGATGTGCTGACGCCTGTGGTTTTCCCAAATGTGGGAAACTGGACTGCATAATTTGTGGTAGTGGGGGACTATGTTCGTGTTCTCTCCTGGTGTTTAAAATTAAAAAAAAAAAAACTTTATTAAAGGCACAGAACATTAATAAAAATTGACAATAAACTGGGCTATTAAGTAAATTGCAACAATTTCCAGAGGTTTGAAATGATACAGAGTATGTTTTCTGACCACAGTACAGTTAAACTAGGAATATAACAAAAAGATAACTAGGGATATGTGTGGATATTGCATACCTCTAAGTAACCCTTGGGATGAGAAAGAAATTACAATGGAAATTAGAAAATATCTTGAATAATGAAAATACAATATATGTAAGCTTGTAGAATTCAGCTTATTAAATGCATATTTTAGAAAGAAGGAAAGGCTGAAAATCAGTGAGCAAAGCCTTCCATCTCAAGAAATAGAAAAAGAATATAGAAGGAAGGAATTAATATTTTTAAAGAAGCACTAATTTACAAGAATAATTAAATAGAAAAGAAGTTGTCATTAGGAAGGATCAATAAAGCTAGAAGCTTGTTATTTGAAAAGACTTGTAAATGTGGTAAATCACAAGTAACGTACGTAGATGAAAAGGGGGACGAGATAATAGGTGCCAGAAGCATTAAAAAAAAAAAAGTCATGTATGAAGAGCTTTATGCCAGTAAATTTGACAACGTATGTGAAAAATGTAATTTACTAAAACTGACACATGAAGAAATAGAACATCTTAATAGTTCTGTAACTCTTAAGAATTTGAGCCTGTAGTTTAAAATCTTCTCAAAGAGACAACTCCTGTTTGGGATGACTTAATTGGCACATCCTACCAAACTCCTAATGAAAAGGAAAATCCCCAATTTTAAACATCCTCTTCCAGAGAAGTAAAGGAAGAAAGATTTCACAATTTGTTTTTAAGGCCAGCAAAAGCTGCATGACAAAACCAAGGAAGAACATTTGAGAATGGAAAATTATAGGCCACTCTCAGCTGTAAGACTCAGAAGATGCATAAGATGATTATAAGATGCAAAAATCCTACACACAGTATCAGGAAACTGACCAGTCATTAGCAAAAAACCCAAGACGATAAGCCCAGGATGATACATCATGACAGAGTTGGTTATATCCAGGAATGCAAGATCCGTTTAATGTTACAGAGTCAATCGGTGTAATTAATTTACCATGGTTAACAACAGGAAAAAAAGGATCATCCCAGTGCATAAGATGGGTTTGATCAAATTCAATGTTTCTTCATTTAAAAAAAAAAAAAAAAACTCATAGAAAACTAAGAATAAGAGGGGCAGTTCTTAATCTGGCCAAAAGGAAAAAATTCCTATGGAAAACATTATACTTACTGGAATTGTAAGCCACCTTCTCTTTGAGACAGAACAAAACCCAAATGACTGTTTCTATTCAGTATTAAACAGGAGATCATAGCTAGTCCACCCTATGGGTAAAATATTCAAATCAATAGTGACGTTAGCCAAACTACAGGATCCAAGGCCTGCAAGTAAAAACCTGTTCTATTTCAGGACACCAAGTGCAACAACCAGCAAAACGGTAACATGTAAAATCTACGTCATCTTTCGGTATCTTCAAAAATACAAAATACCTAGAATAAATTGGATTGAAGATGTGTGATACTCCCATAGAGAAAATAGTAATTCATCGAGAGACAGGAAAGAAGACCTGAATAAATGGAGAAATATACTTCATTTATAGGTTGGAATACAGTATTTTATCCTTAGCTTTTTATATTGAATGTGATCTCAATTTAAAAATCCCAATAGATAGTGGGTTTGTTTATGTGTAATTTGACAAGCTGATTTGAAATTTCTATGAAAACGCGCAGTCAAAAAGCAGTTCTTGAAGAAAAAGAACAAGATGGGAAGATTTGCTGTACCAGATAATTGGAACTTTTAAAGCTACAGTAATTAAGACTACATGGCATCAAGCGCCAGATCAGATAAATAGACCAGAGACCAGTGGAGCAGAATGGAGCGCTCAGAAAGAAGTCCGTGTATGGGGGGACTTCTGGTTTATGACAGAGCTAGACTTCAGTGGAGAAAGACGGTTTTTCAATAAATGATACTGGGAGAATTAGCTAGTATTTTGGGGAAAAATAAATCCTGACCTCTACCGCATACCATATGTAAAAATCAGTTTCAGATAGATTGTAGATCTCAGTTTGAAAGGCAAAAGCAAAAAGTCTGTAGAAAATAATGTAGGAAAATGTCTTTTATGACTATGAAATAGGATAATTTTTAAAACATCAACAAAAACAATAAATCACCATAAAGAAAAATGCCGATAGAGTGTATTATAGTAAAAATAAGAACTTCTGGTTAAGAAACATCAAGGTAGTAGAAAGGCAATCCATGTTGTGTGTGAAAGTTCTTTAAAAATTCCTGGCAAAGGCTTGTATCTTTAATATATAAAGAATTTCTACAAAACAATAAGAAAAAGACATTGAAAAACAACCAAAAGATTTGACAAGCACTTCACAAAAGAGGATGCACAAGGGCCAGTTAAGGTATAAGATGCTTAATCTCATTCACTGGGGAAATGCAGGTGAAAACCACAGTGAAATAGAACCCCATAACAAACCACCCTCTTGGGTGCTAAAATAAGACACGATAGCAAATGTGAGTGCAAATGCGTGGAGGGGGACTCCAGTGTACTGTTTTGACATCAGTTACTAAATGGAAGGTGCACAGACGCCATGACCCAGCCATCCACTCTGGAATGTGCCTGACGTGGTACGTTCACAGGTATGTTGTGATCTGTGTGCAGAAGTGTTGACACCATTACTCCAAACCAGGAAACTAGAAACAGCCGGAATGTTCACCAACAGTAGCGTTTATGAATCATAAAATATGTATATAACAAGAATTCTGTATGGCCAAGAAAATGAGCAGCTGGAGCCATGCATACCCACAGGAACGAACCTCTCGGACATCACAAAGGCAGAAACAGCCAGACGTGAGGTGGTGCACGCTGAGTTCCTGATTACATCCAGCTAGAGGCACGGTGAAGGACGGCTCCAGTAGGCGGTGGGGCACAGTGGGCCTGGCCCAGAAGTCTGATTGTCCATGCCTCACCGGAGGGAAGAGGAGGCTGAAATGGCAAAGAGCCCTCAGCTGCCACCCACTCCCTTTTTTAAGAAGGTCACACTCTGTTGTGCCAACTGGGGTACAGTGCACTGCTGGGACTTCAGGCACATGCCACCACACCTGGCTAGTTTTTATTTTTTGTGGAGACTGGGTCTCTCTATGTTGCCCAGACTGGTCTCAAACTCCTGGCCTCAAGCGATCCTCCCTCCTCCACCTCTCAAAGCACTGGGATTACAGGAATGAGCCACCATACCTGGCCCAGCCGCCACCCTTGATGTGGATGGTGCTTACGCTCACCCTCATCTGCAGTACAGCCATGCGTCACTCAGAGACAGGGACACGTTCTGAGAAGTGCATCGTTAGGAAATTTCACTGTGCAGATATCACAGAGTGCACTTACACAAACCGAGATGCTACAGCCCACTACACACCTCGTCTGTGGTGCAGCCTGTTGCTCCTAGGCCGTGAACCTGTTCAGCAGGTGACTGTCCTCAGTTCTGTAGGCAGCTGTAACACAATGGTAAGTCTGTGTCTAAACACATCTGAAGGTGGAAATGGTCATGCGTTGTGCTAGACGTTGCAGTGGCTCTGACGCCTCGAGGTGGCAGGAATCTAGGTGCCATTATGATTTTATGGGACCACTGTGACATACGCCTTCTGCTGTTGACCGTGACTGCGCGCAGGACTGAGTCATACATTTGTGCTTTTCCGTGTATGTCTTCGAGGACTTTTCTAGCTGCTCTAAAGCTTTCTTCAATGTTCTTTCCTTACGTCTACTCTACTTGAGTAAGTGTTGCTTTTATTCTGTGCTTTGCTGTGCAGTCGAAATTACAAAGATAGACTTTGTTTTACTGTTGTCGATTTCTGCCTTAGAGGCTGTTGACTGTTTTTAAAGGTTATTGACTTTTTGATGGAAAAATTCAATTCTAAAACAACATAGAGCTGTGTTTTACAATACCTGGATATTTTAAATCTAACTTGCTGTAATGAAGAGATCCCTAAATAAGGTAGCTTAAGTTTATATGAGTTTGTTTTTCGCTTGTATGATGGGACAGAGGTAACAGTGGCCCAGGCTGGCAGGGCGACTGCCATTCTGCAAGTCACTGAGAAATGCGGTCTTTCCATCTTTCCATTACCTCGTCTCTGCCATCTTGTCACCTCATGCCCTGTCACCGCAGGGCAGGGTCCTCTCTCCGTGGTCAAAGCTACCAAGTTAGACCACGCCCTTGTTCCACTTCTCAAGAAGAGGGCAAAAGATGTTGGTTTTGGGTTTTTCTTTTAATAATTTTACTGAGATCGAATTCACATACCATATTTTCTTTCATTTAAAGCCTACAACTCAGTGGTTTTAGTATATTCCCAGAGCTGGGCGGCTGCCACCAGTATCTGTCTCAGAACGTTTTGAATTCCTTTTAGCAAGGGAGATGTTGCCCCCCCATCTTCTCTTACATCATCACTTAGAGCCTTAGGCCGCGCCTGGGAAAGGAAGTTGGGAAATACGGTCTCCAGCTGGAGCTGCGTGCCTGGTCACAGTTCCTGCACAGGGCACAAGGGGAGTCGACTAGGGAGGCGCATCTGCTGCAAGACAAACCACTCTCTGTCATCGCAGGTGTGACAGCATGGAGAAGCTAAAGGCTCTTCTGCCAAGACTGGAGCAGGAGCTGAAGGACACAGCCAAGTTTAAAGATTTTTATCAGTTTACCTTCACCTTCGCTAAGAACCCAGGGCAGAAAGGTTTAGGTGAGTATGAAATCCAAATACGTAAAATGCCAGATCATAATGAGGTTTTCAGTGGACGTGAGCAACATGATTTTTGTGCAGCCAACTGTAATGTTTTTGGGTTTTGGTTTGGTTTTTTGGAGATACGGTCTTGCTCTGTCACCTAGGCTGGAGTGCAGTGGTGCAATCACAGCTCACTGCAGCCTCAATCTCCTGGGCTCAAGCAGTCCTCCCACCTCAGCCTCCCAAGCAGCTGGGACTACAGGCGTCCACCACCGCATCTGGCTATTTTCATTTTTGTTTTAATTTTTAGTAAAGACAAGGTCTTGCCTTGTTGCCTATGCTGGTCTCGAACTCCTGAGCTCAGGCATTCTTCCCACTTCAGAGTGTTGGGATGACAGGCCTGAGCCACTGCGGCCGGCCCAGCTGTAACGTTACCACCCTCTTGGTTTCTTTTCTTCTCCACACTTTGCTCTGTATGTAGGTAGATGAGTTTATAATACCGCGTACCTGAAAATCTCAGTTGATAGCGTCTCTCAACTTCTGGGTTTACATATTTAAATTTTAAAATGTAAACTAATTTGTAAATGTCCTGTATCAGTTCGTAATTGTTCTCTCTGTGCCACATAGACCCAGCCCGCATACCAACAATTCAGCCCACTTTTGCGTTTTATTTTAAAATACTGTACTCCATTTGTATGGACCATTAATGTGGCCCATTTGCATGGACAATAATAAATATTTTTTTTACTTGGGGAGTCTGCATTCGCTTTAACTGTCACTCCTAACCCTGCAGCAGGGATTCAGGGACTGCAGTGAAGGTGGAGGTGAAGCTGGGTTGGGCTCTGGGAGGTGTGCAGTGATCACCTGAGAGGGCAGTTGCACAGAGGAACAGGCACAGAGGCAGAGGCACGGGGCAGAAGGACAAGGAATGCAGGCACAGAAGGGCAGAGACACGGGACAGAGGGATAGAGAGACGGGGGACAGAGGGACAGAGGCACAGGAGACAGAGGGATAGAGAGACGGGGGACAGAGGGACAGAGGCACAGGAGACAGAGGGATAGAGAGACGGGGGACAGAGGCCCAGGAGACAGGCACGGGGGGACACGGGCAGAGACACGGGATAGAGAGATGGGGGACAGAGGGACAGAGGCACGGGGGGACAGAAGGACAGAGGTACGGGAGCAGAGGCGCAGGGGGACACGGGAGAGAGACGGGGCTGGTGAGAGAGAACAGGTGCTGAGACGCGTCTCGGCCCCACACTGGTTACTGAATTACAGTACCTGCTGTGCAAGGCCCTGGGGCCTGTTGGGCCCTCGCTTTGCCTCTTGGGTGACAGTAGCGGTGTCTGCTGCGTCTTGGCTCAGGAGCCTGCCGCATGCGGCACCTAGGGACACCAGCAGTGTCGAGACCTCCAGCCTTGCTCAGGGCTGCCAACTGATGAGAGCCTGTCCTGCCCTTTCTGTTTGTGAGCTGGGATGATCCCAGAAGGAAGTCTTTCTGTCTCCTGGTGTTGGGTGCCAGAGGTGCAGGCTGCTCAGAAAGGCCGGATGACCTCGGGGGCGAGTGCGTTCCCTGCTTCCTTCGACCGAGGGTCAGTTTATTGTTCATGTCCCCGTGAACTCATGGAGTGCTGTTGGTGTACTCTGGTGTTGGTGACCGCTCCCTTCCTGTCTGCACGGCAGGCTGCCCTGGGCTCGTCCAGTCACCTTCTACCCCAGACCTGTATTCGCTTTTTCTCCAAGAAGCCCTGATTTCTTTTAGCGGAAACTGGTTTCAGGCCGTGGTGGGGTCGCGGCTGGTGCTCATTCAGAGTCGTCGTTTCCAGGCTTTTTATTTTTTTATTTTTTTTATTTTTGTTCATTTGGATGCTTCTAAACCACAGTCAGGACTACAGATTATTTTTCCTACTTGAGCTTGTCTGTATTGCAGCTGTGTTTCCCTTCTCCTGCTCTGGTTCTCACGGGCACAGGTGAGGATAGCGTTAGAATATCCATGGTGATGTGTTAGCCCAATCCCACACGGCACACACCACGGGCTCAGAGTGACGAAACGAATGCTGTCTCCACCAGTAGAATTACTGTGAGTAGCGGAAAAGAAAAGGGCGGGGTTGGGGGGGTAATACACTCTCCCCCGACTTAAAACAATAGTTGGGCCTTACCTTTGTTTTCCAGGCACACAGCCAGGCCTCCCCTGTCGTTGTGGGTGGTCTTTGCTCTGTGTTCCCCAGCAGCCCCTGCTCATCACCAGGGCTTCTGTTGACGTCTCTCTGCTCACAGGTTTTGAAATTCATTCTCCAGTGGATCCCCAGGAAGTGCTTTTGGGGACAGTATTCCCTGAGTCCTTGCGTGCTGGGTATGAAAAATCCTTTTCGATCCTTTGAATGTCTTAAGTGTGTCGCTCCACTTTCTTCTGGCGTAGATCGTTATTGTCAAACAGAATGATGATAAGCCAATCTTCTTGGTCTTATAAGTTGCTTACTGTTTTGCCTAAATACCCAAACAAAGGCCATTTTTTCTTTTGCTTTGAAGCCCAGTAATTTTACTAAAATGTGTCTGGGTGTTGTGGGTCGTCCATGGTCAGTGTTCTCATATATGCTGCTGAGTGTTTTCAGTAAGTACTTTCTAATCTTTTTTTAATTTCAGGGAGAATGTTCTTGAATTATAGGTTTAAGCATTTGTTCTGTTCCTTGTATTTGGTTTTGGTCTCTATGGAAACTCCTATTACCCATATAATTGGAGTTAGGTCCTCTGTGGAGTTGGGTCCCCTGTGGAGTTGGGTCCCCTGTGGAGTTGGGTCTTCTATGGAGTTGGGTCCCCTGTGGAGTTGGGTCTTCTGTGGAGTTGTGTCTTCTGTGGAGTTGGGTCCCCTGTGGAGTTGGGTCCCTTGTGAAGTTGGGTCTTCTGTGGAGTTGGGTCCCCTGTGGAGTTGGGTCTTCTGTGGAGTTGGGTCCCCTGTGGAGTTGTGTCTTCTGTGGAGTTGGGTCCCCTGTGGAGTTGGGTCTTCTGTGGAGTTGGGTCCCCTGTGGAGTTGCGTCCCCTGTGGAGTTGGGTCTTGCGTGGAGCTGGGTCCCCTGTGGAGTTGGGTCCTCTGTGGAGTTGGGTCCCCTGTGGAGTTGGGTCCTCTGTGGAGTTGGGTCCCCTGTGGAGTTGGGTCCTCTGTAGAGTTGGGTCCCCTGTGGAGTTGGGTCCCCTGTGGAGTTGTGTCTTCTGTGGAGCTGGGTCCCCTGTGGAGTTGGGTCCCCTGTGGAGTTGGGTCTTCTTTGGAGCTGGGTTCCCTGTGGATTTGGGTCCCCTGTGGAGTTGGGTCTTCTGTGGAGTTGGGTCCCCTGTGGAGTTGTGTCTTCTGTGGAGTTGGGTCCCTTGTGGAGTTGTGTCTTCTGTGGAGTTGGGTCCCCTGTGGAGTTGGGTCCCTTGTGGAGTTGGGTATTCTGTGGAGTTGGGTCCCCTGTGGAGTTGCGTCCCCTGTGGAGTTGGGTCTTGCGTGGAGCTGGGTCCCCTGTGGAGTTGGGTCCCTTGTGGAGTTGGGTCCCTTGTGGAGTTGGGTCTTCTGGAGTTGGGTTCCCTGTGGAGTTGAGTCCCCTGTGGAGTTGGGTCTTCTGTGGAGTTGGGTCCTCTGTAGAGTCTTCTGTGGAGTTAAGTCTTCGGCAGTGTGCGTTGCTTTCTCTCAGTCCTTTTTATCTGTACTTCATTTCTTTTTTATTTTAAAAATGATCTTCCTTTTTCACCATTTCCTCTTCTGAAGTTGTTACCCATCATGTGTCACATAATGGCAGCGATAGGTTCTGAGAAATGCATTGTTAGGCAGTCTCATCCTTGTGCGACATCACAGGGCGCATGTTTGCAAACCTGGGTGGCATAGCCTATTGCACGCCTAGCAGTATGGCACAGCCCATGGCTCCGGGGATACAAACCTGGACAGCGTGTGACTGTACTGAAGACAGTAGGCAACCGTAACACGGTGGTGAGGATTTGTGTATCCAAACACACTGAAGCATAGAAAA
Organism: Homo sapiens; assembly: GCF_000001405.40. Taxonomy (NCBI): domain Eukaryota; kingdom Metazoa; phylum Chordata; class Mammalia; order Primates; family Hominidae; genus Homo; species Homo sapiens. The sequence continues at coordinate 113,470,141 of NC_000013.11, read as the reverse complement.
GGGGCAGTGAAAATGCACTTTTGCAATCCTGTGGGACTGCTGTCACTTACGCGGACTATCATTGGCTGAGATGTTATGCCATGTGTGGCTGCCTTTGAGTTTATCTCCCTCGTGTGCCTTCTAGTAAAGTCATTTCCAGAATGATTTTCCTTTGTTTCTAATTCTTGAGTGTGATTTCCTCATTACTAAGTTTTCCTAATTCTCATTTGTGGTGTTTCATGTTTTGTTTCATTTCTTAATGTCCTTTAGCCTATTTTGAAGTCAATGATCACACTTAAAAAAAAAAAGTTTTTGATTTATTTCGAGACAGGGTCTTGCTCTCTTGCCCAGGCTGGAGTGGAGTGGCGCGATCATAGCTCACTGCAGCCTCGAATTCTTGGGCTTAAGTGATCCTCCCACCTCGGCTTCCCAAAGTGCTGGGATTACAGACATGAGCCACCACACCTGGCTTAACATTTTGTTTTAGAGTTGAGGTCTCCCTCCGTTGCCCAGGTTTAAGTGCAGAGGTGTGGCCATGACCGCACCCTCAGGCTCCTGGGTTTCAGTGATCCTCCCACCTCAGCCTCCCAGCTAACTGGGACTGTAGGCACGCAGACTGTGCCTGGCTAATTTTTAAACTTTTTTTGGAGGGACGGAGTTTTACTGTGTTGCCCGGGCTGGTCTCAAACTGCTGGTCTCACACAGTCCTCTCACTTCAGGCTCCCAAAGTGCTGGGATTACAGGCGTGAGCCATGGTTTCAGCTGAAGGTTGCACTTTTGATCTGTTCTGTTGGTGTGTTTCCCAGCATGCATTCATTTTCTAGGGGTGACTACTGTTTGTAGTATCTTTTTTCTCAGGATAGCATTGTATGGGATTTGATCTCAGGGCTGTTCTGTTGCTCATTTTTATGTGAAATTAGTTTTCCTAGTCTTTCAGAAGGAGGATGGTTCGGGGCAGCTTTTCGACTTCATGGTGCTCCCTCTTGGCTGTGTGTGTGTGTGTGTGTGTGTGTGTGTGCAGGCGTGTAGTAGACAGAAATGTCGGCTTTGCTGTCTGAGATTGTCTGGCACTGCTCCTCCCCCCTCCTCAGCTTTTCTCTCTTTTCCATCTCCATTGTCCCTTTCCCGCCCAGCCTGTTCTGCTCCCAGGCACTTCCCTGTTGGTGGCCTCTGCCCTCAGCCACAGCCTACTTCAGGCTCGTCCTTACCTGGTCCCGGCGTGTAGGCACCTCTGAGGCCCTCCTGTTCTCACATCTGTCAGAGGCCCTGTGCCCCCCACGTCCCCGGCATGACGGCAACACACGGGTCCTGTTGCTGGCAGTGGCTCATCCCCTAGCTTACAACTTGGGTTTGTGGTGATACTTTCTCACCTAAATTTATGGTAAATGTTGCCTCTGGGTGTTTGGCTTTGCTTTCTAATTGCTGCATCTGCTTTTATGCGCAGATTCAGGGAAGGTTACACACTGTGCTGCCTCCGCCCCGCCTGTCCAGGGCCCTCCCCCGCCCCCTTTAGTGCTGCGTCCTCATAGGCCGCTTGTCTGAAGGAGAGGTTGATGGAGCGTGGCACGTCTCGCGTTTAAACCAGTCAGGAGTCCTTGGGGGTTTATTTCCCCAGGACTGTTCTTTTGTCTTTTAACCATTTTAACTGTTTTTAAGTGTACGGTTCAATAGCACTAAGTAGATTCACAGTGTTGTGTAAACATCACCAGTATTCATTCCCAGAACTTTCTCATCTTCCCAAACTGAAACGCTGTCCCCATCAAACACTGGCTCCCCACTCCCCTCTCCCCCAGCCACTGGCAGCCCCCATTCTACTTCTGGTCTCTGGAGTTGACTCCTCTTGGGACCTCACGTAAGTGGAATCACACAGTATGTATCTTTTTGTGACCAGCTCATTCCGCTTGGTATAATGTTTTGTTGTAGTATATGTCAGAATTTCCTTCCTTTTTCAAGGTTGAATAATATTCCCTGTGTGCATAGACCACGTTTTGTTTATCCCAGTGGACACTTCGGTTGCTTTTACCATTTGGCTATTGTGAATAACACTGCTATGAACATGGGTGTACACGTATCTGTTTTAGACCCTGCTTTTAATTCTTTTTTTTTTTTTTTTTTTTTTAAGATGGATCCTCGCTCTGTCGCCCAGGCTGGAGTGCAGTGGTGTGATCTTGGCTCACTGCAACCTCTGCCTCCCAGGTTCAAGCAATTCTCCTGCCTCAGCCTCCCAAGTAGCTGGGATTACAGGCATACACCACCACGCCCGGCTAATTTTTGTATTATTAGTAGAGATGGGGTTTCTCCATGTTGGTCAGGCTGGTCTCGAACTCCTGACCTCAGGTGATCCACCCACCTCGGCCTCCCAAAGTGCTGGGATTACAGGCATGAGCCACCGCGCCCGGCCCGCTTTTAATTCTTTTGGGTATATATCCAGAAATGGAATTACTGGAATGTATGGTAATTCTGTTTAATTTCTTGAGGAACGAGGAACCACCATATTTTTTTTTACATTCCTGTCAGCAACGAAGCTGAGCATCCAACCTCTGCACATCCTGACAACAATTGCTGTTTTCTGAATAGTGGCCATCCTGATGGATGTACCCAAGACTGCTCTTTATAAGCTGACATTTTACTTTGGGGACTAAAAATCTCCTTTTTTTTTTTTTGCAGTGGTGTCACAAATTTTAATTCAAAATAGGCACTCTGAAAACAATAGGTAAAAAAATAAAAATAAAGTTCATCAAGCTGTCTTTGAATTTACAACAGACTACACCGGTGATCACAGACCAGTTTCAAAATTGCCTCCAATATGCACATTATAGCAATTACATGCAAGTATTATATTTTTTAAAATGCACATAGTAACATCATGTTTCTCAGAGGCTGTCACGTCCTCTAGATATTTCTACCTAGAGATACAGTAAACGGGCTCCTCTGCTGTGTACCACCAGCAATATTACTTGTGGTCTAAACTGGCTGGTCTTCATCACTGGTTCTGGTGCTTTAAGTTTTTTTATATTGTGTGGGGGAAAAAACGAGGTTTAACATCCAAAGGACAGGCCAGGCGTGGTGGCTCACGCCTGTAATCCCAGCACTTTGGGAGGCCGAGGCGGGCGGATCACGAGGTCAGGAGATCGAGACCACCCTGGCCAACATGGTGAAACCCCATCTCTACTAAAAAAATATAAAAAATTAGCCGGGCGTGGTGGCGGGCGCCTGTAGTCCCAGCTACTCAGGAGGCTGAGGCAGGAGAATGGCGTGAACCCAGGAGGTGGAGCTTGCAGTGAGCCGAGATCGTGCCACTGCACTCCAGCCTGGGCGACAGAGCAGGACTCTCTCAAAAAAAAAAAAAAAAAAAAAAAAATCCAAAGGACAGTGACAGCAATGGGGATTCTTTAACAATATGCCATCCCGTCCACCTGGATTCAGCTTCCAGCCTTAACCAGCTAGAGAAAAGCCTGTTTCACCACTAAACATGGCCTCCAGGAAATGTGGCCAGAGATTTACTGTACCAGCCATGGAGACTGAGCTCTTGGTCTGCAGACTTCACCCTGCCCCCTGAAAACCTACGCTGAAATTTAAGTTAGTTTCCACACTCGGGGCAGTAAATGTTTATTCTAAAGGCACTGAAGATTTATTATTTTGCCTCTGAGTGGAGAAATGACTTAGCATATCAAAAGAAGGGGAAAGTCTACACTGAAAAGTATTTTTGCATCTACAGAATGACTCTGTTTGTAAAATAACTCTTGATTTATGAGCTACATACCAGATGCCAGATTCTGTCTACTTTTAACAAATGAAAACATTTGGTTTTCTACAATAAAACTCTTTATTTTTTATCTTTGCTATTCCACTCTATTTCTTTCTAAGAGGCTAAGGCAAAATAGTCATTAAAGTTAAAGCTCATTTTAGTTTAGACCCTGATTACTCAGTAACTATCATCAGTATTCTCAAGAAACCATTACCACTCTTTTCTAGAAACTAACAAGCAGGCCGAGTGTGGTGGCTCACACCGGTAATCCCAGCACTTCTGGGTGGATCACTTGAGGTCAGGAGTTCGAAAACAGCTTGGGCAACATGGCAAATCCCCATCTCTACTAAAAATACAAAAAATTAGCTGAGTCTGGTGGCACACACCTGTAGTCCCAGCTACTCAGGAGGCTGAGGCACAAGAATCGCTTGAACCCAGGAGGCGGAGGTTGCAGTCAGCTGATATCACATCACTGCCCTCCAACCTGGGTGACAGAGCAAGACTCCATCTCAAAAATTATCTATCTATCTATCTATATATATCTGTCTATATATATACACACACATACATACATACAAGAATTATCTGGGTGTGGTGGTGTGCACCTGTAGTCCCTGCTACTCAGGAGGCTGAGGCAAGAGGATTACTTGAGCCTGGGAGGTGGAGGCTGCAGTGAGCTGAGATTGCACCACTGCACTCCAGCCTGGGCGACAGAGCCAGACCGTATTAAAAAAAAAAAAAAAAAGCAAATAGACAAGAGAATAATGATGTGGAGGAAGACTTGAGATGAGCTCCTTCGGTGTTCTTGGGCTCTGTCACTTGGTAAGGACAGGGCCACCTGTGCTCCTGACAGGTGCTGGTTTCTGCTGTGGCTGTTCTTCATCTCATGCAGGGTTTGTTTGTTTTTTTTTTTTTACTTCTCTCTGTTTCCTCACCCCAGTTTTCTCTGGCAGTAGTCACCCAAACAGGAAATGCTGCTTCTCACACTTTTCTAAAATTCGGCCATTTCAGGTCTGAGTGTAACGATCATGATTTTTCAAGGAAAGTCTGGGTCATGCTTTACTTTTGAGCAGTTTAATTCTCAGAGGTCTATCCAGCTTCCTTTCCAAAGTGAGGATTAGTCTGATCCAAATTTTAAAATAATGGCATTTACTTTTTATTGTTAAATGTTTATCAGGAAGGACACTGAAATTTCAGTGAATGATAAAACTTTTTTTCTGACTATTTTGAACTGTTACTTTAATATCTTCAGCATAATCTTAGGATAACTCAGCTTCTATTAAAGATAATCATTTATATTTATTGATACTCTGCAATGCAGGGGATACTTCCTTTAAATGTTGACATGGAAAAATGTTTAAAAGATTAGCATTTTATCTGACTGTCATATGTAGGTATTATCTTTAAGAATTTTTATCTTATAATGCCTTGTTAACTTGACACATACAGAAAAGTATTATGGAGCTTTTCTAGGCCCTTGGCAAAGCCAGCAAGATCAGCATCACTGCAGAACTTGCTGGAAACACAGGCCCTGGGGCTTCAGCCAGGCCGGCTGCCTGGGTTAGTAATGACTGCGCAGCAAACACCTCAAAACGCAGTGGCTTCAAATGACAGTCATTTTGGTAGCTCATGATCCATTGGGTCAGGAACTTGGGCAGATTCTGCTGAGTGGCCTTTCTCTTCCATCCGTGCTGCTCTCCGCCATGGCCTCCCACCTGCCTCCAGCTGCCCCACGTGGGCCTCCTTGCAGCGTGGTGGCTTGGGCAGAAGCACTGGGCCTGCAGAGGCTGCCGTGTCCCCCGCAGCAACGTCCAACTGCCCCGTCCTGGAAACGCGCAGCGTCCCTTCCACTCGGTGCCACCACTTCATTCCATGGTAATTTCCGGGAGGTTATAAATTAGAGTCTAAATTAATTGCCCAGTTCAGAGTTGCAAAATTTATTTTCTTTGTGCATGAATGTTTCAAGGAAGGTCAGTATATGGGTAGAGAGTGTTTGGAAACATTTTTAAGATTCAGGACCTACCATGTTCAGCCTGCGTTTTATAAATTTCCTTAAGCATCAAAGCTTTCAGTGGCAGAACAGGCCATTGAAAGCTGCAACAGATTTATAGTTTATCCTTGAATTCCTCACTGACAACAAGGACTTGTTTACTCCTGTAGATACTTAAATGAAATGTTTGTCAGAATCATTCACTATAGGATGGGAAGCATTACTGGTTTTGTTTCTTTGCTTCATGACAATAGCTGAGAGAATATGAAATTTTATTAAAGAAAACAATAGCCTCCTCGGGAAAAGATTAGATTTTGTAAACACTTCAAATAGATTATACACTATTTTTAGAAAAGTTTTTTGAGGGCTTTTTAAAAACAGAAATAAAGCAAGAAGAGTAATTTTATGACTATAGCCCAGAAGTAGAGCCGTCAGTTTACCATTTCCAAAGATGATGTGGTCGGTCTTGTGAGGAATTAAGTATAAATTGAACAGGTCAAGACAAGTGTCCAACTGTTCCAGAAAAAGCATGGACTGCCGTGGGAACATGGAGCCAAAAGACACAGATTACCCTTTATTTCCTTTGTGTCTGTGTCTGTGTGTGTGTTTGTGTCTGTTTATATATGTCTGTGTGTCTCTGTGTGTGTCTGTGTGTGTCTGTGTCTCTTTGTGGGTATCTGTGTGTGTCTATGTGTATCTGTGTGTGTGAAGATTGTACTGTATTGTTTTTATGTAAGATGATGCTTTACTCTTAACTAACGGTTAACCTAATAGAGAGGATAAAGTTACTTGGCTCTGTTTTAATGTAAGAAACAACATAGTTTCATACTGGCTAGAGTCTTGAATCAGTTGGCTTTGGGAATCTTTTGTGTTTTTGTTTTTGTTTTTTTTTTTTAAAGAGGTGAGGGTCTTGCTCTGTTGCCCAGGCTGGTCTCAAACTCTTGACTTCAAGTGATCCTCCTGCCGCGGCCTCCTAAAGTGCTATGATTACAGGTGTGAGCCACTGTGCCCGGCCAGCTTTGAGAATCTTGATGTTTGAGGAAGTGAAGTTTCATGAGAGCTAATTTTTATGTCTGCCCTAAGGTACTTTTTTGATAGAGGACACATCTTCATTGTCTAATCCTAAGTGGAGCATCACAAGCATGAATTTTAAGTAGTAATGCCTTCTTCTAACATGTTTTCACTTAGGAGATGGGACTTTTTAGAGGTTCTGGGAAAGAAAATAGCTGCTATAAAGATGTAGCCACCAGAGTAGCTGTTGGTCTTGTTTCCACTCTCGAGTCCTGCCATTCTGAGTTGTTGTTTTTGTTGTTGTTGTTACTGTTTTGCAAATGGCTAAGTCCATTAGGACAATATTAAACATTTTTATGTAAATAATAATAAATATTGAAAAAGCATATATTTACTTTTGATAATGTGATTGACAAACATACAAATCAGGTCCTTTGTAAGAAAAGTTTTTAGCACCAAAACTAACCCAAAGTAACTAGATTAAATGTGTGCCATAAAACTTTATTTTTTTTTCCTCCCCAGGTTCACCTCCATTTCTCAATGTGAAAGCTTTACATCATTAAGATGAGTTGAATATAGATTTCAATTAATGTTCTTCCTAAGTGATAAGGATGTAGACTTATAAGCAGGACAAGACTAATCATCTTCTTAGCATTTTACTGCGGGTCCCATCGGTAAGGTCTAGAGAGCTGTTCCATATCTCAGTTACTTGGCACTTTCTGACTCTCTCTTTCTTTCTGATTCAGACTCCAGGGTATTCAAAACTGATAAAGTTGGTCATGAAGCCTTTGCACACGGGGAATTTAGAGGCGTTTTATTTAAAGTGGGATTTGCTACTCATATGCCTCTTTCTTATCCCATTTTAATAATGATCGACCCTGGAAATCTTGCTACAGCTCCAACTTTAATAACTTCTGTTTAAGTGGGATTAAACCAGATTTAGAAAAAAACCTTTTGAGAAGTGTTTAGTTATGTACTTTGCATTTAAACTAACATATTACCTAACTTTTATTAATCTGCTTTTCACATTAATCTTACATAAATATAACTCTTCTTTTATTGCCTAAAAGTGGTGAACACTATTCAACATGATTAAAGGAGGTCACTTTATGTATTTATTTTTTATTTTATTTATTTATTTATTTAATTTTTTTTTTTTTTGAGACGGAGTTTCGCTCTTGTTGCCCAGGCTGGAGTGCAGTGGCGCAATCTCGGCTCACCACAACCTCCGCCTCCCAGGTTCAAGTGATTCTCCTGCCTCAGCCTCCCCAGTAGCTGGGACTACAGGCATGAGCCACCACGCCCAGCTAATTTTGTATTTTTAGTAGAGACGGGGTTTCTCCATGTTGGTCAGGCTGGTCTCAAACTCCTGACCTCAGGTGATCCACCCGCCTCAGCCTCCCAAAGTGCTGAGATTACAGGCGTGAGCCACCACGCCCGGCCGGTCACTTTAAAAAAATAGAATTCTGAACCCCTTTATATACTTGCTGTGTCAAGCATATAAAAAGAAATCGTTATCAAGCTTCTGGTGAGCAGAGAATAAATCAGTGTTTCACAAACTATGGATTGGAGACAGCCCTGAAACTCGGCATTCATATTCTATTAGACATCTTCAGTAGCAGAGATTTATATAGAAGTCGTGAAATAATCACCACCTTCCCGTGTGGGAAAAGAGGGCGTTGGCTTTGATTGATACGCAGTGTCCTGTGTAGATGCATCAGTGAGAACGCTTTCCCTGCTAGCTGCCGATTTGACTTGACACTTTAGGGACAAATTGGAGCCCTCATAAGGCCGCTGTAATTACTTGTGAAACAGATTCTGTCTTAGTTCATATAGCAACAAGGCAGGTCTATTTGGAGAACAGTGTGTCCCTTCCTTCCTAAACTGGTCCTTTGATTTGCAGTTCGACACTCAGGCCAGTGGCCTATTTTTAAAAACAAATGATACGCATTAATAGTATCCAGATCAGGTCAGGTTTAAAGAACACCCAATATGTGTGAAAAGGCAAGTCTCCAAAACTGATTAATTAGGGGGGAATTGTGTGCATATCCAAATAACTTAATATACAAATCCTTTTAAAAAGAGTTTCCCCAGATTTATAAAATTAGACTACGTACAGTTCTCAGGAGCACTTCCGTAGAGATTAAGCCTCATGACTCTTGGGTGAGATTGCCACATTTTATTAAGTAAATATTGACATGCTAAGAAGTGGTCGTTTTTTGTGCAGTAGAAAAAGAGAGTGAGATTTACTAACTGCTCTTTCTTTCTTTTTACCAGACTTAGAAATGGCTGTTGCGTATTGGAAATTAGTGTTATCTGGAAGGTTTAAATTTTTAGATCTCTGGAACACATTCTTAATGGTAAGTGTCCTCCTGCATCTCGCTGTGTGCCCACTGTGGAGGGAAGTCGGTAGGTATGAGGCTGCATGTAATCATCCACCTCAGGTCTCACACGTGGAGGTTTTCAGCAGATGAACATCCCACACAAAGATCCGCAGGTCCAGACAGGTTGCCACTTGGCTCTGTCACCTTGCCGGAGACTGCAGGGCTGAGCTGGGGCCACTCCGGGGCCTCCTCAGAACGTGGCTTCTTGGCAGTCACGGGAAGCTCCTCTCAGGCTGGGGTTCCTGGAGACTCTGCAACCCCAGCAGCCCCCGTGTTGTCTCCTCTGAGGACCTAGACGGTAATTCTGTCTTTCCACTGAGAACTCCGAATCCTCGACATGGTGCCAGCGCCACACTTCTGTGGACTGGTTTGGGCTCCGGAACTGCGGATTGTATGTGGCGGTGCCCAGCCTCTGTGTGTGTCTGTGGTCTGAAGCCATTTCTAAGTGTGTCTCACCATGCTCAGGAGGAAAAGAGGCCTTTGTGGACCCTCTGGAGAGACACTTTGCTGGTGCGGGGCAAGGCTGCGTCATGCCAGCCCGTCTTGCTGGCAGCAGGTGCAGCTGTGGGTTTTTGGAAGTGAGTGGCCACAAGCCCGGTAATGGCAGAGATGCCCAGACCTCTTGCTGTTCTGTCCATGAAAGTGAAAGAAGTGGTCTTCCACCGCCCAACCCACGGCCGGGCCAGGACCCGCACTGCCTCCCTTCACCTGACACCAGGTGACACAGACTTTGCCACTTAGAGTCCTGTGGCCTTGGGCACGTCACTTCCGCTTCCTTGCCTGGGAATGGTACCCAGAGAGTGTGGCAGGTGGAGGGCGGAGCTGTCTGTGGAAGGTGACGTCACTCAGTCCTGTGGGTTTGCCATGGAGAGACGTCTTTGCAGCTATGTGTTTCATTACATCATGTGCTGTATTACTTCTCTCGAAATATCCAGAGGTCAGTAATGCTGTGCCCACAGCCCCCTTACGCCTTACCTGGGGTCAAACCTAAGTCACAGATGTTTCCCAGAGAACCTCACGCTCTTGTGCGTGGAGAAGGGGATGAAGGCGCTCACAGTGTCATTGTAACGGCAGAATACTGGAAAAGCCAGTGACCATCCACAGGAGAACGGACTAAAAAATCAGAATATTGGTGCGATGGAGCACGGCTTTGGAGCCACGCAAAGGAACGCACATTCACACACGTCAGCCCGCATACGTTTCAGACATTATGCTGAGTGGGAAAAAAACAAGTTGCAGAAAACTATGTGTAATTTGATAGCAGTTAATGTTTTAAAATGTAAGACAAGCTTATGAGCTGTTCGTGAATATATATATACATGCAGCTAATGGGCAGGTAACGAGATTAAAATGCTGCCCTTCTATGTGACAAAACAGGAGTTTATAATTGTAATATTTAAAATGTTTTGTTCTTAAATAAATCTGCTTTCTATATTTGGACATTAGCGTTGTTGTAGCACTTAACATTTATACAGAACGCTATTACTTTTAACAATTTTATTGTACTTGTTCCTAATCAAATTAATGAACATTAATTGAAGATCGCTAGGCCACTAGAATATATGAGAGTTAAGCTCTGTATTTTAAACCTGGTGGGTTTTTTTTTTCTCTCATATATTAGGAACATCACAAAAGATCAATTCCAAGGGACACCTGGAACCTCCTGCTGGACTTTGGAAACATGATTGCGGATGATATGTCTAACTACGATGAAGAAGGTACCGGAAGTTGTGCTTCAGATGATTGACCGAAATGCTTACACCTGAGAACGTTAACTTCTCCTGCCTCTAGAGTGGTGACCCCGTCACTGAGATGGGCGTGGTCATAATACTACCCCCTTCCTTATTATTTTCTGTAAATCATACAAAAGAAAAATAGGGTTTTATATTTAGTGTAAATCAAGAAGACAGTCCTCTAAGCCAAAGCATTTCAGAATTGGATGTGAAGAGTTAGAGACCCCCATGGTGGAGCCATGGAGTTAGGTATTGGGAAACCACCACTCCCAGATTCTCAGTCCCGCATGATGCCTTAGGTCAGTTCCACACTGCACTCTTCAGGCTGACTCGGAGATTCCAGCTCCTGTCTTCTTGCATAAATATATCTCCACATACTTGTCTCCCCCCGTGTTTAGGACTCTGCGTTGGAGGGCCTTTGGAGCCTGCTGTGTGCTGGGCACGCTGCCACCTTAGAGAGGGATGGTCTCTGGGTGGAAGGCCTCCCCTCTAGGCTCCCACCCACTTTGCTTCCTCCCTGCCCCCTCGGCGGGCAGTGATCTGTTCTGGGCCCTGGCGCCGTGCCTTTAACGGGTGGTTTACGTGTCTGTCTGCCTGTTTTAGCTTCTGCTTCTCTTTGTGTCCTCCACACTTTGCACCGTCCCTAGATCAGGGGCACCCAGTAAATGCTTGTCAAATGAAAGAAGGGATCACTGAATCTCATTGACAGAAGCGCGGCTTCCAGGATTGAGGCAGCAGTGCAGGAGCTCAGAGGGCACTCAGGGCTGCCGGGGTGGGGAAGGGAGCAATGGGGTGGTCCCACTTGGGAAGAGCCGCAGGAGGGAGCACCCCCTGCTGGCAAGAATACCAATGACCTGAGGAACATGCCTCCTGCTCCGCGGGGGTCCATTTAGCTCCCTTCCTGAGCAGCTGGTGTGACTGCCTGGGGCACTCACCGAGCATCCGGGGCCACTGTGAGCCCACAGCCCCCTAGACATGCCAGCACACACACACCAGGGCTCCCGACCTGGCCGTGCTAGGGCGAAAGAACTGGGTAACTTGGGCTGGTTCATTCTGTGAAACACAAATGGTGTGGACCTCAAGTCATTTGGGTTCTTGAAGTGTAAATGTTGGATTGATGTGTGACTCAGTGCTTTGGAGATAAAAACGGTGCTCTAACGGGTTTTCTGTTTGCTTGCTTTCCTTTAGGAGCTTGGCCCGTTCTTATAGATGATTTTGTAGAATATGCACGGCCAGTAGTCACAGGTGGAAAACGCAGCCTTTTCTAGGCAGCAAGTTAAGCAGGAGTAAGATTATGAAATGATTTGTATCCTGCAAGGAGATTGCAGTCAGTTCCTGGGTGCATTGTCGCTGATTCCAGAAGTCATTCTTGACCAGCCATGAAACCAGAGGCGCCATCCCATTCTGCCGGAGGACAGCCAGCGGCTGCTTTGTGGACACCGCAGGAAGTTCCTCGGGACACGGCTGCTTTGGGATGTTTGGAGATTTGTCATCATAGCTTTTGCGTTAGGAAATTTCTGCATGATTTTTTAATATTTACAAAATACTAAGGTAGAGCCATAGCGCCGCCTGTGGGACCGCAGAGCATGCTGCGTAGCTCGCGCGTCAGGCGAACCAGCGTCCGGCAGCGTCCCGCCGAATGACGTTGCGGTGGCACTGGCAACACGGCATGTGTCCTCTGCAGGGCGCTGCGTTTTTATACACGTCAAAGCTGTTAAGAATGTGCCCTAAGGGAGAGGATCTTGTCGTAGAGTCTAATGTTTTTTAAAATTGGTGCCAGCAATTCACGATTTATATTTTTTGAATTACCAAATATCTAGATTTACCAGCTCTATTTTTGTTTTCATTTTCTCTAGACATTCATCTGAAAATCATTTTATGGTTCTCAATCCCCATGTAGCTTTGCATAGCAACGGCACACGTGGCACGATTCCAGCAGAGTTTATCTCACACCGTTTATATATCACTGGGCCTCTCTTACTTAAATATTATTTGACCTGCCTGAGAAGCTTCATAAAGTATGTTTTTTTAAAATATATTTTAATTACATTTAAAAAGACATTTTTCCATGAAAAACATTTATTTTATGAGTGATGAATTATAGATTTTAAAATCAAGGCCGGGCGTGGTGGCTCACACCTGTAATCCCAGCATTTTGGGAGGCCGAGGCAGGTGGATCACCTGAGGTCAGGAGTTTGAGACCAGCCTGGCCAACATGGTGAAACCCTGTCTCTACTAAAAATACAAAAATTAGCCGGGCATGGTGGCACATGCCTGTAATCCCAGCTACTCAGGAGGCTGAGGCAGGAGATTCGCTTGAACTCAGGAGACGGAGGTTACAGTGAGTCGAGATCGCGCCACTGCACTCCAGCCTGGACGACAGAGTGAGATTCTGTCTCAAAATAAATACATACATACATACAATAAAACCGAATGAGCTGGTTCTTTCCATCCTCTTGTGGTACCCGTAGTGCCCAGCATCCAGACCTTTGTGCCCCTGTGCACATTTGGAAGCTAAAATGTACATCGTTGTCTGAAAAAACCCAACCCCAAAACCTTCATCTGATTGGTGAGCTGAAGTCTGTCCTTGCACCATGTTATCATCTGTTTCTCGTGTCCGCCTGGTTGAGGAGGACCCACGAGTGCTGCCGAGGTGTGGAGGGCTGGTATTGAGTTGTGGACATCACTGTTGACCCTACCTCACGTGCCGAGACTCTCATGTCACAGGCGTGCCTTGCTGCCCCCCTGCAGCACTGTGCAGGACGTGGACCAGCTGGAGCTGCTGCCCAGCACAGAGGAGAGTCGCCGCAGATGACCTAGCTGCGGTGTGAGAGAGCATGGCCCAGACAAGCAGCTGGGTTGGCTTCTGAGAACAGGACTTACCCTGGGCTTCAGGAACATCTGATGGCTGAGGTTAGTGTGCTTGGAGGCTGCAGGACGAACTGTCGATGTTTCTTAGCAGAGATGGTCACAGAGGGCAGCAGGGACAGGACTGGAAGGGACCTGCAGCCTGCAGACCCCGCCTGGCCCCCGCTGGCTTCTGGCTGGTCCAGTGATGGGCAAGTGACAGACCTTCCCCAGGCTCTGCTTCCAGAACTCTAATGGGAAACTGGGCCTGTCTACCTTTAGAAGTCTTCGATTCTCAGAGAGCATTTGTCTAATACAATAAAAACTGGCATTAATACAAACCTCAAAAACGTGAGCGTATCTTCCAGGCTTCATGGATTCTTGACATGTAATTGTTTTGTTCAGAAAAGTTTATAGAATTCACATAATTCTGTATAAACTATGGAGATCCACAGTACTTTTTTGTTTTTGAGATTTAAAGTTCTAAGGGATTGTCAATAGATATCAAAATATTAATCATTGGACAAAGGCTTTTCCAAAAATTGTGGGTTTTTTTCTTCTGTTGTATCCATTTGAGTCCTGCATGCTGTGAAATGCTGAGAACAGAAGCATTAAATTGGTTTTTCTCGGGCGTGGTTTCCTTTCGATTCTCCTCAGCTGCAGGGATGTCTGCCTATAGGTGTCAGCATCCACGTCATTGTCCCAGGATGAGAGAACAGCCCCCAGCTAGCAACCAGCGGGCAAGCCCCTGCCCCCGTGTGTGGCCCGCCAGCCCTGGCCAGGTAACCAGGTCCTCAGGTACCTTCTGTCATTGCGTTGCCTCTCAGCGGTGCACCGTGCACCTGATGGGGTGGCTCATGTGAGGAATGAGAGATCTCACAATAGGCAGGATTTACGGGAGTGTGTCGGGGCAGGAGGTCATGTGTGCCAGCACAAACTGCTGGAAACCGTCCCTTATCGGAGGCAAACGGCCAAGCACGGGGGTCTGAGGATCATGTGCTACCTGCCGATTCACGGTGCACCTGCCAGCGTTCCGGAATCAACAACGCCAGCTCCTCTCAGTGACATTGTACATGTCATTGTGTTATTTTCGCTTGAAGTTTATATCCATTTTAGACCTCAGGCTTCTTGGGGCCAAGAATAAACTTTCTTCTGATCCTTGTTGCTGTGTCCACAGTTTCAGGTACAAAGTAGGGGCTCTGCAAATATTTGTTGGATAAACGAGCTAACCTTATCCCGTCCTGTTTGCTGAGGGAGCCAGCTAGTGCTCTTGGCAAAGGTTTCCGCCGCCTGCGAACTGAAGCGCTCAGCGAGCGGGCTGTGTTAATCCCCTCAGCAGCACACGCTTCGGCCCCACAGTGCAGTTGTGCCTAAAACAGGTGAGAGTTTGAACGAAGGGCCGCCCCTCCTGTCTGTCTTGTTTGGATAGGGACCCTGCGTGCATGCTGTTTTTTGTTTTGGAGTTTTGTTTGTTTGTTTGTTTGTTTCTGAGACAGAGTTTTGCTCTTGTTGCCCAGGCTGGAGTGCAATGGCGTGATCTCGGCTCACTGCAACCTCTGCCTCCTAGGTTCAAGTGATCCTCCTATCTCAGCCTCCCAAGTAGCTGGGATTACAGGTGCCCACCACCATGCCCGGCTAATTTTTGTATTTTTAGTAGAGACGGGGTTTCATCATATTGGTCAGGCTGGCCTCAAAATCCTGAGCTCAGGGGATCCGCCCGCCTCGGCCTCCCAAAGTGCTGGGATTACAGCCATGAGCCACCGCGCCCGGCCTGCATGCTGGTTTTGAAGTTTGTTTCTGAATCTCAGGATCATGCTAGCTGGCATGACTGTGCTGATGGCTGCCTCCACCAGCAGACAGTGGAGGGTGAGGTGAACTCACTGCTTGAGATCCTCCGTTTTAACAAGTGCTGATATAACGCCAGGCGGTTAAATGCTTCCTACTGTCTCGCTGTACACTACGAGAGTTTTTATCAGACGCATTTCTTCAGTCCAGGTGTAACTCTTTGCTTCCCCTGGGTCTGATGGAAACCAGGCCCCGAGGAAGGAGACGGGAGAGACACAGCCCTGCTGGGCTCCCGGCCTCTGCGGAGAACTGTCCTGGGGTGGGGTCGGGAGATGGACTGTTTTCCTAATTTATTTCAAACCAGGAACCCTGGCTGTGTGCATTCTGCCTCACCCCCCGTCTCCATATTTTTTAATATTCTTTTCATGAGCTAGCAGGGATGATGTAAATACACTGAGCTGACCGAGGGCCGGATGGGAGGTTCTAGTGAAGCCTGCGGTTTGCTGACGACTTTCCCCCTCAGTGCAGTCCAATTATTTGGGAGCCGTTAAACACCGCATGCTGAGAAGACACCGTCATTGTTCACACAGGAGCTAGATAGACTTTGTTCCCTCTACACTGCATTTTTTAAAAGTTTTCTATCAAAAACACATTTCATAATCGAAAAGTTTTCTAAATGATAAAACCGCATGTCACAGATTAATCTCAACATTATGTTGAGTGAAGGAAGCCAGACACCGAAGGCCACACATTGTATTTGAAATGTCCAGGAAAGGCAGAACTGTAGAGACAGCAGATGGGTTGTTGCCCGAGGGGTGAGGGCACGCCCCGCAGCGGGCGGCAGTGACAGGCACGCCTGCACACATCTGCTCCCGCATCACCCCACGCCACACACGGGGAAGTGTGCGCACTCCTTCCAGGGACAGCGAGAGGAGCCCCTGCTCTGTCAACGCTCTGAATGTGCTGCGGCTGCCGGCAGAAGCTAGCAGGCTCCTCTGCTGAGGAGCTGGTGCCTGTCCAGACGCAGAAGAAAACTGACACCTCCCACGTGGGGGACAGAAAGGTCCTCTCATTGGTGCCACCTGCAGAGATAGACAAGGAGCGCCTGGCCATCAGAGGACGCTCCTGACAGTGACACAGTGACCACTATAAAAGTCAGGCGGGCTGAGGAGGAGACAAAGGCCAGGACGCTCCGCAGCTGTTGGGGAAGAGGAGCTGCCTCCTGGGATGGAGAAATTTAAGGCTGCGATGTTGCTGGGGAGCGTCGGCGATGCTCTTGGCTACAGAAATGTCTGCAAGGAGAACAGCACTGTAGGCATGAAGATCCAGGAGGAGCTGCAACGTTCCGGGGGCCTGGACCACCTCGTACTCTCGCCAGGAGAATGGCCCGTGAGTGACAACACCATCATGCACATCGCAACCGCCGAGGCCCTCACCACAGGTAGGCTGGGCCCACCGCGCTCCGGTGTGCGGGCTGGAGGGAACACTGGCTGCTCGAGTTCTCCCAGTAAGCCTCCGAGAGCTTTGAAGGCAGTGCGGTCCTTCAGCGGATGGTGTTACCTGATACCGCTGCTAAAAGTGGCAATTTAATCTGAGTGTCCCTCAAATTTGATATGCGGCAGATCACGTTTCTCCTGTGGTTTCTCTGAGGGTGACAGTATTACTTTACTTTGCAGTTATTAAGATTCAGTTTTTAAACGTGACTTTTCACTTGTATTTGTAAAGCGTTAACTAGGCCTAGCACCTTCTGTTTCTAATAGAGTTAAAGCCAGTGAAGCCTCTCTCGGCCGTGCTGGTGGGAGTAGGGTGAGGGCTCACTTCTCGCTGCAGAGATTAAGCCTTCTTGTTCTGAATTCATTACAAAGGGATGTAAAATAAGCCAGTTTGAAATGTGAACCCATTAATACTGTTTGGGGATTAGTTCTAAATTCCAATGAATTAAAGTTAGAATATCATCTCCCAAAATGGTTCAGCTTGGAGAGTTGCCCATACACAAATGTGTTCTAAGAAAATGACATAAACTTGATTGGACGAGATTGGAGACAAAGCTTCTTAAAATACCTTTAAGTAGCAAATTGATTTTAGGATCAAGCTTTTGCATGAATTTCAGGGAAATGGCAGGTGCACAGACATGCAGTCCAGCTTTCCTACGAGGCATTTGCTCTTCAAAACCCCGTGGGTGCTGTTTATCATGGCAGAATTAAAATCTGAGGGCTGCAGCTAAGTCAATGAAATCTCACTTATGCGTTCACTCCACCATTCTGTTCATCTGCCATGGACGTGCCCAGTTTAGTTCTGTGCTCACAGCAGAGGAATGCCATCGAGCCTGTGGCCGGTCCCTAAATAACGGGAGAGCTGAAGCGCCGGCGATAAGATAAGGCTCCCGGCTTGCTGGAGACGGGGAGGCGTCCGACTGTTCACAGCCTTGGCGTCCAGGAGCTCCTGCTTCTGGTTTTCCAGGCGGCCACTCGTGTGCCCTTAGGACCAGCAACCCCATGCTTGTGCCCCGCAGCCCAGAACAGGTGCACCCCACACACAGACACCTGTGGGACACAGCTCCGGCTTGTTTTCACCGTAGACGGCTGGAGCTCACTCTTGAGTTTGGCTTCCTCTGGGCGTCTGATGCCGTGTGTGCGCTCATACCAGCTCTGCATGTCCCATTTCTGGTAGCACTTGGTGGGCGTTTTGTAAATGGCAGCGTCCATGGCTGTGGGTCTGGTCCTGCCAGGCCCGCAGGGAGGGCAGCGGCACAGGACACTCCAAAAGTGCACCGACGGAGATCGGCCCAACAGGACACGAAATTCACACAGTTAAAAGGGTTACGGACGTTTAGGGCACTGTTTTTTGTTTGTTTTTTGAGACGGAGTCTTTCTCCATCGCCCAGGCTGGAGTGCAGTGGCGTGATCTCAGCTCACTGCAACCTCCACCTCCCAGGTTCAAGTGATTCTCCTGCCTCAGCCTCCTGAGTAGCTGGGGCTACAGGTGCCCACCACCACGCCCGGCTGATTTTTGTATTTTTAGTAGAGACGGGGTTTCACCACGTTGTCCAGGCTGGTCTCGAACTCCTGACCTCAAGTGATCCACCCACCTCAGCTTCCCAAAGTGCTGGGATGACAGGCGTGAGCCACCATGGGGCGCTATTCTTAAGGAGGAAGTAAGTTTGCTCTAAGCTCTCAGGGTCCTCAGCTGTGGACTGGAAGGGAGGGTTCACTGTGCTGCTGCAGCGTCTAGTTTGTGGGTCATGAGAAAATACGCATCCAAGATCACCCCTGGAATTGCTTACTGTGGGCGGCAAGCCACCCAGGCACTGAGGCAAGAGACAGAGGACACGAGCTGTTCCAGTATAATAAAACAAGAATAGTTATACCAGATATAGATCTTAGATATGATTATATATGAATATCATTAATCATTAGTTTGTAGCAATTACTTTTTATTCCAATATTATGATAATCCTCGCTCTATAATCATAGCCTAGGAAAAACCAGGCCATACAGAGATAGGAGCTGAGGGGACATAGTGAGGTGTGACCAGAAGACAAGAGTGCGAGCCTTCTGTTATGCCCGGACAGGGCCACCAGATGGCTCCTTGGTCTAGCTGTGACGCCAGCGTCTGGGAAGACGCCCGTTACCAGGCGGATCGTGGTCCAGCAGTAGCAAAAGGTGGCAAGGAACAACACCTGCTACTTAGCAGACCAGGAAGGGGGGGGGGGTCTCCCTTTCCCCAGGGGAGTTTAGAGAAGACTGCTCTTCCACCTCTTGTGGAGGGCCTGACATGAGTCAGGCTCGCCCGCAGTTATCCGGAGGCCTAACCGTCTCCCTGTGATGCTGTGCTTCAGTGGTCACACTCCTAGTCTGCCTTCATGTTCCATCCTGTACACCTGGCTCTGCCTTCTAGATAGCAGTAGTAAATTAGTGAAAAATTAGTACTATCAGTACTAATAGTCCCTGATATGCAGAAATAATGGCATAAGCTGTCTTTCTCTCTGTCTCCTCTCCCTCTCTGCCTCGGCTGCCAGGCAGGGAAGGGCCCCCTGTCCAGTGGACACGTGACCCACATGACCTTACCTACCATTGGAGGTGACTCGCATTCTTTACCCTGCCCCTTCTGCCTTGTATCCAATAAATAACAGTGCAGCCAGACATTCGGGGCCACTACCGGTCTCCGTGCATTGGTAGTAGTGGTCCCCCGGGCCCAGCTGCCTTTTCTCTTATCTCTTGTCTTGTGTCTTTATTTCTACACTCTCTCGTCACTGCACACAGGGAGAGACCCACCGACCCTGTGGGGCTGGTCCCTACAGCTTACCCCTCTAGAAACCAAAGCAAGCAGATTTTTTTCAACTCACTAAAAATCAAAGTCGAAATTTCACTTAAGTTTATCTTTGTTCTTTAAATAACAAATTGTAGCCTATGGAAGGGGGTCTTTAAGCTGTGTTAACAATGGTGAGGGCTGGGCACAGTGGCTCACGTCTGCAATCCCAGCATTGTGGGAGGCCACGGTGGGCAGATTGCCTGAGCCCAGGAGTTCTAGATCAGCCTAGGAAACATAGCAAGACTCCATCTCTACAAAACGACAATGGTGAGTGCTGACTCCACAGCACTTCTGTACCAGGCATTGTTCCAGCTGCTTCACGCATGTTATCCTCCACACATGCTCCTCACATCACCGTGGAGGCTGATTTTATCACAATCTTACAGGAGAAAAAATTGACATACAGAGAGGTTCAGGCGCTTGCCCAGTGCCACACAGCCCAGCGAGTGGCAGAGCTTGGACGGGAACCAGAGAATCTGGCCCCTGTGCTCGTAAGCATCCTCCCTGACTGCTGAGATCACGGTGGCCTGCAGGTATCCTAACAATTGCAGTGTGCAGGGGCTCTTCAGCATGCTTTCCAAAGACAGGCAGACTTTTACAAATGGAACTACGTTTGGCAGCTTTAAGTAAGCTGCACTGAAAAGTCCTTCACCCCACGAGCCACGGGGCTGTGTGGTCTGGCAAACCCTGGCTCTGCTGCTAGAGTGAGCACAGGTCTGAGGGTCGGGGCAGCCTGTGTGGCTCCCTCCTTCCGGGTGAGCCTCTCTGAACCGGGCTGCCTCCTTCCGGGTGTGTCTCTCTGAACGGGGCTCCCTCCTTCCGGGTGAGCCTCTGAACAGGGCTGTCTCCTTCTGGGTGAGCCTCTCTGAACCGGGCTGCCTCCTTCCGGGTGTGTCTCTCTGAACGGGGCTCACTCCTTCCAGGTGTGTCTCTCTGAACAGGGCTGCCTCCTTCCGGGTGAGCCTCTCTGAACAGGGTCCCTCCTTCCGGGTGTGTCTCTCTGAACAGGGCTCCCTCCTTCCGGGTGAGCCTCTCTGACCGGGGCTCACTCCTTCCGGGTGTGTCTCTCTGAACAGGGTCCCTCCTTCCCGGTGAGCCTCTCTGACTGGGGCTGCCTCCTTCCGGGTGAGCCTCTCTGACTGGGGCTGCCTCCTTCCGGGTGAGCCTCTCTGACTGGGGCTGCCTCCTTCCGGGTGAGCCTCTCTGAACAGGGCACGAGAGCAGACTCTGAACCAGGAAGTAGCCGTGTCTAGCGCTCTACAAGACACATAGGAGAGGTGGCATCCATGGCCCTGAAACGACAAGCCCATGTTGCCAGCGCATTATCACCAAGTCACTTGGCAAGCGTTTAGCAGGTGTGTGTGTGTGCCAGGCCTGGGGAGGGGCGGCCTCGCACAGAGAGCTCGGCCATTGCTCGGGTATGCAGCTGGCCATTCCCAGCTCCCTACCCCCACTCCCTGGGAAAACTGGGGAAGTGGCTTCCCTCCCAGGGCCTTCCTCCCTCACAAGGTCACAGAGGATTAAACGGAGCAACCAGCAAAGTGTGAGGAAGCACTTAGGCCAGTGTGGGAAGTTGGTGCAGGCCCGTGTGGCCGAAGGCACATCTGACATGTCTCTGCCCTGAGGCTCACTCAGCCAACTTCAGGGCCCAGCAGGATGGCGGGAGGTGTCACCTGGCCACAGCCTCCAGGGCACAGGGCCAGCACCTTCTCAGCCTCTCCCGGGGCCCTGATAACTGGGAGTGGCACTTCAGCTCATGGCAGAAAACGTTTGGAAACAGTTGACATTTTGCTACAAGATCACTGGATGTTAGTATTTTGCCTTTTCTTTATTGAGACATGGGTTGGGAGACTCAGGCACCATTTTTTTTTTTTTTTTTTTTTTTTTTGGGACATAGTCTCACTCTTTTGCCCGGGCTGGAGTACAGTGGCGCGATCTCGGCTCACTGCAACCTCCACCTCCTGAGTTCAAGCGATTCTCCTGCCTCAGCCTCCTGAGAGGCTGGGCTAACTTTGTATTTTTAGTAGAGACGGGGGTTTCACTATGTTGCCCAGGCTGGTCTCGAACTCCTGACCTTATGATCTGCCCATCCCAGCCTCCCAAAGTGCTGGGATTACAGGTGTGAGCCACTGCACCCGGCCCCTCAGGCAGCTTTAGAAACTGATTTGTCTTTCAGGAGACCAGACAGGGAAGACAGGAGACAGGAGTGGAGTGTCCCAAAGGAAAGAGACCCGGGGAGAAGCCCAAGGGTAGCAGCTTTGAAAATCTGTTTCTCGCTTAAATTCTAACCTGAAAAGACAATGCTGTTTGTGCCATTTTGTTTTATGGCTTCTGTTTGCTTTGAAAAGGCTAAATTTCAGTTGAATACAGACATTTCATGTCTAATTCCAGAATAAAATGAATCCTTTTAGGGGACTCAGGAAGGGCTAGGCTTGTTAACCCAGGACTGAGTTGAGAAAGGCTGTTTGTGGATCCACTGTGCCGGTGACTGTGAGGGGCACACACTGGGTTTAGACACAGCCTGGACAAAGCCACGCAGCTGTACCCCCATCCAGGGGTTTCGGGTGCAGGCGAAGGTGACCTTAATTCCTGCAGGAATGCAGCCCTCACACCTCTCCTATGAGACTGCAGGACTCGTGTCTCCCAAACCACAGTCTTGCCACATTCTCTCTCCTCCCTGACTCAGAACTGGGGTGATGAACATGGCGTCATGTAAAACAATACTGTGCATGCACACAACACCATGTGTGCAGACAACATGTGTGTAGACACCATACACATACAATGTGCATGTAGACACCATGCACACAAAACACCGTGAGTGTAGACACCATGCACACACAACACCATGAGTGTAGACACCATGCACACACAACACCGTGCATGTAGACACCATACACACACACCACCATGAGTGTAGACACCATGCACACACAACACCGTGCATGTAGACGCCATGCACACACAACACCTTGCATGTAGACGCCATACACACACAACACCGTGAGTGTAGACGCCATGCACACACAACACCGTGCGTGTAGACGCCATGCACACACAACACCGTGCGTGTAGACGCCATGCACACACAACACCGTGCGTGTAGACGCCATGCACACACAACACCGTGCGTGTAGACGCCATGCACACACAACACCGTGCGTGTAGACGCCATGCACACACAACACCGTGAGTGTAGACGCCATGCACATACAACTTGCATGTAGACACCATGCACACACAACACCGTGACTGTAGACACCATGCACACACACCATGCATGTAGACACCATGCACACACAACACCGTGCATGTAGACACCATACACACACAACACCGTGCATGTAGACACCATGCACACACAACACCGTGCATGTAGACACCATGCACACACAACACCGTGAGTGTAGACACCATGCACATACAACTTGCATGTAGACACCATGCACACACAACACCGTGACTGTAGACACCATGCACACACACCGTGCATGTAGACACCATGCACACACAACACCGTGCATGTAGACAACACTGTGCGTGTAGACAATACTGTGCATATAGACAAAGCCATGCCTGTATGACAACACGGTGCATGTAAACACCCTGTGTTTACACAGCGCAATGCTATGCATTTATGACAATATCATACATGCAGGACAGACAATACCATGTGTGTAGACAACACCATGCACATACAACACTGCGCATGTAGACACCAGGTGTGTTGGCAACACTGTGCATGTGGATAACACTGTGCACATAAGACAACACTGTGCATGTAGACAACACCGTGAGAGTAGACAATGCTGTGAGTATAGACAACGCCGTGCCCATATGACAACACCGTGCATGTAGACAACACTGTGCACAGGCCAGCCGGCCACGCCTCCCAGGACTGCCCCTCTCTTCAGAGGCCTCTGCTGGGCCGGGTCAGGGAACTGGTGGTAGGAGGACACAACATACAGTCCTTGTCCTGAGCACTTCTCCGGGGGTTTGCAGCCACGGGAGCCCTCTCTCTCTGGGGGGTTCACAGCCATGGGGCCCTGAGTGCTCTCTCTGGGAGGTTCACAGCCACTGGGCCCTGTGCACTCTCTCTGGGGGGTTTGCAGCTGCAGGGCCCTGAGCGCTCTCTAGGGGGTTCACAGCCAAGGGGCCCTGCTTGTTTTCTCTGGAGGGTTTGCAGCTGCGGGCCCTGCGTGCTCTCTGGGGGGGAGGGGGGAGGGGGGGCCTGCAGCTGTGGGGCCCTGCGTACTCTCTCTGTGGTAGGAGGTGAGGAGGTTTGCAGCCGCCGGGCCCTGCACGCTCTCTCTGTGGGGTTTGCAGCCGCTGGGCCCCAAGCACTCTCTCTGGGGGGTGTGCAGCCTCAGGATCCTGTGCACTCTCTCCAGGGGTTTGCAGCCATGGTCCCTACACGTGCGTGCTCTCTCCAGGGGTTTGCAGCCATGGTCCCTACACGCGCGTGCTCTCTCCAGGGGTTTGCAGCCATGGGGGCCCTGTATGCTCTCGCCAGGGGTTTGCAGCTACAGAGGTTTCATGTCCTGGAGGAGGAGTGACTTTGCCAAGTGCCCTTCCTAATCTCACCAACCCATCCATGCTAGGACATCTGGCTCTGATGCGGCTGAAAAAGGCCCCAGCCACCAGCAGGAAGGTCTTTTGCTTCCAAGTGCCATTTCTGCCCCATGGAGGGTGGGCCAAGCCTCCATCTTCGCCTCCCTCTCCCCATTCATTCCCACCCCTCCCCTCCCCAAAGGTGGGGAATTCATCACCAAGGAAAAGGGAGCAGTGGCGTCTCCCGGGGCTGACCCGCAAGCCCAGAGTGCAGTTTTAGTACAAAATGAAAACAAGTTGCTGGGTGTTAAAGTGGCCGTTGGGAGGGGCGCCCTCGCCGGCCCCACCTGGTGGGCATCCGCCTGCCACAGCCTGTCCTGGCATGGCCAGGCACCAGGGCTCTGATTTTAGAGGCTGTGTGGACTCCATCCACACACTGCGGGTTACTTAATCACAGAAATGCTCGGGCTTTGCAGGCAAACACCTTTGTCAGCTCTGGCTTTGGCCAAGACACATAACCTCACTGAGCCTTATCAGGGAATATGGCAAATAAGAACTAGCCCTTGCTGTGGGAGGACGTCTGGGCCTCCCGCGTGCTGGGCATAGGGCTGGTGTCTGCTGTGTCCAGCTCCTTCACCCTCGTGCCCCAGGGTCTTTCAGGGCCTCGAGCCCACCCTTGTTTCCGGAACACTGCTTGTGGGGCTGGGGATGCTGCTTGGTGGCAGCTGTCCCTGCAGCACCTGGGTTTCTGGCAAGAGAAGAAGGAGCTGGAGCTGGGCACACTGGCCTCCACCATCGGCGTCACAAGCCCATAGAGTAGGCCAGTTTCGGTTCTGTTTGTGGCCACATAGATGGAACCATTAGAAAAGGGGCACGGTGGGGCTGGGTGCAGTGGCTCACGCCTGTAATCCCAGCACTTTGGGAGGCTGAGGTGGGCAGATCACAAGGTCAGGAGATCGAGACCATCCTGGCCGACATGGTGAAACCCCGTCTCTACTAAAAATACAAAAAAATTAGCCGGGCGTGGTGGTGGGCACCTGTAGTCCCAGCTACTCAGGAGGCTGAGGCAGGAGAACGGAGTGAACCCGGGAGGCAGAGTTTGCAGTGTCTGCCCTCCCTTTCTTCCCCAGACTATGGTGCCTGACCCCGCGGGAGGGAGGCCACAGTTCACACCACAGCTGGCTCTGATGTCTGCCCTCCCTTTCTTCCGCAGACTACTGGTGCCTGGATGATCTGTACCGGGAGATGGTGAGATGCTATGTGGAAATCGTTGAGAAGCTTCCAGAACGCCGGCCAGACCCAGCTACCATTGAAGGCTGTGCTCAGCTAAAGCCCAATAACTACCTTCTCGCCTGGCACACACCGTTCAATGAAAAAGGTCAGGGAAATCCTCTCCTCTCCCCCTAAAGCCACCCTGCTGGGGACCCTGCGGTCCTAACCATCTGCCTTCCACTAACCCCCAGCATCTCCAGGTGGCTTCAGTGAGGCCGGATCTGCCTAGAGTCCCTTTGTCGGGTGGGGGCCCCTCCTGGTCAGCCCGGCCAGTGCGGGCGTCTGTTTAAGGAATATGGGCAGGGGCCCCTCCTGGTCAGCCCGGCAAGCGCGGGCATCTGTTTAAGGACTATGGGCAGGGGCCCCTCCTGGTCAGCCTGGCCAGTGCGGGCGTCTGTTTAAGGAATACGGGCAGGGGCCCCTCCTGGTCAGCCCAGCCAGCACGAGCGTCTGTTCAAGGAACACAGGCGGGGCCCCTCCTTTGTCAGCTCTATATATTATAAATATTTTCTCCCATTGTATGCCTTGCCTTTTTGTTTTCTTAATGGTATCTATTGAAAAGCACGCTTTAAATTTTTTTTTTTTTTTGAGATGGAGTCTTGCTCTGCCATCTAGGCTGGAGTGCAGTGGTGCGATCTTGGGTCACTGCAACCTCCGCCTCCCGGGTTCAGGAAATTCTCCGGTCTCAGCCTCCAGAGTAGCTGGGACTACAGATGCCCACCACCATGCCCTGCTAATTTTGTGTTTTAGTAAGGATGGGGTTTCACCATGTTGCTCAGGCTGGTCTCGAACTCCTGACCTCAGGTGATCTACCTGCCTTGGCCTCCCAAAGTGGTGGGATTACAGGCGTGAGCCACCATGCCCAGCGAAGCTTTAAATTTTTTTTAATCATTTATTTATTTATTTATTTTGTAGACAGGGTCTCACTCCATCACCCAGGCTGGAGTGCAGTGGTGCAGTCATGGCTCACTGCAGCCTTGACCTCCCAGACTCAAGCAATCCTCCCACCTTAGCCTCCTGAGTGGCTGGGATCACAGGTCCATTCCACTACACCCAGTTAATGTTTTGGTTGTTTTTTTTTTTTCTGTAGAGAAGGGGTTTCACCATGTTGCCCAGGCTGGTCTTGAACTCCTGAGCTCAAGCGATCTGCCCACCTCAGTCTCCAAGTGCTGAGATTACAGGCAGGAGCCACCACACCCAGCCAAGACTTAAATCCTAAAAGCAAAACCCAGAAAGATCAAACTATTTTCAAGTAAATTAACTGTATCCCAAGACAAAGGTCAAGAATAGTTATAGGAATATAAAAATATCCAGGACTCAACAGCATATGAGGCATGCAAAGAATCAGGAGAATCCAGTTCCTGACAAGGAAAATCAATAAGTCCAAACTGACAAGGCCCAACACAGGTGTCAGAATTCTCAGACAAGGACATAAAATGCCAGATACTCCATGTGTTCAAAAAATTAAGTAGAGACGTGAAAGGCATTTTTGAAAAGATCCAAATCACATTTCTAGAAATAAAAACTATAATGTCTCATTTTAGAATACATTGGCTGAGACCAATAGCAGATTAGACATTTCCAAGAAAAGGTTAACAAACTTGCAGGCAAGCAGCAGAAACTATCCACGGTGAGACACACAAAGAGAAAGAATCCAAGATGAAGGGAGGACCAGCGACCCGCGGGCGGCCTCAGGCAGCCTGACGCATGTGTCTGCGTCCTCAGCACAGAGGAGAACAAAAGCAACATAAATACTTGGAGAAATAATTGTCAAAATTGTTCCAAATTTGATGAAAACTATAAACTCACAGATACAAGAAAATCAATTCCAAGCACAAGAAACATGAAGAAAATGACAGCAAGGCACACAGTAGTTAGATTGCTCTGAAGTAATACTCAAGAAGAATCTTGAAGGCCAGAGAAGAAAGACACACATCACACACAGAGAAGCAACAGTAACAATGACAGCAGATGCCTTGTCAGAGCGATGTGAGTGAGAAGACGGTGGAGCCACATCATTAAGCTACTGAAAAAAATACAACACTTCAACCTAGCATTCTTTCTGGGGATAGTGCAGAGCCTTGCTCTGTCACCCAGGCTGGAGCACAGTGGCACAGATACGGGTGCCACTTACTGCAGCCTCAGCCTCCTGGGCTCAAGCAATCCACCTGCCTCAGCCTCCCACATAGATGGGACAACAGATGCGTGCCAACACGCTTGCCTGTTTTTCTTATTTTTTGTAGAGAGAGGATCTCACTTTGTTGCCCTGACTGGTCTTGAACTCCTGGGCCTCAACAACCCTTCTGCCTTAGCCTCCCAAAATGCTGAGATTACGGTGTGAGCCACCATGCCTGGCCTGTTAGAATTCTACACCCTGAAAAAAATATCTTTCAGAAATGAAGGCAAAATAGCCTTTCTCAGACAAACAAAAGCTGAAAGAATTCATCACCCACAGAGTCATGTAACAAGAAATGCTAATGGAAGTCACTCAGACAGAAGGAAAACCGCACTGGATGCAAACAGAGACCCGCGCCACAGGACACAGCGTGATAGAGACGCGGACGCCGCGTGGCGGGACACAACGTGACAGAGACACGGACCAGCACGGTGGAGTAAAGCGTGATAGAGACACAGACTCACACACAGGGTGGGGACAGAGTGTGATAGTGACACGGACCCACGCGGCGGGACACAACGTGACAGAGACACGGACCCGTGTGGTGGAGTAAAGCGTGATAGAGACACAGACCCACACGGCGGGGCGGAGCATGATAGAGACACGGACCCAAGTGGCGGGACATGGCATGATAGAGACATGGACCCACGCAGCGGGATAGAGTGTTACAGAAATGGTAACTGTATGGGGAAATGTGTAAGATTTTAAAACATGTTATTTAAATATCTTTAAAAGATAATTGACTTAAAAATAATAATGAACGGTATGGTTTATAAAATATAAGTAGAATGTACAACAACAATAGCACGAAGGCTAGCAGGGGAGAGATGGAAGCCGATGACGGTGAGGTTCCCACACCGTGTATGCCACAGTGTCATCCCACAGCTGTAACGAGCTGCAGACGGACACCATGAACCCAAAAGCCACCGCTGAAATCACAGAAGAGTTAGCAATAGTAAGCCCCAGCAAAAGAGTTAAAATTGAATCCCTTGAGAAACATTCAACCCAAAAAAGGCAGAAAAGGGGGAAGGAGGGACAAATACTAGACAGTACAGGTAGAAAACAAACAAGATAATAATAATGACGCCAAATGCGAATGGTGTGAAGACCCCCAATAACAGTCAGAAGTTGTCACATTAGATAAAGAAGCAGGTCCCAGCCCCCAACTATGTGCTGCTTATAAGAAACAACTTTTTAATTTTGAGATGGAGTCTTGCTCTGTCGCCCAGATTGGAGTGCAGTGGCGCAATTTTGGCTCACTGCAACCTCTACTTCCCGGGTTCAGCTGATTCTCCTGCCTCCACCTCCCAAGTAGCTGGGACTACGGGCGCCCACCACCACACCTGGCTAATTTTTGAATTTTTAGTAGTGACAAGGTTTTGCCATGTTGGCCAGGCTGGCCTCAAACTCCTGGCCTCAAGTGATCCGCCCACCTTGGCCTCCCAAAATGCTGGGATTACAGGCATAAGCCACTGTGCCTAGCCAAGGAATACACTAAAAACAAGCAAACAAACAAACAACCAAAAATCTCCTGTTGCACTTCAGTAACACTTTAAATATAAAGACGTAAATAGATTAAAGCTTCTAAAAAAGAAAAATAGACCAGGTGCAGTGGCTCACACCTGTGATCCCAGAACTTTGGGAGGCCAAGGCGGGTGGATCATCTGAGGTCAGGAGTTCGAGACCAGCCTGGCCAACATAGTGAAACCCTGTCTCTACTAAAAATACAAAAATTGCTGGGTGTGGTGGTATGCCCCTGTAATCCCAGCTACTTGGGAGGCTGAGGCAGGAGAATTGCTTGAACCCAGGAGGCGGAGGTTGCAGTGAGCTGAGATCGTGCCACTGCACTCCAGCCTAGGCCACAGAGTGAGACTCCATCTCAAAAAAAAAAAAAAAGATGGAAAAATATACCACACTAACACTAATCAAAAGAAAGCTGGAGTTACTATATTAGTAACACATACAGTAAAATTTTGGAGCAAAGAATATTCCCAAGAATAAGGAAGGTAATTTCATCCTAGTAAATGGATCAGTTCATCAGGGGGACATAACAAACCTAGATGTCTCTGTACCTAATAACAGATCTTCAGAATATATGAAGCAAAAACTGACAATGCTGCAAAGCGAACTAGAGAAACCCACAGTTATAGGCAGTGATTTCAACATGAAGGTCTCCAGCCATTGGCTTTCATTTTCACGTTTTAAAACCAGAAAACTCATAGCAAACTAAGCCAAAAGAAAGCAGAAGAAAGAAAATAGTGAAGATCAGCATGAAAATCAATGATTGAAAACAGAAAAAGAGTAGAGCAAATTAATAAAACCAAAAGCTGGTTCTTTCAGGAGATCAAAACAATTGAGAATCCTCTAGCTAGACTGATGTGGAAAAAAGAGAAAGACAAATCATCACTATGAACGAGAGGAGTAAAATCACCAGAGTCTACGGAAATTAAGAGGAAAATAAGGGAATATTATTCACAATTTTATGCCAATACATTTAACAACTTAGATTAAAAGGACAAATGTTTTTGAAAGACATAAACTACCGAAGGTCACTCAAGAGGAGAAAGGTCATCTAAATAGTATTACATCTTATGGAAGAAATTACAAGGCCAGTCATGGTGGCTCACACCTGTAATCCCAGCACTTTAGGAGGCCAAGGCGGGTAGATCACCTGAGGTCAGGTGTTCGAGACCAGGCTGGCCAACATGGCAAAACCCTGTCTCTACTAAAAATACAAAAATTAGCCAGACATGGTGGTGGGCACCTATAATCCAAGCTACTCAGGAGGCCGAAGCAGGAGAATTGCTTGAACCCAGGAGGTGGATGTTGCAGTGAGCCGAGATCACATCACTGCACTCCAGCCTGGCGACAGAGCAAGACGCCGTCTCAGGAAAAAAAAAAAAAAAAAAATACAAAGAAAACTGTAGGCCCAGGCTGGGCACGGTGGCTCACACCCGTGATCCCAGTACTTTGGGAGGCCAAGGCCGGCAGATCACCTGAGGTCAGGAGTTCGAGACCAGCCTGGCCAAAATGGTGAGCCCTCTCCTCTACTAAAAATACAAAAATTAGCTGGGCGTGGTGGTGCACACCTGTAGTCCCAGCTATTCAGGAGGCTGAGGCACAAGAATCACTTGAACCCGGGAGGCGGAGGTTGCAGTGAGCTGAGATTGTGCCATTGCACTCCAGCCTGGGCAACAGAGTCAGAGTGAGACTCCGTCTCAAAAAAAGAAAAAAAAAAGGAAAGAGAATTTCAGTCCCTGATGGCTTCACAGGGTATTTACCAAATGTTTGAGGAATAAATAATATAAATTGTACATAACTCTTCCAAAAGATTGAAGAAGAGGAATACTTCCCAAATTCATTTTTCTGCTCTCCAGGAAACTCTATTTAATGAATGAAAAGGCAAGTCAAAGCTGGGAGAAAATATTTGCAAAGCAGATATCTGATAAGGACTTGAGTCCAAAATGCATAAAGAACTCTTCCAACTTAAGAAGAAGAAAGCAAGCAACCCCATACAAAAATGGACAAGAGGGCCAGGTGTGGTGGCTCACACCTATAATCCCAGCACGTTGGAAGACTGAGCCAGGAGGATCACTTGGACCCAGGAGTTCCAGCCCAGCCTGAGCAACATACTGAGATGCCATCTCTATTATAAAAAAGAAATTTTTTTTTTGAGATGGAGTCTCGCTCTGTCACCCAGTGGCACAATCTCGGCTCACTGCAACCTCTACCTCCTGGGTTCAAGCAATTCGCCTGCCTCAGCCTCCAGAGTAGCTGGGACTACAGGTGCGTGCCACCATGCCACTTAATTTTTGTATTTTTAGTAGAGACAGGGGTTTCACTATGTTGGCCAGGCTGGTCTCGAACTCCTGACCTCAGGTGATCTGCCTGCCTTGGCCTCCCAAAGTGCTGGGATTACAGGCATAAGCCACCATGCCCAACTATAAAATTTTTTTAAAAGAATAAAACATGGGCAAAACTTCTCCAAAGAAGATATATGGGTGGACAATAAGCACAAAATCATGCTCACCATCTTCCGTCATTAGAAAAATGCAAATAAAACCACAATGAGATACCATTACATAACTAACAGAATGGCTAAAATTTTTAAAAATGTAGCAAGTGCTGTCAGGGCTGTGGAAGATCTACTGGAGGGACATCAAATGGTTCTACCACTCTGACTCTGGAAACCCATTTGGCAGTTTCTTTAAAAGTTAAACATTCTGCCAGGCGTGGTGGCTCATGTCTGTAATCCCAGCACTTTGGGAGGCCAAGGCAGGCTGATCACCTGAGGTCAGGAGTTCAAGACCAGCCTGGCCAACAAGGTGAAACCTCATCTCTGCTAAAAATACAAAAACTAGCCAGGCATGGTGGTGTGTGCCTGTAATCCCAGCTACTCAGGAGGCTGAGGCAGGAGAACTGCTTGAACCTGGCAGGCGGAGGTGCACTGAGCTAAGATTAGGCTGCTGCACTCCAGCCTGGGCCACAGAGCAAGACTCCATCTCAAACAAACAAAAAAGTTAAACATTCATCACCACGTGATCTGGAGGCTCTGCCCCAGCATTCGCCCAAGAGAAGAGAGCCTCTGTCCACACCAGGATCTGGTGCCTCATGCTCAGAGCCCCAGACTGGACACAGCCCAAACTGCAGGTCTGCAGATAGAGCAGCCATGGCAGATCAATGCAAGAGGGAGCTATTCAGCCATAAAAAGGAATCACTATTGATCCCCAACAACGTGGGCGCTTCTCAGAGCAGTTATAAGGAGTGACAAAAGCCAGGCGGAAAGCACGGCACGTTCTCCGTGATTCTGTTTACACAGGGCCTGGAACACGCCGAGTAACACGCACGGTCGCAGCAGTGGGGCTTGGGAGAGGCAGGAGGACGGATTGCAGAGGGCACCGGCGGCTTCAGGGTCAACAGAGGCATTCACTCTGCACCTGGGTGCTGGGTCCCGGGGTACACCTGTGTTCACCCTGCGCCTGGGTGCTGGGTCCTGGGGTACACCTATGTTCACTCTACACCTGGGTGCTGGGTCATGGGGTACACCTGTGTTCACCCTGCGCCTGGGTGCTGGGTCCCGGGGTACACCTATGTTCACTCTATGTGTGGGTGCCGGGTCCCGGGGTACACCTGTGTTCACTCTACGTGTGGGTGCTGGGTCCCGGGGTACACCTATGTTCACTCTACGTGTGGGTGCTGGGTCCCGGGGTACACCTGTGTTCACTCTACGTGTGGGTGCTGGGTCCCGGGGTACACCTATGTTCACTCTACGTGTGGGTGCTGGGTCCCGGGGTACACCTATGTTCACCCTGCGCCTGGGTGCCGAGTCCCAGGGTACACCTATGCTCACTCTACACCTGGGTGCTGGGTCCCGGGGTATACCTATGTTCACTCTACACCTGGGTGCTGGGTCCCGGGGTACACCTATGTTCACTCTACGTGTGGGTGCTGGGTCACAGGGTACACCTATGTTCACTCTACACCTGGGTGCCGGGTCCCGGGGTACACCTATGTTCACCCTGCGCCTGGGTGCCGGGTCCCGGGGTACACCTGTGTTCACTCTACACCTGGGTGCCGGGTCCCGGGGTACACCTATGTTCACCCTGCACCTGGGTGCCGGGTCCCGGGGTACACCTATGTTCACCCTACACCTGGGTGCTGGGTCCCGGGGTACACCTGTGTTCACTCTACACCTGGGTGCCGGGTCCCGGGGTACACCTATGTTCACCCTGCACCTGGGTGCCGGGTCCCGGGGTACACCTATGTTCACTCTACACCTGGGTGCCGGGTCCCGGGGTACACCTATGTTCACCCTGCGCCTGGGTGCCGGGTCCCGGGGTACACCTGTGTTCACTCTACACCTGGGTGCCGGGTCCCGGGGTACACCTATGTTCACCCTGCACCTGGGTGCCGGGTCCCGGGGTACACCTATGTTCACCCTACACCTGGGTGCTGGGTCCCGGGGTACACCTATGTTCACCCTACACCTGGGTGCTGGGTCCCGGGGTACACCTGTGTTCACTCTACGTGTGGGTGCTGGGTCACAGGGTACACCTACGTTCACTCTATGCGTGGGTGCCGGGTCCTGGGGTACACCTATGTTCACTCTACACCTGGGTGCCGGGTCCCGGGGTACACCTGTGTTCACTCTACGTGTGGATGCTGGGTCCCGGGGTACACCTATGTTCACCCTGCGCCTGGGTGCCGGGTCCCGGGGTACACCTGTGTTCACTCTACGTGTGGATGCTGGGTCCCGGGGTACACCTATGTTCACTCTACACCTGGGTGCTGGGTCCCAGGGTACACCTATGTTCACTCTGTGCCTGGGTGCTGGGTCCCGGGGTACACCTATGTTCACTCTACATGTGGGTGCTGGGTCCCGGGGTACACCTGTATTCACCCTGCACCTGGGTGCCAGGTCCCGGGGTACACCTATGTTCACCCTACACCTGGGTGCTGGGTCCCGGGGTACACCTGTGTTCACTCTACACCTGGGTGCCGGGTCCCGGGGTACACCTATGTTCACTCTACACCTGGGTGCCGGGTCCCGGGGTACACCTGTGTTCACTCTACACCTGGGTGCCGGGTCCCGGGGTACACCTATGTTCACTCTACACCTGGGTGCCGGGTCCCGGGGTACACCTGTGTTCACTCTACACCTGGGTGCCGGGTCCCGGGGTACACCTGTGTTCACTCTACACCTGGGTGCCGGGTCCCGGGGTACACCTGTGTTCACTCTACACCTGGGTGCTGGGTCCCGGGGTACACCTGTGTTCACTCTACACCTGGGTGCTGGGTCCCGGGGTACACCTATGTTCACCCTACACCTGGGTGCTGGGTCCCGGGGTACACCTGTGTTCACTCTACACCTGGGTGCCGGGTCCCGGGGTACACCTATGTTCACTCTACACCTGGGTGCTGGGTCCCGGGGTACACCTGTGTTCACTCTACACCTGGGTGCCAGGTCCTGGGGTACACCTATGTTCACTCTACGCCTGGGTGCTGGGTCACGGGCTACACCTATATTCACTCTACGCCTGGGTGCTGGGTCACAGGGTACACCTATGTTCACTCTATGCGTGGGTGCCGGGTCCCGGGGTACACCTGTGTTCACTCTACACCTGGGTGCTGGGTCCCGGGGTACACCTATGTTCACTCTACGCCTCGGTGCTGGGTCACAGGGTACACCTATGTTCACTCTATGCGTGGGTGCCGGGTCCTGGGGTACACCTATGTTCACTCTACACCTGGGTGCTGGGTCCCAGGGTACACCTATGTTCACTCTACACCTGGGTGCCGGGTCCTGGGGTACACCTATGTTCACTCTACACCTGGGTGCCGGGTCCCGGGGTACACCTATGTTCACTCTACACCTGGGTGCCGGGTCCCGGGGTACACCTGTGTTCACTCTACACCTGGGTGCCGGGTCCCGGGGTACACCTATGTTCACTCTACACCTGGGTGCTGGGTCCCGGGGTACACCTATGTTCACTCTACACCTGGGTGCCGGGTCCCGGGGTACACCTATGTTCACTCTATGCATGGGTGCCGGGTCCTGGGGTACACCTATGTTCACTCTACGCCTGGGTGCTGGGTCCCAGGGTACACCTATGTTCACTCTACGCCTGGGTGCCGGGTCCCGGGGTACACCTATGTTCACTCTACACCTGGGTGCCGGGTCCCGGGGTACACCTGTGTTCACTCTACATGTGGGTGCTGGGTCCCAGGGTACACCTATGTTCACTCTACACCTGGGTGCCGGGTCCCGGGGTACACCTGTGTTCACTCTACACCTGGGTGCCGGGTCCCGGGGTACACCTGTGTTCACTCTACATGTGGATGCTGGGTCCCGGGGTACACCTATGTTCACTCTACGTGTGGGTGCTGGGTCACAGGGTACACCTATGTTCACTCTACGCCTGGGTGCTGGGTCCCAGGGTACACCTATGTTCACTCTACGCCTGGGTGCTGGGTCCCAGGGTACACCTATGTTCATCCTGCACCTGGATGCTGGGTCACGGGGTACACCTATGTTCACTCTACGTGTGGATGCTGGGTCCCGGGGTACACCTATGTTCACCCTGCGCCTGGGTGCTGGGTCCCGCGGTACACCAGTATAAAAATCTTAGGGTCGTGCATGTTTCATTATGCCTAGTTTGTTGTATGTAGTTATAACTCAATGAAGCTGTTTTTACAGGGAAAACATCTCGTTGAAAGCATGCTGCAAATCACGAGCATATCTCCAGGCCATCAAACGTTCTGTTTTTAGTGACTAACACCCGACACTTGGATGCAACCGAATTTGCCCCATCTCCTTTCTGCTGCAGGACTTGAGTGGCCTGCCCATGGCTCGCTCATTTAAACCACACTCTGATAACATGTTATTACACAAATTTTTCTACTTTTAAAATTATTCATGAAAGCTAGATTGTCAGGGGTGGAATTATTGGAGCAGAAGTCTAAACTAGCTCTTCCTTCTCCACACAGGCTCAGGGTTTGGAGCGGCCACCAAGGCCATGTGCATCGGCCTGCGGTACTGGAAGCCTGAGCGGCTGGAGACCCTCATCGAGGTCAGCGTGGAGTGCGGCCGGATGACCCACAACCATCCCACAGGTAAGTGTGGGCGGGGGGTGGGAGGGAGGTCAGCGTGGAGTGCGGCCGGATGACCCACAACCACCTCACAGGTTAAGTGTGGGGTGGGGGGCGGGGGCCTGGAGCTGCCGCCATCTGCACGTCTGCTTAAAGGAGACAGAAGCTGACCCTGCACCTGCCGGCTGCCTGCTGTGAGGGCGCCCTGCCCGGGACACTGGGCTGGAAATCTTGTGGGTTCACATCGATTTTTTTATTTGTTGGGGGAGTTGGCTTATTTTTTAATCTGCTTTGCTTAAGGCCTGTTTTCAGCCCAAAAGCAGGATTAGCGATAAGCACGGTGATGTTGAAGAAACTGTGCAAGGGAAGAATTCAGTGGTTTTGGTATCATTTGTGTCAGAACAAAAGACAAAGAAACGCACCAGTGCCTGGGTGCAGGTGGGATCGGGGGGACCCTGGGGACAAGGGTTTGTACAATACTTCCTGCATTTTCCTGCTGTGCCCTGGGTTGGCCCCACCACCCGCCGGCCAAGGGAGCCAAGGAGACCACGGGAACCACGGGAGCGGCTCCACCCCACGGGCCACAGGTTTCTAACCTGTAACGGGGCGACTGCCACATGTGAATCACACCCCCAAATCGGGCTGTGTGAGGGTGAAGCGGGTTGGATCATGTCGCCCCCTTAACACGGCACTTCCGTCCTTGTGGTCTGTGCCAGCTGGCCAGCTGCTCACTGGGATTTGTCCCCGTCCGCAGCCCGTCCTGTGGAGGGCAGGCCTCTGAGAGGCCAGGCTGGGGTGGCTGCGGTAGCGCCTGACTCTAGGCCTGACTTTGAAAGGTAATGAGGAGGCGGCTCGGTTGGCTTCCATTTAAAAAAAGCAAAAAGGACTCAAAACTCCTGACCTGCAGTTGGCCCTTAGTCCTGGCACCGCCCAGTCCCACGCACATCCAACAGCCACGCTAGCCTCGTTCAAGATTACCTTTTGGTATCTGCTGTGACTGGCATCCCAACAAGGAGGGCAGAGCTGCCCACCCCTCCGTGAGAACAGCGGTGAGCAACCGGCCTTCGATCAACACGCAGCTCTGCCGGCCTGGCCGTCCCACCCCCACTGAGTCTGCAGCAAAGCAGGTGCGTGCCTTTACTACCCTGGGGACAGATGGCCTAAGCAGTGGACTCACAGGCAACTTTGCTAACTCGTTAAAATGAAAGAGGGAAGGCACGTGACCCAACTGGTGGGCCAGAGTCAGATGCTGAGAAGGGAGCAGTGCTGGACTCCTGCTAGCTGAGTGCTGCAACTGGGCGCAAATTAAAAATTAAAACCTTCAGACCCGAAAATGTTGGGCATTTGCCAGGTGCAGGTGCAGCGGCTCACACCTGTGATCCCAGCACTTTGGGAGGCAGAGGCAGGAGGATCACTTGAGCCCAGGAGTACGAGACCAGCCTGGGCAACACGGGGAGACTCCATCTCTACAAAAAAATTAAAAATTAGCCAGGCATGACGGCACGCACCTGTGTTTCCAGCTACTGATGTAGGAGGATCGCCTGAACCCAGGATGTTGGGGCTGCAGTGAGCTGTGTTTGCGCCATTGCACTGCAGCCTGGGCGACAGGGCGAGGCCCTATCTCAAAAACAAAAAAAAAGCTGGACATTTGAAAACAATGTAATGAGCACAAGAATCTGTGTTAATAATTTAAATTTCTAAAACATTTGCTAATATATTTCCTACTCATATTTTAAAAATTATTTCACGGCCAGGCGCGGTGGCTCACGCCTGTAATCCCAGCACTTTGGGGGTGCCAAGGCAGGCGGATCACCTGAGGTCAGGAGTTCAAGACCAGCCTGGCCCCCATGGTGAAACCTCGTCTCTACTAAAAAATACAAAAATTAGCTGGGCACGGTGGTGCATGCCTGTAATCCCAGCTACTCAGGAGGCTGAGGCAGGAGAATCGCTTGAACCCGGGAGGTGGAGGTTGCAGTGAGCTGAGATCACACCACTGCACTCCAGCCTGGGCGACAGAGTCAGACTCCATCTCAAAAAAAAAATTATTTCACATGTTTAATAGATGAATAATTTATATATTCTATGATAATGACCAAAAATGTTTTAAGGGTTTGATTTTATGAAATTGACACTTCAAAGTGCTTTTTAACTCTACTCCCTTTTCCATTTTCAAACCACCTCTGGCAGTAAGAGCCACAGTTTGTGTTACAGCCTGCATCGCGTGCTCCCATGAGTCCAGAGCTGCAGCCACCCTGCGCGGGGGCAGAGCCGTAGGCAGGGTCAGGACCGGCCCAGAGCCCTGGGCTTGAGAACCATTCATAGACTCTTGCCGCTGCTGCAGCCCTCCCGCCGGGCCAAGGGAGGCCCTGATGAGTGCCTTCAAGAGTGGCCCAACAGCCGCTGGAAAGCGTCTCTGCAGCCTGTCTCTGCGGCCTGTCTCCGCATGGCGTGTCACGGGCAACCATGCTCCATGTAGCGGCCGTGTTGAGTGGCCGTTCACCGTGGGCCCAGCCTGGGCTTAGGGTCATCTTTTCCCCACGACAGCCCCGGCAGGGCAGTGTCACAGCCCCGGTGTACAGAGAAGTGGGATGTCAGAACGCACGCGGCACCCACCGCAGAGCCTGCCTCTGGCCAATGGCGCCGTGACAGCAGGCTCGCCCCTCTCCTAGGTGGCTGTGGGCCTCAGACACACCCACAGGGTCCACAGCAGAACCTTCTGAAGCTAACATGGCTCCAAAACAGCAACACAACCTCTCAGCCCCACATGCCCCATCCACAAGAGGGGTGATCACCATGCCCTTCACAGGCTCTCGTGAGGACTGAGTGGCAGATGACACCCTGGGAGCAGTGCCCAGTGGGGCAAGGGCTCGGCAACGGGGGTCACTGCTCCCCTGCATGGCCACTCGCACTGTAACTACTGCCACCACCACAGCTGCTCCCATCGGCAGCACC
This sequence comes from Homo sapiens, assembly GCF_000001405.40. Classification (NCBI taxonomy): domain Eukaryota; kingdom Metazoa; phylum Chordata; class Mammalia; order Primates; family Hominidae; genus Homo; species Homo sapiens. The sequence continues at coordinate 113,430,813 of NC_000013.11, read as the reverse complement.
ACACCATCCCTACTGCTGCTGTCGCTAGCAACACTGTCACCGCCACCACTAGTGCCACTGCCACCCCCGCCACTGGTGCCACTGCCACCCCCGCCACTAGTGCCACCCCCGCCTTTTATCACTGCTCCGCTTTTGTCACCAGTACAGCCATCACCACTATGGCTGCTGCTACTGGTCCTGTCACCACTGATATCACCAGTTCCTCCACATGATACCGTCACTAGTACGACAACCACTGCTGCAGTCACTGGCACCACACTGTTCCCACCCTGACCGTCACGAGTACCACCACCATTGTTGCTGCTGCTACTGGTACTGTCACCACGGCCGTCACTAGTCCTCCCACACGACTGCATCTCTGAAACTACATCATGAGTACCATGGCCATCACTTCGCCTCCTGCCACTACTGACCCGCAGCGGCTGCAGTCCCCACGATGGCTAGCAGTGAGAGGAGAGAGCTCATGTCTTTGGAAGAGGCAGCCCCTCCAGGGCTGTCTCCACCCAGACGGTGACCACGGGATTTCCAGGACTGTCCTGCCAGCCCTGGGCATTGTTAGCCTCATTATGGCCAGGATCATCGTAATTCAGATCAGTCTCTTCCGAGCTCCTCTCTGATGGCTTGCACACTAGCGGAATGAGGCCACTGCAATGGTGGATGGGAGCCTAGTGGGGCCAGACGTGGCCATGTTCCCTGAGAGCTGCGCACCCAGTGCCACCTGCTCCGTGAGGTGCAGGGCTGGCTGTGTGGACTGCGGGGTGAGCTCAGTACCCCAGAAGCCGCTGGCTCCATCTTTCCCCACTGCCCTGGAAGATGGACCAGGACAGGCCTCCCGGACTTCTTCCTTAACCGTGTTTTATTAAATACATATATACTCGCATGCATTTATTTTTCAGTAAACAGTTGTAAAATTTGACATACCAAAGAAAATAAGGGAGGCAGTGCCTATAAGATGAGCTCTGAGCTTGTCTGTGCTGATGAGCTTGCTGGCTGCTAATGCACGCCCAGAAGTTAGGCAAGAAAAGCCCCAAGCACCAGCAGGGCGAGTGAGTCGGCCCCGCACAGGAAACGCCTGAGTGTGCACAACGGACCCAGAGCTCTGCGGGGTCGCTCTCAAGTCAGGAGAGCCCCCACCTCAGCCTTCTTCCTGCACAGGCTCGTTAACTGATAATCCCCGGCCACGGATGCTAAAGGTCTACGTGACGCGGTGTTCCCAATAGCCAAAGGCGGAGGCAGCTCATGCATCCACACACAGATGACGGGCAATCAAAATGCGTTCGTCCACGCACGGAATGCGATTCAGCCGCGGAGAGGAAGGGAAGCCGTGGCGAGCCACGCGGGTGAACCTGGGGATGCGTCCTGAGTGGAACACGCCCGCCACAAAGGGACAAATCGCGTGCGGTCCCACGAGGAGCAGGCACCCAGAGCAGTCACATCCGGAGACAGAAAAGTCAACTGGGGGCGGCCAGGGCCTGGGGAGGGCGGTGGGGTGAGTGGAGTGGGGACAGAGCTACAGTTTGGGAAGATGGGGAGTTCCAGGGAGGATGGAGAATGTCCACAGTGTGAACGTGGTTAATGCCGCCGAACTGTGCACCTGAACATGGGAAAGACGGAAAACGAGCAAACCCTTCCTCGGGAGTCCCACGCAGCGTGGCGGGCGGCCCCAGGCCCTCCCAAGCGGCCCAGGTGATGGTGCCCCCTCTCTCTTCCCTGCCCTCCAGGCTTCCTGGGCTCCCTGTGCACGGCCCTGTTTGTGTCGTTCGCCGCACAAGGAAAGCCCCTGGTCCAGTGGGGGAGAGACATGCTGCGGGCGGTGCCTCTGGCAGAAGAGTACTGCAGGAAGACCATCCGGCACACGGCAGGTGAGCCGCTCCCCCGGCCCCAGTCCGCACTCAGAGCAGATCTGGACAGATCCAGCCCCTCCATGGGCCCCCAAATACTTCAAGGCACTTTCGCTCTTAGATGGAACTGGGAGGGCCCTGTCCGGGCCATGTGAGCAGAGCTGGCCTCGCAAGGCAGGCCCCATGCTGCTCCTGACCAGTCTGCCTCTGCCCTGACCTGGGAGGCTTTGCCTCCCCACCCGGAGCCTCAGAGAGACCTGAGCCTGCCGGGGACATTTGCCTCCGGCGGGTCCACCCGTCCCCGTCCACCCCAGCCCGCGGCACCAAGCGACTGGCAGCCACTGGGATGTGAGTGGGACCTGTGGTGCCCCCTGGAAAAACTCTGCTTCTGCCGGTTTGGGCGAGCTCAGGGCTGGGCCCTTCCCTCAGGAGCCCCATGAGGCTGGCCAGAGGCAGGGACAGCAGGTATGGGACTAGGAAATCCGTGACGGTTCCGGAAGATTCTTCCACCCCACGGAAGGTGCCGTCTAAGAGGGGAGGGGGCGGCAGGGGGAGCACAGGCAGCTTCATGCAGCCTTTGGCGTCCTTGCATGGTTGAGGAAATTGGAAATAACGTATCCAGTGTGTGTGTCCTTGAGAAGGAGAGGGAGGATTTGAATGTAGGATCAGGTTTGCTTATTTTTCAAAACAGCCTCAGGCTGAAGTCTTCTTGATTTTTTTTTTTTTTTTTGAGATGGAATCTGGCTCGTCACCCAGGCTGGAGTGCAATGATGCAATCTCAGCTCACTGCAACCTCTGCCTCCCAGGTTCAAGCAATTCTCCTGCCTCAGCCGCCGAAGCAGCTGGGATTACAGGCGTCCGTCACCACGCCTAGCTAGTTTTTTGTATTTTTAGTAGAGACGGGGTTTCACCAGGTCGCCCTGACTTCAACTGACCCGCCTTGGCCTCCCAAGTGCTGGGATTACAGGCATGAGCCACCTCGCCTGGTCTGAAGTCTTCTAGAAACAGAAAAACCAGTGAATCGCTTTATTTCCCCTGCAAGGCACAGGCACGTGTTCTGAAACGCCTTATGGGGGTCTGGTTCACAGCTTTCCACGGGGGTGCAGGCACGGATACCCGCCTGGACGCAGCTCAGGGGCTGCTCAGCCACCAGGCCTGTGCTGATGGGAGCAAGAAAGTCAGCGTCCGCACACAGTCAGTACCTCCTTGAGCCACTGCTCTGTGCTCCCCGTGACCGGGCCGTCCTCAGGAAGCGTGACTGCTGAGCACACCTGGCAGGCCACAGCACACTTTGTTTCCAGTGGTTTCATCTCTCTTACCGTTTGGTGTGGGAGCGGTGGGAGATGGCTAAGCGGAGGTTGCAGTGTGCCAAGATGGTGCCACTGCACTCCAGCCTGGACAACAGAGACTCCGTCTCAAAAAAAAAAAAAGAAAAGAAAAAAGAGGCCGGGCGTGGTGGCTCACGCCTATAATCCCAACACTTTGGGAGGCCGAGGCAGGTGGATCACCTGAGGTCAGGAGTTCGAGGTCAGCCTGACTAACATGGAGATGGCTAAGCCGGTGGTGCCGGGTTCTTTCCAGCTGAGGTTGTTGTCTGCAGCCAGGGGCTAAGTCATCTCCCTAACCCCAGGAGAGTCGCCCTGACCCACCTTAGAAACAGGTGAGCAGTCAGGCATGGGGCCACGCCATTACTGAATTCACAGTATATTAACGAATGTTCTCCCAGAACTTTGGTATTCAAAACGGTTTTCCTCAAAGCATTTTCTGAGAACAGTTGGAATTATCTAACCAGCAAAACCTCCTCCCCTTTGTGTTCATGGAATGTTTCTGACTGTTCTTCAGAAAGCTTTATTCTTTCTCTTAGGGATTTGAAATGCACAGATACCAGTTTAAAGCTCTGAGAAACAATCCTCCAAATAAATCTGTTATTTCAAATTTGTTTAACCCAGAGTTTCATGAATTCCCTTGACACAGAAACCTTTTTAACAGAGCATCTAAAATCATCCAGAGATCGTTAAGTCCCGTAGGACACCCTCCGGAAACACTGCTCTGGGCTTCTGACCAGCCCACCTGACACGGCCCTCTGCAGTGAGGACAGTTCACAAATTAGCTCCCTGCTTTTGTATTTAGACGTCTGTTTCCGAATTGGCCAACCCCGGCTGACTCGGGTGAGAGGCAGTGCTTTCAGTCTGCGCCCAGGTCCATGTTGACGCTCCACCCGGAGTTTCAGGCCCTGTGGGTTCATGGGATGCACCTGTGACCGCTGCCCTCTTACTTTTGCGTCTTTCACTTCCAATTTCATGTCGCTGAACAAGACCCTAAGGGGGCTGGACTTTTCCTTGTGTGAAACCAAGTTGGCCCAGAGTTTCGGAGGGCCTGAGTCGCGGGTGCCTGTGAGCCTCGTCCAGGTCCTGGTCCAGGGCTCTCCTGGCCTCCCTGTGGCCTGGAGCTCTGTGGCAGGAGCGTAGCCTCCCCGCTGCAGCCCTCCAGCTCTGCTCTCCAGCGCCCTGAGCTCTCCAACCACGGCCAGGCAGACAGGATCTGTGCCCTGTCACCTCATGTGATCGGCACACGTGTCCCTTGGGCCTGACAGCCACCAGCGGCCTGCACGGCTCCCACCCTCTGTGGCTCCCGCGGTGCCAGGGAGCAGGAGGTGGGGTGTGGCGGGCAGGGGTGCTCACCGTAAGGCAGGCAGGAGGGCAGTGGGCCCGGGTCTGGGCAGCTGCACACCTCCTGGCTCCACGGCGGGGAAGGCGATTCCCTGTGGTCTGTAGGGTGTGTAGCTGCAGGTTCAGACTCCCTTCTGAGTCAGCGTCCTCTTGGCCAGATGACCTCTTAAGAAGTCCCTAGAGCATTCAGGGGCTTGGATTTCAGTTAGGAGTAATGAAACATGCCACGCCCTGCTCTGCAGGCACAGGGCTAATGCAACAATGTAACGAGAATGCTTTTGCCCCATCTCCATCTTGCTTGCTGTCCTTTCAGAGCAGCTAAAGGCTGGGCATGGTGGCTCACACCTGTAATCCCAGCACTTTGGGAAGCCGAGGTGGGAGGATCACTTGAGGTCAGGAATTCGAGACCAGCCCGGCCAATATGGTGAAACCCCATCTCTACTAAAAATACAAAAATTAGCCGGGCGTGGTGGTGGGTGCCTGTAGTTGCAGCTACTCAGGAGGCTGAGGCAGGAGAATCGCTTGAACCCAGGAAGCGGAGGTTGCAGTGTGCCAAGATGGTGCCACTGCACTCCAGCCTGGGCAACAGAGAGAGACTCCGTCTCAAAAAAAAAAAAAAGAAAGAAAAAAGAGGCCGGGCATGGTGGCTCACGCCTGTAATCCCAACACGTTGGGAGGCCAAGGCAGGTGGATCACCTGAGGTCAGGAGTTCGAGATCAGCCTGACTAACATGGTGAAACCTCGTCTCTACTAAAAATACAAAAATTAGCCGGGTGTGGTGGTGGGCAGCTGTAATCCCAGCTACTCGGGAGGCAGAGGTTGCAGTGAGCCGAGATCACGCCACTGCACTCCAGCCTGGGGGACGAGAGGGAGACTTCGTCTCAGGAAAAAAAGAAAGAAAGAAAGCAGCTACAAATGTCAGCATGTTGGTAATTCTGGACAGTCTCTCAGTTGTTTACTCCAGGACAGGTGCTCGGCTTCTCCACATGCCTGCAGCTGGGTAGAGGGGGCATTGCCACTTCCCCGCCACACACACGCCCCCACCCTCCCCACCCCCAACTCCCTGCACCCGCCCCACTCCATGGATGCCATTGTGTTCAGCTCCCCTTGTTCTTTATGTTTAGAATACCAGGAGCACTGGTTTTACTTTGAAGCTAAATGGCAATTTTATTTGGAGGAGAGGAAAATCAGTAAAGACTCAGAAAATAAAGCCATCTTCCCCGACAATTATGATGCAGAAGAGAGGGAAAAGGTAAGCCTTGTCCTGGCACTGGGGCAATGTCTGGCACACCAGTGGTGCTCAATAAGTGCATAGCAAGTGGATGGATGGGTGGGTGGGTAGGTGAATGGATGGATGGATAGATGGATGGATAGATGGATTTTGGATGATGGGTGGGTGGAAGGGTGCGTGAATGGATGGGTAAGTAAATGGGTGGGTGAATGGATGAATAGATGGGTGGATGGATGGGTGGACAGGTGAATGGATGGGTGCATGGGTGGGTGGGTGGGTATATGGATGGGTGGTTGGGTAGGTGGATGGAAGGGCAGGTAGGTAGAAGCGTGGGTGAATGGATGGGTAGGTAAATGTGTGGGTAAATGGATGAATGGATGGGTGGATAGATGAATGGATGGTGAATGGATGGGTGGGTGGCTAACCCCATCTCTACTAAAAATACAAAAAATTAGCCACGTGTGCTGGTGTACGCCTGTAATCCCAACTACTCGGGAGGCTGAGGCAGGAGAATCGCTTGAACCCGGGAGGTGGAGGTTGCAGTGAGCTGAGATTGTATCATTGCACTCCAACCTGGGGGACAGAGCCAGATTCATCTCAAAAAGAAAAGGGTGGATGGATGAAATGGCAGTTCACTAGGAGGGGCCCAGAAAGCTTGTGCTGTAATATACCCAGAAGTGGCTCCACTTGGGCACACGCCCCGACCCACGGCTCTCTTGTCAGACCTACAGGAAGTGGAGCTCGGAAGGTCGAGGGGGAAGACGAGGCCACGATGCCCCCATGATAGCCTATGACGCCCTCCTTGCAGCAGGAAACAGCTGGACTGAGCTGTGTCACCGGGCCATGTTTCATGGAGGTGAGATGTTCCTTAATGGCCGTGGCTTCCTGGAGGGTAGCACCCTTCTTCTGAAGCACCCCCTCGGAGTGTCCTAGGACTGCAGGCATTCAGGGGCCACCTCCTGAGCTCCAGCATGTGCGTCCATCTCTTCCTTTCTGGAACCCACTTTGGGAGGGCACAGGCTCCAGGGTATACCTGCTGACCTAAGCGTGCTCATGTGAGGACATTACAGGATACAGGTGCAGCTGCAGGTGCCTGCTGTGAGCTCCAGCAGACCAAGAGTCTCTCACCTGGTCCACGAGCCTGGAGGCCAGTGCAGCCTTAGAATAGGTGGGGTGTAGGGGTGTGGGGGCTTCTGCCCTTGCCACTGCTGCCTCAGGCTGGCCACCTTCACAGGGTTCCATTCCAAGGTCACCGTCATCTTGTCCTTTGCTCTGCAGCCTCTGTGCAAAGTCGCAGACTGTGGCCTGGAGTTAGGTCCTGGGCTCGCATCCTGCTCCATCCGTGCTGGCTCTGTGCCGCCCTGGCCGTCTCTGGCCATGGAGGGAGAGGAGGAAGCCCAGCAGAGTGGCTGTGGCAGCTCCAGGCAGCTCCTACCCGTAAGGTCAACCCTGTGCCTTGTGGGAGCAGCTGTTATGGTTCTGTGAGACTGGCTGAAATTGCCTCCCTTCAGTGAGGCTTGGAGCTGAGCTTGACCACAGACATGAGCTGGGAAAACACAAATGTGGCCCCGTTTGGTCAGGAAGCCTCTGCACAGAGCCGGCTCAGCCCCTGGAGGGGTTTCCTCCGTGACCCCAGCTCAAGGGTGGGACCATGCGGCCTCGGGCTCCCCTCCCTCTGCCTTCCTTCTGCACCTTCCTGGCACCTCACTGACTCTTAGTGCTGAAACACCGCTTCACACAGATGCCTGCCCCAGGGAGGGAGAAGGGAAGCGCCTGTCCCCCTCCTGTTTGTTTTTGGGTTTGTTGTTTTTTTTTTGAGACAGGATCTCACTCTGTCACTCCGGCTGGAGTGCAGAGAGGCAATCTCGGCTCGTTGCCACCTCTGCCTCCCGGGTTCAAGAGATTCTCCCATCTCAGCCGCCTGTGTAGCTGGGATGACAGGCGTGAGCCACCGCGCTGGCCTGCCTGTCCCTTTTATCAGCTGCCCCCAGCAGAATTGGGGTTTGGCCCACCTTAGGGGCGGCCAGCCCCAGGGGTCTTGCAGAGGCCCTGGTCAGGTGGAGCCCACTGCAACTGCTGCCTTTGCGTTTCAGGGGAGAGCGCGGCCACGGGCACCATTGCAGGCTGCCTGTTCGGGTTGCTGTACGGCCTGGACCTCGTTCCCAAAGGCTTGTACCAGGACCTGGAGGACAAGGAGAAGCTGGAGGACCTGGGCGCGGCTCTCTACCGCCTGTCCACAGAGGAGAAGTAAAGCCATTTCTGCCACTTTCCCCCTAGAGAGCCGATTCCACCCCGGGGCCCGTAGGGCCCTCTCGCAGCCCCTGGGTGAGGGTGTCTCTGTGAGGCTCCACTGCGGTCTGTGCCTGACTGGCCACATCTAACTCTCTGTTTCCAATTTCAGAATCCTAACTGTTGCATAAAATACATTGTTTGTCCTGCGAGAATATTTTCCGTCCTCCACCATCAACATTGACACTGCGTAGATTTGCCGCACTTGGACCTCCATGCGTGGCACTCACCCGCAGTCTCCTGGACAGGCGCTGTATTTTATTCTGTCGCAGAGCTAATGCTGTTTACTCACTCACTTCAACAACACTAACTGCGGTGGTGGCCTCCAGCAGGCCCCCCCGCTGCAGACCCTCTGTCCTGCCTCTGCCTCCAGGCATGCGTTTCCCCGTGAGGGCCAATGCACCTCCCCCCACCCCCCACCCTCCCATGTCCACAGTGGGTCGTGTGTTCCTGGACAGAGAAACAGTCCACACTGGGGCCTGCGGGACACATATAGCAGCATATTTTGCTCTTAACCCCACCCACCTTTTTAATCACACTAGATTTTAAGATCAATCCCTTTTTGAAACAACTCACGGAGAAAACCAGAACATAAATGGCCTCCTGCCAGCTCCGGCGTCTCTCTGTGGTCTGCCTTAGTGGGCCAAGTCCAAATGCAGAGAAGGCCTTTCCCTTCCGCGCCTGCCCCATCGGGCTCGCTGACGAGGAAGCGCTGTCCCTGTGATGAGGTTCTCTCTCAGAGAGTCTTGGAAAAGAGACCACTTGCTCTTGTTTAAAATAAATTTGGACGTGATTTTTCCATGCAGCATCTGGTGTGAATAAAACAGCAGTTGACTGATGTTTACCGCTGTGCTTGGCCGCTTGGCTAGGGCCTCTCTTTTTGTTGTGATTTCATTAAAGGGCTCGCCTCTGGGCAGAGTTGGAATCCCAGAGGAAGCCCCAGCCTCAGGGAGAGAAGGCACTGGGGCAGAAAGCCTGGTTGGTTGGAATCTCTGTGGGCATCCAAAATACAAGCCCTACCCCCACGGGCGTCTTCTTCTATGGGATGATTTGAAAGGGGAAAGTGGTGATGTCTTTATGCTCCCACTTAGGATTCCTGTGTGAGTGGACTGGCAAGAGAGGCTGGTGGACTTCACAGGTGGGGGCCACGGACTCCCAGCTCCCAGGTGCATTGGGTCCAGGCTTCCCGGGCCAGCCCCGCCAACCACTTCCAGGCGCCTCACTCCCCGGCCGCCTCCCCTTGATGGAAATGACCCCTGCATTCATTCAGTGCAAGGAGCAGGCGTGTCCCAGGGGTAGAGGTGTCCTGGGGGTAGGCATGTCCCGGGGATGGGCGTGTCCCAGGGATGGGGGTGTCCCCAGGGGTAGACGTGTTCTGGGGGTGGGCAAGTCCCGGGGGTGGGCGTGTCCCAGGGGTAGAGGTGTCCCGGGAGTGGGCGTGTCCCGGGGGTGGGCGTGTCCCGGGGTGGGCGTGTCCCGGGAGTGGGCGTGTCCCGGGGGTAGAGGTGTCCCGGGGTGGGCGTGTCCCTGGGGTGGGCGTGTCCCGGGGGTAGAGGTGTCCTGGGGGTGGGCGTGTCCCGGGGGTAGGGGTGTCCCAGGGGTAGGCGTGTCCTGGGGGTGGGTCTGTCCTGGGGATGTGCGTGTCCCGGGGGTGGGTCTGTCCTGGGGATAGGCATGTCCTGGGGGTAGGGATGTCCTGGGGATAGGCATGTCCTGGGGGTAGGGATGTCCCAGGGTAGGCATGTTGGCGGGGGGTAGGGGTGTCCCAGGGGTAGGCATGTCCCAGGGGTTGGCGGTCCTGGGGGGTGGGCGTGTCCCAGGGCGTGTCGGGGGGGGTAGGGTTGTCCCAGGGGTGGGCATGTCCCAGGGGTAGTGGTGTCCCGGGGTGAGCGGGTCCCGGGGGTGGGCGGGTCCTGGGGCTAGGTGTGTCCCAGGGGTAGAGGTGTCCCAGGGATAGGGACACGCTTTGCTTTTTCCATAGAGATGCCCCGTTCGTTTTGTGGGAAGTGTAGTCCATGCTGATGGAGGAATCCGTGGCCTTCTATGCTGCAGCAATGTGGCTCCGTGCTGAGCTTCCGAATAACTGGACTAACTGTGCTGCTACTGGTGCTTTAAGTCAGAAGAACCAGAGAGACAGGCACACGGGGGCGAAGGGCCTCACGTCACACACGTCCATGGAGTGTGGTCCCAGCACCCGTGGGTGTGGGGAAATTAACTGAGAATTACCTTTCAGGAAAAGAAACCCAATTAAGGTAAGTCGGAACTGTTGCTAGCATAAGTAACACGGTCGTAGTACCTGTTTTGCCCGCTTACCGGAAAGTGGGCTTCCCTCTCCACCCTGCTGTATGGAAGAGAAGGCCAGCTCGCATGAGCAGGGCGCGGCTGCATTCAAACAGGGTGGACTCGGTCTCCATCCGCAAATCAAACCCCTCCGTGAGAATCAGAAAGTGAGTCTATTTACAAACTGATTATAGATTAAAACACACAAACACAAAATCCACAAGCATCGTAAACAAAAGCTGGCAGTGCCTTGCTTCACTTTCCTGTTACAGAGACACCCAAAAGTTGAAAAGAAAAAGCCAAAGAAAGCACTGAGGGGACACTGAGCCAACTCTGCTGTTTAAAACGGCACCGGCAGGTTTCATTTTTGCGATAAAAATGACGTGTGCACAGCTTCGCGAATCCAAATGCTGTTAAAGGCGGCGTGTGGGGAAAGCTGCTTCCAACCACCCAGATAACACGGTCACGGTCGCCTAAGCCTCCTTCCAGGAGCCTCCTCACACACCCCCCGAGCTGTGTGCCTGTGTGAGACACACCTGCTTATGTGAGATAACAAGGCCATGCTCTCCTCCCAGGAGCCTCCTCCACACACACACCCTGGCTGTCCACCTGTATGTGAGACACACCTGCATGTGTGTGCTATGCCACACACACTATTTCTTTCCCCAAACAGGAAGCATGGTATATGTCATGGTTTGCTTTTGGCTGTTTTCATTAAACTAGGTTTTAAAATATTATCTGTATCACCATACATAGACCAATCTGCGCCTTTTTAACTGCTGCCTAGTATTCCATTGTACTCCTGTGCCATAATTCAAATACCCCATGGATGTGGCTCTCAGTGGTTTCCATCGCGTGAGTGGCATTTGCAAACACCTGCTCTTATGGCGACTTCCAGTGTTGCTCCCCAGCTCTTCTGAAAAGGACTTAGTCTCTCCCTACAGCGCAGCGATGCTGTATTTCATTCTAGGATTCATTTTTGTATTTAATTTTTCTGAAATTGTGGTGCATCTTATATTTTATGGTGTCCATAGTTTAAGTGATGGAGTTTTTATTTTTCTTTCTCCAAGACATTCTTATGAAATAAGGTGTGGCCAGGTGGCTCAGGCTTGTAATCCCAGCACTTTGGGAGGCTGAGGCGGGAGGATCGCTTGAGCTTAGGAGTTTGAGACCAGCCTGGGCAACATGGCAAAACCCCATCTCTACAAAAAAAAAAAAAAAAATACAAAAATTAGCTGGGTATGGTGTTGGCGCCTGTAGTCCCAGCTCCTTGGGAGACTGAGGTGGGAGGATTGCCAGAGCCTGAGAGGTTGAGGTTGCCGTGAGGTGAGATCACATCACTGTACTCCAGACTGGGTAACACAGTAAGACCCTGAAAAAAAAAAGAAAGAAAGAAAAAAGAAAGGGAGGGAGGGAAGAAGGAAGGAAGGAGGGAGTGAAGGAAGGAGAAGAAGGAAGGGAAGGGGAGGGGAAGGGGAAGAAAGGAAGGAAGGGAGGGAGGAAGGGAGGGAGGGAGGGAGGGAAGGAAAAGAGGGCACATTATACAACCTCTTAGGCCCAGCAAGGTGTAGCTCCCCAGGGGTTCTTCTCTGGGAGCATCAGTGTTGCACATCCCTGTGGATCCGCATCTCTTGCAAGACATCAGGCACCAGGAAGGGGCAGGCAGGAGGATGAGTGCCTCTCACTCCCAGATGGCAGACAAGGGTGCTTCAGAGGAAGGTGGGGTCCAGAATATGCCCATTCTCAGCCTGAAGCTATTGGCAGACACCTTTCTCTCAGGCCCACGGATGTGAGCTCTGAAGCCAGGACTTGGGATGGAGAGTTCCAATCGTGGCTGAGAAAGGACATGTGTGTCCTCATGAACACACCACACAGAAGTCACACACTAGGAACATGTGCCATGTGGGAATATGAGCATGTCAGTAACACACACATGTTTAGACTTCAGGCTGATTTAGATGAATCCGTTTTCCCAAACTCTTTGATTAGAGATTTTGCATTTATATTTAAAATTATTGTGTCCAGTGTTTTCATATCTGAAAGCCATGGCAGAGCTGTCCTTCCTTTCCCACGTTGGAGGAAGCGGATCCAGGGAGGCTCGGTGACTTGAGTGGGCAGGGCAGCCGCTCAGAGCACCCAGCCGAGGAAGTGGCGAAGCCCAGCCCCCGTCAGACCGAGAACCATGCTGCTGCAGGCTCCCTAATGGCCAGCCATGCAGCAGGTGGCATTTGAATGTTATTTCCCCTGTCTATTCCATGCTCCACTAGAAGCGGGGCCCTTTTTACTACCCCCATTTTGTAGACAAGGAAACTAAGATTCAGGGGGTCTGAGTATTTCTCCCAGAGCTGCAGTTCATGAGCACAGAGTAGCTTTTAAACCCGACGCATCCGAAAACCACACTCAAGCCTTCTCCCCTTCCCCTAATTCTGGAAGACCTCACCACCACCACAGCCCTCAGCAAACCCTGGCGATTGCATAACCTCAGGCCCAAGCTGCCAGAAGCCAATGCCACCTGTTTTGGCTGTGGGTATAAAAATTAATAAAATATCAGCTGATAAAATTGGTAATACCCAAACTGATGTTCAATCCAAACATCTGTGCTTTAAAAACTCCATCATTGAAATGCATTCCAAAGGTCCCATTAGGTTGGAAATAACTGGAATCTCAGTGCAGGCACTGCAGCTCCCCTGGTAAAAATCCCTCGTGTGTAAACGCATTTCCAGTTAACACACAGAAGCTTCCCTGGTTAAAATCCCTGGTGTGTAAACGCATTTCCAGTTAACACACAGAAATAAGTTATCAGCTCACTTAGCCTGTTGCGGGAAAAGCATTCACATGAGTCTCAAAGAACAGCCTGAGACCGTCTCGGGATTCGTGTGCCACACCCCGAGCAGCGGCTGCTGGTCAGCAAACAAGGGCTGAGACAGACAAAGGCAGGGATAGCGCCTGATCTGGGACAGACAGACAAAGGCAGGGACCGCGCCTGATCTGGGACAGACAGACAAAGGCAGGGACTGCGCCTGATCTGGGGCACTCTGTGTCTGGCACCACACACATCGCGAACGTTCTGTCTGATGGCCACAGGGGCGGTCCCCAGGGTCTGAACCATCGTGTGGCCCTGTGGGCAGCATCTCCCTGCCTTCCCCATCCTCCTTGTACCCTGAGAAGGGCAATCGCCCAGGACCCCCCACTCTGGCTCTCCCTCGGGCAAGACAGGCTGCACGACCTGGGGCCCTGGTGGTGCCGGCGGGGACCATGACCAGCCTGCAGATTGGGGGGACAGCCTTGTCTTGTCCCACACACCAGGAAACCAGAGAGCACAGAGTCCCCGGGGCCCTGCCAGTGGGGTGCTGGTGCATCCGGGGTTCCGCAAAGCATCGCCTCTCCCAGCAGCCGTCTGTGCTGTCACGGTCCTTGAATGACACCTGTCATGACGCAGCTTTGCTGTCTCTCTCTCCTATCTTAATGGTTCACTTTTAAGTTTGTTTCAAAAAAACTAGCTCCGACAACTCCCACGCCCCTTTGCCCAGGATCAGCAGCCGTTAATATTTTCCCTCATCTCTCACTGCACACACTCGTGCATTCGCACGCACACCCTCGCACATATGAGCACGCACACACAATTGTTTCTGAAACATTTGAGAATAACCTGCCGACCCTATATCCTCTCACCATAAATATTTCAGATGAAATTCCTCAGAAAAGACAGGCTCTTCTGTAACCACTGTTTGCTTATTCAAAATCGGAATTTAACCTTCAATAACGCTATTATCCAACATAACAGCATCCTGTTGCAATATAATATACTATATTGTGTTTTTATTATGTGTTAGAAATTGTGCCTACTGCTTCATCGGTTTCCTTTATAATCTATATGTTTGTAGCACAAATTGGTGACAGAAGCTCACTAACCCGATACCCTGTATGTCCCACAGGTACTGAGGGACCCTAGGCAGTTGCTGTAATTAGGCGGCAGGCAAGCATCCCTGGAACCCTCTGCTGACTTACTCATGTCTCAGGCCTGGGAGAGCATCCAGCGCTTATGGCCTCAGTCAGCCTGGGATGGACAGTGTCCCCATTATCAGTCACAGCCGGCCGACTAGACATCCCTTCGTTGGTCACTGCCGGTTTACCAGACGCCCCTTTGTGGGTCCCAGCTAAGTCAGTCACATATAAGATCTTATGTAGGTCACAAAAAGATGTTCAGGTCAAGGCCTTGGGGTATCCTAGCCCAAAAGTCCACATCGACCATTAGCCAGATTTATTTCCAGGAAATACAGATACTCAGGTTCTCCAGCTGATTCATTAGTACAGTCTGAGCTATTCCCCACCTAGTTACAAAAAATCAACAGGGAGCAGTTAGCAAACACTTGTTCTCGGCTTTACTAGATAGACGGTGACCGTTGCAATGATGCTCAGAAGCTGCTGGGGAGGGGATTGGCCAGATCAGCTCTGCCGCCGCCTGGGGGCCACTCTCGGCCACCCCACGGGATCCCAGCCGGGCCCCTGGCCTTCCAGGATTTTTAGAAAATACTCATCCCTTGGGGTTAGATTTTCTTTTTCATAAATCTAATATTAGATTCTTTAGTAATCTCTCCTCAGCCTTTGGGCTAAGATCAAGTATAGATTTATTTGTAAAATGTTAGGAGCCTCAAATTAAAGGGATCTGTGTTATTTAAAACCAATTTTAAAAAAACTACTAAGGAGGCGAGCTTGCTTCTCTCTCTCTCTCTTTTTTTTTTTTTTTTTTTTTGAGATGGAGTCTCACTCTGTCACCCAGGCTGGAGTGAAGTGGCACGATCTCAGCTCACTGCAACCTCTGCTTCCTGGGTTCAAGTGATTCTCCTGCCTTAGCCTCCTGAGTAGCTGGGACTACAGGTACACACCACTGTGCCCAGCTAATTTTTGTGTTTTTAGTAGAGTTGCGGTTTCACCCTGTTGGCCAGACTGGCCTCGAACTCCTGACCTCGTGATCCGCCTGCCTCGGCCTCCCAAAGTGCTGGGATTACAGGCATGAGCCACCGCACCCAGCCCTTCTCTTTTTATAACACTAATTCGGTGGACCCTGCCTGGTCGCCTGGAGCCGGCCACTGAGCCCACGCCTGGCTGGCCTCTGGGCAGAACATTTCCTGTCATCAGTAGAGCAGCTGGGCCATGGAGGCCACTTATTCAATGCCTTTGGTTAAACCCTTTCCAGGTCCACACTCTGCTTGGGGACCACATCGCGGGCAGGCGTTTCTCACCCTGCCCCACCCGGACACGGGCAGGTCCGCGTCTCCAGAAGGGCTCTCGTCCCTCTAGGCTGACCAGCAAGAACCCCAGGAGCCCAAAGGTGCAGCCCCAGTGTCTCTGTCCATGAGCTGTGGAAGGGACTCTGCCACCGCAGCTGCCAAACGGCCCCTCCCCTCTCCTCACCTGCCCCAGGGGGTTGCTGGGCGCTGGCTACCTAGGGAGGTGTCGCCCTCCCTGATCTTCATGGCTTCAGGGGAAAATGGGCACAGAACAAGCAGCCATAAAAACAGAAGAGGCTGAGCTGGGCATGGTGGCTCATGCCTGTAATCCCAGCACTTTGGGAGGCTGAGGGGCATGGATCATGAGGTCAGGAGTTCGAAACCAGCCTAGCCAACATGGTGAAACCTCATCTCTAAAAAAATACAAAAATTAGCTGGGCGTGGTGGCGGGCCCCTGTAATCCCAGCTACTTGGGAGGCTGAGGCAGGAGAATGGCTTGAACCCGGGAGGCGGAGCTTGCAGTGAGCCGAGATCACGCCATTGCACTCCAGCCTGAGTGACAGAGAAAGACTCCATCTAAAAAAAAAAAAAAACAGAAAACAGAAGACCCCTGCTCAGCACACTCAGGGAGATGTGCAGAGGCACGTGGCCCTGCCCCTGGAAGAGGAGCATTGGCACCACAGCGACAAGAGCAGTTCCACAGGCACAGATGGAGCCACAGCCAGGATGTGTGCCCCCAGACAGGCCTGTAGTGCCCTGAGAGCATATCGGGGAGGCCGGGACTGAGCTGTAGAGGGGAGGGAAGCCGGGGGCTGAGCCGCAGAGGGCAGGGAGGCTGGGGACTGAGGGAGGGAGGGTGGGGGCCAATCTGCCAAGGGGAGGAAGGGGGGGCGGCTCCAGGCTCATCCGCAGAGGGGCAGGAAATGGCAGTGCAGGCCTCTGGTGTTGATGGAGGCCCAGGACATGTTTTCTAAGCGCTGTTGGCCGAGGGCATCCAAGTGTCCCTGTCAGAAACATGTGGAGGCTGGCACAGGGATGTGTGTGACATGGCTGAGGCTGGTCCGTGTTCTGAGCAGGCTCCTGGAACAGCCAGACAGTTGCAGGCCCAGCTGCCACGTGAAACCGGCCCTGCCCTTCTCTCAGAGGAGGAAACTGCGGCTGAGGGTGTTCCCTGCCGCAGGGCCAGGCTCGGGTGAGCCCAGCACAGCCACTGACTGGGCAGAACAGTGACCTCCAGGCCCTGCTGGCCAGAAAGTCCCCAGCAAAGAACCTGCCAACAGGGGCTGCTGTCCATATCATGGTGGGCCCGGGTGTGTCTCCTGCGCTGTGATGGCCTCTAGTCTCATTGTATTTTCAAACGACCTCTCTGGCTGGCCAGAGCCACCAACAACTAAATTAGGAAAGCCGGGCACCCTGCTGTTTATATTGGCCCCTGGGAGGAAGACATTCCATTCCCTGTGGGTTCTGCAGCTTGTCCAAGTGCTGAGGGGACGCTGAGGGAGGCCCGGTCTCGCCCCGCACTGCTGGGCGGGCAGCGGTCACACAGGGCAGCCCAGACTCCGCCAGCGCAGCTCTGACCGGGGGCCTTTTCAGGAGGCTTTGAGGGGTGGGGCTGACGGCCCAAGGGGCAGCACTGGCTCCAGCGCATGAGGACGCGTTCACTCAGCAGCAAGGTGTGCAGCAGGGGTGGGAAAGGGCGAGAGGCCCACCTTCACAGCAAGTGAAGGCCCCGATCACAGGGCGCCTCGGGAGACACGCAGAGCCCCACGCGGGAGTCGCCGAAAGTCCTGGGCCCCCCTCTCAGTCCATGACTTGGGGGCGTTCCTGGCGTCCACGCTGTTCCCCTTTGTGGGGACATAGAGGTCTGTGTGGGTCACCGTGGGGCTCACAGAGCTGGGCCTCTGGGAAAGGCTCCCTGAGGTGGGGGCATCTGAGCCGGGTTGTGAAGGATGAATAGGAGCTCGTCAGGGAGGCAGCGAGGCTGTTCCAGGCTGAAGGGCACAGCGAGGTTGGGCGTGGAGTGGACAAACAGGGTGGAGGCTGGAGCTGGCAGAAAAGGGGGTGGCCAGGAGAGAAACAGGGTTGTGCAGTGGGTGAACCGAGTTCTGCGAGGCGCTGTTGGCGGTGGGTGAACCGAGCTCTGCGAGGAGCTGTTGGCGGTGGGTGAACCGAGCTCTGCGGGGCGCTGTTGGCGGTGGGTGAACCGAGCTCTGCGGGGCGCTGTTGGCGGTGGGTGAACCGAGCTCTGCGGGGCGCTGTTGGCGGTGGGTGAACCGAGCTCTGCGGGGCGCTGTTGGCGGTGGGTGAACCGAGCTCTGCGGGGCACTGTTGGCGGTGGGTGAACCGAGTTCTGCGGGGTGCTGTTGGCGGTGGGTGAACCGAGCTCTGCGGGGCGCTGTTGGCGGTGGGTGAACCGAGCTCTGCGGGGCGCTGTTGGCGGTGGGTGAACCGAGTTCTGCGGGGTGCTGTTGGCGGTGGGTGAACCGAGTTCTGCGGGGCGCTGTTGGCGGTGGGTGAACCGAGCTCCGCGGGGCACTGTTGGCGGTGGGTGAACTGAGCCTCCGGGGCACTGTTGGCGGTGGGTGAACCGAGCCTCCACGGGGGCTGTTCGCCACCCACGGGTCTTCTGCCAGCCCGCCCGGCTGTGCCCAACGCTGCTCTGGACTCGGGAAAGTAGAGACCAGAACCAACAGGGGTCCCGCCCATGCAGGGGCTCTGCTCTAGTGGGGAGCTGGGCAGAAACAGGGGTGACTTGTTGAAAAGTGCACTCGGATCTTAGAAAATTATAGAGCTGTGGCTGGGCGCGGTGGCTCACGCCTGTCATCCCAGCACTTTGGGAGGCCGAGGCAGGCGGATCACGAGGTCAGGAGATCGAGACCATCCTGGCTAACATGGTGAAACCCCGTCTCTACTAAAAAATACAAAAAATTAGCCGGGCGTGGTGGCGGGCGCCTGTAGTCCCAGCTACTCGGGAGGCTGAGGCAGGAGAATGCTGTGAACCTGGGAGGCGGAGCTTGCAGTGAGTCGAGATCGCGCCACTGCAGTCCAGCCTGGGCGACAGAGCAAGACTCCGTCCCAAAAAAAAAGCAAATTATAGTGCTGTGACAGTAGTCACCCGGGATGTGCCAGCAGCAGCAGCACACGCTGAGCTGGGGGCTCCCAGAATCCCCCAACCAGTGAAACCCAGAGCACAGAACATGCTGAGCCGGGAGTAGACCCCGGAAGAAGGAACCACCCGCAGGTTCAAGGAACCCAAAGACAGCAGCACCTCTGGGGCTACCACGAGGGGCGGGGACCAGAGAGGGTGAGCGCAATAGTGGGCGGTGGGCGCAGGACTTTGTGACGAGAAGGGGCAGCCCAGGGGAATGGCAGGACAGCAGGGAGCAGGGGAGTGGCCAGGCCAGACCCAGGGAGGAACTTGGTTAATGATGATTGCAAAACACAAAGGCTCTGTGAAGGGGGCTGTGGAAACCCCTCTCGCTCCCGCCAAGGGCGTCATCCTGAACCGCGGACGCCTCCGACAGCCACAGGTCCATGGCTGAGGACACCTCAGCAAGGCGGGGCTCACCCCAAAGAGGACTTTGTAGCTCTGGCCGAATCCCCTAATCCTCAGCCAATAAACCCAGAAGAGCATCCTGATCTCTGTGAGTGAAAACGTGTCTCAGATGATCACGCTGCGGGGTGAAAGCCGGCTGTGACAGCTGAAGAGCTGGACCGGGTGGCCAAGTACGTCCTCCACGCTCACCGCTGGTTGCTGGCCAGGTCTTGATGACACGCTGACCTCATAAGTGGTTACAGACTTAGATGTGCGGTGGAAGAGCTAAACTGGATTTTGAGCCACTATGACTCATAAGGAGGACATGCAGCTAGTCCAACCTATGAGGATCCACTGACATGGCCCCACCACCCAGAACAGACGCTCAGCCTCGACAAGGGGCTCCGAGTGTGGGGAGTGGTCCCGTCACCAAGCTGCCCACCACCTGAGGCCAGGGCAATGGGAATTTAGAAATCAGCCTGGAGCTCCATTACTCTCTTCATCCAAGCTCGCCTCCTAACAAGGCAGGAGGATGAGCTGGTTTAATTCCAGCTCTGTTTTTCATCTTTCTATTTGGACGGTGGGGCTCAGAAGCCATCAGCGAGGGATGTGGGAAGGGGCGGATTGACGTCACACGTGGCTGAGCCTGGTGGCCTTTATTCAGATGATCAGAATGTCCCCACCACAAGCAGTCAGCATGGTTCAGTCATCCGAATGACTCACCTGCAAAGTCATTAAGACAACTGAAATGCCCAGAGCGGGGACAAAACGTGTGACAGGCTCTGAGAAGTTCAGCCTCCTGGGGTGAAGGGAGCGCAGCCCTCCACGGGCCGCCAAGTCATAGCAGAGGGGACGTGTCCAGAGACGCCCGGCGGAAGGCAGGTAGGGCCGCTGACCCTTCGCTGGGGGTGCAGCCTTCAGAGGGAGCACAATGCCCCCAGGCTGGTCCCCCAACCCCGAGGTCGGCCTGCTCCTCTGCCCTCCCCATCCCCACGGCGCAGTTGAGGGTGCGCCTGTCGACTCTGGGTTCAGGGGGGTGTGGGCGGCCTCTGGCTGGGGCAGTTCTGGGGCCGCCCGGGATCACTTTACCAGCCATAGGGACACAGCGGCTCCTTCCTGGGTGGGCTCCAATGACTCAGAACGAGGGCGTGCCTGGCAGCAGGACGCACAGCTGCTCCTTGGATTAGTTTATTTTTACAGTCGTCCCAGCTCGCAGCACACTGTGGCCTTGCAGCAGGTTCCGAGTTTAGTTTTCGTGTAAATGTCTCATCCTTGGCAGGTTTGGAAGGAGCGCCGTCTGCCTCAGTGGTTCCGAGTGGGGTCCCCGGACCAGCGGCCTCGGAATCACCAGGGACTCGTTAAAATGCAGATTCCCAGGCCCCTCCCCAGACCGTGGATCAGAGGCGTTGGTGGTGCGGCCCCAAAATCCGGGTCTCAGCAAGGCCTCTTGATCCACTGATGCCCACCGGGGTTTGGGGGCGAACGGCACACTCTCTCCACGTGAACTCACTGAACCGGGCGAGGGAGGCGTCTCGGGAAGGTGGGGGAAGCGGAGTCCTGTGTTCCATCTGCGGCCCTGCCACTCCTCCGTGTGGGGTCCGTCCTGGCCCTGGGTCATCGCGTGCCCACGGCAACACGGCTACGTGGTCATGTGGTCAGCCGCTGTCACCTCCTCCATCAGGGCTGCTTGGCAACAGCTTTTAACAAGGAAATCCATCCATGGCTTCAAAACAGAGCTCTCTCTTTTGGAAAAATGCAGACAAACACAAAAAGAGAAGTATGTTCACACATTTCCTTCCGGTCTCTTTTCAGCCTGCTCAGCTTCTTCCTTTTTTTTTTTTTTTTTTTTGAGACGGAGTCTCGCTCTGTCGCTCAGGCTGGAGTGCAGTGGTGCGATCTCGGCTCACTGCAAGCTCTGCCTCCTGGGTTCACGCCATTCGCCTGCCTCAGCCTCCCAAGTAGCTGGGACTACAGGCGCCCGCCACCACGCCCGGCTGATTTTTTTTTATATCTTTAGTAGAGACGGGGTTTCACCGTGTTATCCAGGATGGTCTCGATCTCCTGACCTCGTGATCTGCCAGCCTCGGCCTCCCAAATCACGCTGAGATTACAGGCGTGAGCCACGGCGCCCGGCCTCAGCTTCTTAAAAACAATCGGGTTAGAGTGAGCTTTTCACTTGGCACCACGTCACCAGCCGCATCCGGCCACCGACTCTTCTCCCACAAATGTGGACGTGCCATTGTGCGGCCGCCCTGGAGTTGGACATCGAGGATGCTCTAGATTTTTCAACATTATAAACGGCACCATGAAGGCGACTTTTCCTGTAATACTCGAGTCTTTGTTCCTCATCCCTGATGATCTCCTTAGAATGAATGACTAACAGGTGTGACAGCTAAGATTCTGGGTGCGTCTACCCAAAATTATCATCTGGGGAGGTCAGAGACGGCTCCACCCCCTGCCACAGATGGGGAGACCTTCCAGCTTTGCTCCTGTGGTCACGGCTGCTCAGGAGCAGAACTTACCCCGGACCCAGGCTCAGAAAACACCATCAAATCACAAAGACCCTGTCTCTCCAGCCAAGACCCATTTGGTCCCGTCTCTTTGAAAGCTGGGCTGGTGGGAAGGAATCCCTGGTGAACCTGCAGAAAAACATCTCACTGGGAAAGGGCGGCAGCCCCCAGCCTCAGTGGCTCCTCTAAGCCATTTTGAAAGGGGTTCCGGAGACCCAGCCAAGTGATCCCAGCCCTCCTCCCTCCTCTCTGCAGCCCCCTCTTTCCTCCCTCTCTGCAACCTCCCCTCCTCTCTGCAACCCGCTCCTCCCCTCCTTTCAGTAGCCCCATCTTTCCCTCCTCTCTGCAGCCCCCTCCTCCCTTCCTCTCTGCAGCCCCCTCCTCCCCTGCTCCTGGTGGGCACTGCCCACTGCAGTGCTGGTTCCTGCCCAGGAGCTTGTGAGGAAACTCTTTCTGCCTTCTCCGCCCACCCCAAGCCTGAGCGGTTTGCTGAATCTTCAGTCTCTGCTGTAGGGACCCAGGTCCCTGGGATCATGGCAGAATTTAAATATGCTGTTAATTTTATCTTTCATACTTAAAGGTAGAGACATACACAGTCCACACAGAGAATAGACACTTCTTTATATGTGCTTTTTTACCTACTGTACAAGCAAAGTATGTTTGTTAAAATTTTCTTTTAATATGTTGCATATGCAAAGTGGTTTTCCAAACGCTTTCACTAAACTGTTCAATGTCAACTCCTCAATGCCCTTAGGAGGAGCGTGTGTCAGAAGTTCCTGCCATTTAACAGGAAACAGTGACCCAGAAAAGCTTTGGCATCCCTGCCAACCCCGAATTAACAGCAGAGACAGCCCAGAAGCCACAGCTCCTGGCTCCTAATCTCTTTTTCTCCCTACCAGACTTTTGGGGCCCCTGAAAAGGTGGGATTGCCCCATGATAAATGTTCTATAGAGTCATCTTGGAGAAAAATGATGATGAAGTAGGTGATGATTCCTTTTTCTCTGCAGCCGGAAGAGCAGCAAGACCTGCAGTGACGTCATGTCTGTGGACGCCCAAACCCTGAAGAAGAAGATGGGCAAGCTGGCCTGTGACCCGGCCGCCCACTCCATCCTCAGCAGCCTGCTGCTCTACGTCACGGGCCGCGCAGACCGGCCCCCGGGGACAGAGGCCGGGGGGAGCAGGCCCAGCCACCAGCCCCAGACCCAGGAGGCCACCCAGCGGCCCACGCGCTTCCAGCTCCTGCAGGCCAAGTTCCTGGGCACTGGCCGGGAGCGCTACCTCAAGAGGACCAGGGAGGTGGGCCGGCTGATCTCCAAGGACAAGCAGGGGCCGGGTGGGGGCCTCGTGGGTGCCACCATCAACAAGCTCCTGGAGAAGACCAAGGAGCCGGCCCCAAAGCCCTGCCTCAGCGAGAAGCCCCGCTGGGGCCACCCGGCCGGGAAGAGCACCGTGAAAAACATCCTGAAGATATTCTTGGCCGCCGAGGAGAAGGAGGCGAAGGAGAAAGAAGCACGCGAGAAGCCCCCTGTGGAGCGGCCCAAAGCCGCCAGGGGCCTCTTGCCGAAGATCATGGGCAAGAGCTCGGTGCTGTCCAAGCTGCGGGAGAAGTTCGAGCAGAACAGCTGCCTGTGCTCCGAGGCCAGTGCGCTGAGGCTGCACACGCAGGAGCGGAAGAAGAGGAACCTGCAGAGGAAGAGGATGCACCGGCCGGAGGTGCGCGTGCTGCACACGGCCACCATGGCCAGCACCTGCGTCAAGATGCCCCCTGCCCGCTTTCTGGCCTGCACGGCTGAGCCCCTGCCGGCCCTCAGCATCGCCACCGTCGTCTGTGGCCCCAGGAGCTGGCTGTCCCACTGCACCAAAATCAGCCACTCGGAGGCAAGGCGTCCACCCAGAGGAGAAGCCAGCGTGCCCCCTAGTGCCAGGGAGACGGGGCCCAGTGGGAACAAAGCAGTGGGAAAGGGGCCCCTGGAGGAGGAGCCCCAAAGACAGCCAAGGCCCTCGAAGCCCGTGACACCCCAGGTGATGGCTCAGAGGGACGGCCACGCTGTCCCCTCGCTGGCCTTCTCTTGTGCTCCCTGCACAGGTGGAGTCCTTCCTGGCCTTGTGCCTGCATCATCCCCACTGGGACCGGCCAGCCCTTGGGGCACCGGATCAGCCGGAGGTGATGGGACTGCAGACCCCACCGCAGAGAGCACCGCAGGAGGCGTCCAGGAGGTGAGGGGAGCCAGGCTCACGTGGCCTCCTGGGCCCCCAGGCGAGTGTGCAGGGGAGGGCCCTGAAATCACCATGACTGTTTGCAGTTCAGAGGATGAAAGGGAAGGAGCAGGCTTCCCAGACCCAGGGAGAGACCCCCTCTTTGCCACCCAGAAGTATTTCCCAGAACAGAAGGTGCCGGAGCACATCCCACCCCTGAACGCTCCATCGGTCCAGGCTGCTCGGAGAACACAGCCTGCCACGGAGCCTCCACGGATAACTGTCCAAATTCCAGTTGTCCATGAAATGCCAGCCCCTCCCACCAGGCTGCAAAATATGTCAAGTGGTGAAAACAAACCTTGTATTTGTGGAGGAGAGAATGTGGTTGAAAATGCCCACACAGAATTTCCCACCGTGACTGAGAACAGAAGGGGTCACCGAGCCCCAGTGGAACTGAGCAAGCTTTCAGGGATGCAGGCGGGACTCAGCGCCTCTTCGCCGCAGGGGCCACGGGCAGCTCCGCGTCTGGCAGCAGCAAGAGGGGCTGTGGGCGCCGACCACAGTGTCCCAGAGACACTTCTGACACAGAGACTCCAGACAGATCCTGCTGGCGGGAAGGAAAACAAAGGCAGCTTTGAGAATTCACACGGTCCCAGGAATCCTGACGATATTTCAGGAGAGAGGACCTCTGAGCTCAGAGATGTGAAGCATCCGTTGCCGGAATCTAATGAAATATCAATGCAGAAGAAGGGCTCCGCAACAAATGATCCTGCAGCCTCACAAAACCTTCTGAGGGGAAACACCAGCCATGCCTCCAGCAGCCAGCAAGTGCCGTCCCCGACTGGGAGAAACCCAACAGGAGCCCCCACGTCACTGGCGGCATCATCCAAGGGGCGTACGGGGCCTGAGGGTGTCACCCCGATGGGCATGACAGTGCCCGGTGCGCTGGAGGAATGCAGAAGGCCGCTGCTAATAGAGTCTTCTCAGCCCCTGAAGGCTGCCGAGGAAATCACCAGCCATGATGTTCGCGAGAACCCACTGTCCTCATTAAATGAACCACCCAAACCAGGTATGAAAGCCTGTGGGGCGATGGCAGCTGCAGGGAGCGTTGCGAGCCGCGCCACGCCTGCACCAGCGCCAGGCAGCACCCAGAGCCCTGGAGACCGCACAGCGGGAGAGCCAGAGACGCTGGGCCAGTGGGGAAGCAGAGCCTTGTCCGAAAGCCACCCCAGAGGAGAGGCTCTCCCTCGAGACCCTCACAGCCACGGCCTCCTGGCCCCTGGGGGATCCTTGGAGCCCAAGAGTGGAGCAGCAGGGAGGAGCCTCCTGAGAGGCGTGGCCCTCGTCCAGCACCCAGAGGACATTGCGACCCTCGCCCGCCACCCGGAGGATGCTGCGGCCCTCGCCCGGCACCCAGAGGCGGCCCGATTATACATTTCAAACACATCAGCAGCCAGCAGACATACAGCAGCTGTAGGAGGCAGAAAGGATGTGGCTGTGGAAGGAAACCTTTTGGGTTTCAGCACAGAGTCTGGAATTCCTGCTTCTGATCATCCTAGGCCACAGGCAAGGAGCGTGGCAGAGTCCCCCAGCTATGGCCCTGGCCTCCCGCCGTCGCCTCCTGAGAACCCACAGGCAAAGGGCAGGGAGGGCGTCAGGTTTCCCCGTGGGGCGGAGCCTGACCATCTGCTTCCCGCAGTGCCTCCCGCGGAGGTGGACATGGGGTGGGTAGGTGGCACCCACCAGCGGGGCCCTCCCCATCTACAGGCACACCTGCCCCCTACTGCTGGTGACACACAGGCAAAGCTCCGGGCCAGTGTCCCCGAGCCTAGGACGCAGGCAGGTGAATCCCAGGAGCGTCCCCTGACACAGGCGGACCTGGGGAGGCAACAGAGTCACCAGGCACAGGAGGAGACCCCCCAGCCCGGGGATGCGGGGAAGAGGGTGGCGCCGTCGGGCTCGAAGGTTGTGCTGAACCCAGCAAAAGAGCCTCAGACATGGTGGGCACAGGATCTGGCCGGGGACAAAGGGATGGCCATTGGGGTTGGGGGCGCCTGCCAGCGCAGTGACCAAGGTCAGCAGCATCTGCAGGGACCCTGGGAGGAGCGGGGGCGGAGCACGGCGTGGGGAGAGGGCACCAGGGCTGCCAGGAACCCAGCTGTGCCTCCAGGGGAGCCCGAGGGGCCGGGAAGCCCGGCAGCCCAAGGACAGGCCCAGAAACAGGTTCAGGAATGGGACCGGGGACAGGTTCAGGGACACGCTCAAGAACAGGCCCAGTGGCAGACCCAGATAGAGGCCCAGGGGCAGGCACAGGAACAGGCTCAGGGTGGGACCCAGGGACACAGTCAGGGACAGGCCCAGAAACAGTTTCAGAATTGGGCCCAGGGACAGGCTCAGGGACACGCTCAAGAACAGGCCCAGTGGCAGACCCAGATAGAGGCCCAGGGGCAGGCACAGGAACCAGCTCAGGGTGGGGCCCAGGGACAGGTTCAGGGACAGGCCCAGAAATGGGCTCAGGGGCAGATTCAGGGACAGGCCCAGAAACAGGTTCAAGGAGAGGTTCAGAAATGGGCCCAGGAAGAGGCTCAGGGACAGGCCCAGTGGCAGACCCAGATAAAGGCCCAGAAATGGGCTCAGGAACAGACCCAGAAAGGGGCTCAGGAACGGGTTCAGGGTCAGGCCCAGAAAGGGGCTCAGGAACGGGCCCAGGAACAGGCTCAGGAGCAGACCCAGATAGAGGCTCAGGGTCAGGCCCAGAAGGGGGCTCAGGAACGGGCTCGGGAACAGGCCCAGAAAGGGGCTCAGGAACGGGCTCGGGAACAGGCCCAGAAAGGGGCTCAGGAACGGGCTCGGGAACAGGCCCAGAAAGGGGCTCAGGAGCGGGCTCGGGAACAGGCCCAGAAAGGGGCTCAGGAACGGGCTCGGGAACAGGCCCAGAAAGGGGCTCAGGAACGGGCTCGGGAACAGGCCCAGAAAGGGGCTCAGGAACGGGCTCAGGAACAGGGTCGGGAGCAGACCCACATAGAGGCTCAGGGTCAGGCCCAGAAAGGGGCTCAGGAATGGGCTCGGGATCGGGCTCGGGATCAGGGCTGGGAGCAGACCCAGATAGAGACTCAGAGGCAGACCCAGAAAGGGGCTCAGGAACGGGCTTGGGAACAGGGTCGGGAACAGGCCTTGACAAGTGGGATGGCGCCTCGGGCCTGGGAGCAGCCCATTAGTGGCATAGCTGAGGGAGTGGATGCTGCTGGCAGGAGTGGGGGGTCCAGAAGCCCAGCCCCCAGGGATGGTGGACAGTCAGGGGGCAGTGGCCTGGGGGAGCCCAGCGCCGGGTACCCACCCCCAGGAAGCCGCCCCCTCAGGGGCAAGAGCATTGCCACCTCTCCCCTGGGGCTGGGAAAGAGCCCAACTGAGCCCAAGCCTGAGGCTGGGGGCTGCGGGACTCCCCAGGCCCCGGCCCAGGAGGGGTCCCCAGACCACCCTGGGGCTGAGAGGGCCCTGCAGGACAGGATGGAGGCATCGGAGCCCGAGCGTCGCGGGAGGTCCAGGCACCTGGCCAAGTACAAAGCCCAGAGCTTCCGTGACCAGAGGGCCTTCGATTTGTCCTTCAGACCAATGAGCGTCAGGGCCAGCGACACGTCTGAGCTCCCAAAGTGAGGCCCCGAGTACACACCGTGGCTCGCCCAGCACTGTGACATCCGCCCATTGAGGGACTTCAGGCATTTTCCTGCCTCCAAATGCGTCTTGGAGCATCCCCTACAGAGACGCCTGTTTCCATAATTTTCTTTCCCTTCTTCACAAGCTGACCTTGGGAGGATTGAGCTACATGTGGGTCGGGTTCCTGTCACCCCACAGAGCCACGAGGCCATGGGGGTGGGAGGTGCGGGCCTGTGGCCTCACCAGGCCCTCGGGATTCTTTGTGTCTTCACTCGGGGGCGCCGGCTCACCCCTCTCTCACACAGCCTGCAGCGTGGAGCTCACACCTCCCGCAGTGGCACGGTGTGTGCGTCCCCTTCGATCTGCAGGATGCTGGCACTTTGGGACACCTCCCCAGCTCTCACAGGGCCACCTCCCACTGCTCCCTGCCCACACCCCACCATGCCCTGCTCTGACGTGGCCGCATGGCACCCACCATCCATGGGCCCAAAGTGATGCACACCGCCCCACCCCCATGACTCGAAAGAAAGGGCAGAGCTTCCTCCAGCCTCAGACGCCCAGGTGGGTGCCGGGTGCTGTGTGGCTGCTGGGCCATGTGGTGGTCACCAGAGGGTGTGGGGACGCTGGGATCCCAGGCCGAAACCAGCTCATCCGGAGGAAGAGGCCTCAGGAAATGCCCACGTTAAGTTCTGAGAAAGGGACAGTGCAGAGCCGTGGGAAGCCAGGATCCCAGGGAGGCTTCGTCTGGAAACTGGGTGCTGGGAGAACGAACGGGAGCCTGCCCGCCCTTCCCTGCAGTCCCTGTGGGTGGTGCCACTGGTGCCGGTGACCTGAGAGCCTCGCTGTCTGTCCTCCGTCCTCCCGAACAGCATAGAAGTGTTTCCTGCCCTGGCCCGAGACGGCCCACGACTCCGGCCCTGTTCAGGTACTGAGGTAATGCATGTTCAGGCTGGAATATTTGAATGCTGTCTAGAGGCACAAGAAGGAAATCAAAGCCACCTGTGGTCACATTGCCTCGAGATGGTTTTTGTTGCTACTCTGGACTATTTTTTAGGCTCTTCCTCCATGCACCTATTTTAAAGCACATTCTTCCCCATGATGGAGCCATGCACCTCCGTGTCGCGATCCATCGTCCCAGGCCACTCGGTGGCCTCTGAAACCCGGACCCGTGAGGCCACACGGCTGCCTGAGTGGCCCCGGAGCAGCTGGATTTTCAGCGTGAACCGATGCAGCCTGTCGCCCTACAGCCCCGCACCCTTGTTTTTGGTGGTGCCCTCCCTGTGGAAAGTTAATTCCTGCTTTTTGAAGGTGTCTTGGCATCTTCTGCCTTTGCTACTGAGCGGTTTCCTGAAACAGCCCTAAGCGTTCGCAAAGGCGCTTTGGTGCCTGCTGCGAGCACCTGTTTTCTGACTCGGATGTTCCTTTAGAGGAAGGTGTTTTCCAGTGTCGGCCCTGAGAGGGCGTTCAGCAGGCGCGTCCTACCCACGCGGGGCTGAGGTCTCTCCTTCCAGGGAAGGTCCATCCCGGCAGACGCCAGTGGCTTTGGCTCTGCAGCGCCAAGGAGGCGGCGTGGCGTCATGCTCCGGGGAGCGCACAGGTTTCCTTCCAGTCGAACAATTAACTTCAGATCCAGCAGGTTTGACCCACCCTCACCTGCTGGGACATGCGAGTGCTGGTGTCTGGAAGGAGGGCCGGGCTGTGCTGAGCTCTGGGGGGCCGGTCCCCACAGCTCCCCCGACAGGGCCCCCGGGGCCTCCTCTATAAATCAGGGGTCCGTGCTCCCAGCCCGCTTCGAGGGGTTTCTGCTTGGCGTGTGGGTTCTAAGTGCGAGCTGCTGTGTGTGGAGGCTCCTGAGCACCGGGTGCCCCTCGCGCGTGTGGGTCCCGGGGCAGCCCAGCTGCACACAGGATGGTCCGGGGGTGCGGGTGGGGGCAGAGCTGAGCATGGCGTGTACTTGGCCACAGAAGTCTTGCTGTGGTGCCGCTGGACCCCTGCTAGGAGGACAGGGTCCCCTCTCTCACGAAGCACACGGACCTCCAGAGTCCCTGCCCCTGCAGTCCTGGGAGCCTGCAGTTGGGGCTGGAGTTGGCCTCTCGGAGCCACCCAAACGGAGAGGCCCATGAGAGGGGAGCTCAGGGGTCCAGCAGAGGCTGACAGAGTGGCCTCTTTGTCCTGTTGGCGGCCCCTGCTCATGCCTGGGGCGTCCTCCCTGGAGCTGGGGGAGCTCAGGGACCCCCAGGTCTGTGTGGCTGCCCCTGCCACTCCAGGCACAGCGGCACGGCCCTCACTCTTTACCTATTTGGAATTGGAGGCAATGAGTGGCAAGAACATGATGACAGACACGGGAGGTAAAAATATGTTCACTGGCTGTTCCCTTTATAAATAAGAAGTGGTGGGACTTGCGCTGCTATTTTTAAATAGACCAGAGAGTACACTGGAGAAGGCATTGAGTGGTTTTATTTTAAGTGGTGGAAAAAATGATGAGAATCTCCTCCAGATGACAGCTCCGGAAGTGTCGTGCCTGAACCCCTCTCACAGTCTGGCGGGCGCAGAGTCTGTGAGCGGCCAGGAGGCCACCTGCTCGACTGGCCCGTCCTCTCCATGTGCCAGATGCAGCCCAGCATGACACTGCCCTCAGCTCAAAAACAGCACAGCTACTCTGTGTGCAGGAAAAAACTGCCAGTGACTTCACCAGGATTTGAGAACGGTCCGTACGTTCACACTAAGCTGAGACAGCGCAGGTTAGAAGATAGCGCGGGGAAGTATTCACACTTCAGATACGACCATCACGGCCACATGGCTAAGGCCCACACCCTCCCGGGGTGAAATAACTACAGCAGAAGAATGGGGCGCTAACCACCTCCACGGGCATTTTAAATAAAACCCAAAGTTGTTTTGTTTTTTTAAAAAAAAAAAAAAAGAAAGAAAGAAAGTGGCCGGGCACGGTGGCTCATGCCTGTAATCCCAGCACTTTGGGAGGCCGAGGCAGACAGATCACGAGGTCAGGAGATCAAGACCATCCTGGCTAACACAGTGAAACCCTGTCTCTACTAAAAATACAAAAATTAGCCGGGCGTGGTGGTGGGTGCCTGTAGTCCCAGCTACTCGGGAGCCTGAGACAGGAGAATGGCGTGAACCCGGGAGGTGGAGCTTGCAGTGAGCCGAGATTGCGCCACTGCACTCCAGCCTGGGTGACAGAGCGAGACTCCGTCAAAAAAAAAAAAAAAAAGAAGAAAAGAAAAGAAAAGAAAACAGGATATTTATTTTAGCTTCTTAGTTAACATCATTAATTTTGTGTAGTTGAGCGACTCGTTGACTGCCTCCTCCCTGCAGTTTTTTACGGTGCCTCCGGCTGTCGACAGGCCCACTGTGAGCCGCAGGTCTGTGGGTGCAAGTGACAACAGCCGGGCGGGAGGCGGTGCACTCAGGCGGCAGGAAGGTCCCGAGACGGCGACGAGAATGTGGTCATGTTCAGGACACTCGCTCAGGGAGGGTCGTTGTCTGGGATTTTACACGCTCAGCACCACCTCCTTATTCTGTTCTCAGGGTATCTCTGCTGTTGGAGTTACGGTCTTTCGGTTGTGTATTAGGCTACAGCTATTTATTAAATTTGTTCTTGTTCATATTCTTCTTTGTATATAAACAACCCTAAAATGGGTTAGTCAGAAAAAATTACTAAATGTCATTTGTTGTATTCTCTCTGTATTTTTACTAACATCATTCAGCTGGAAATAATTTCAAAAAGAAATAAAATACCTTTCCCATTACAAATCTCTTCCTTGCATTGTTGAAGCAGCCGCATAAATGAAGTAGGACTCAGGCCTGGGGCGAGGGGCAGAGCCCCCATCGGGTGAATGTGGCCAGCCTGGAGCAGTGATCCTGGGCAGGAGGGAGGGTCTGGGGCAAGGCCCCAAGTGGGAGGAGAACTCCTTAGGATGTGCTTAGAGAGACAAGGCCATGCACTCCCCAGACCCTCTCTTGGTCCAGTCAAGACTGTGCCGGCCTCGGAGCAAGACCCAGGGAGCTGGACTTCGGCCACTGCACCTGGGCCGCGGGGGGCCAAAGGGCTGGGGTGTCCTCTGGGACACGGAGGGAGACTGGACAGAAGGGAGGGAAGGAGTATGGGTGCAACGGGCCCAGCAGGCCTGTGAGACACCCTCTGCCCTCCACTACTCTGTATGCAGGAGAACTTTGTAAGTGACTTTTCATGAGGATTTAACAACGGGTGGTTTAAGCTCACGCCAGACCTAGCTGGGAATGCCTGCATTCCAAACCCCTGCTGTGCCCGTGGGTGGCGCGGGTTCTTGGCATCTTGTGAGGAGGAAAGCTTGTTCCACTGAAACGAGCTGATGCCTCGTGTCTGAGAGCACTGGCCCGGCAGCCGAGGCTTTGGGATGGTGCAGGCACCTCTTGTCCTGAAAGAAAACCCCTGTCAATTAAGCTATGACACAGGCTTTCATTAGAACTTTTATTTTATTTTATTTCATTTATTTATTTTGAGACGGAGTCTCGCTCTGCCACCCAGGCTGGAGTGCAGTGGCGTGATCTCGGCTCACTGCAAGCTCTGCCTCCCGGGTTCACGCCACTGTCCTGCCTCAGCCTCCTCAGTAGCTGGGACTACAGGCGCCCGCCAAGACGCCCGGCTAATTTTTTGTATTTTTAGTAGAGACAGGGTTTCACCACGTTATCCAGGATGGTCTCGATCTCCTGACCTCGTGATCCGCCTGCCTCGGCCTCCCAAAGTGCTGGGATTACAGGCGTGAGCCTCTGCGACCGGCTAGAACTTTTAAAAGCACTTATTGAGGGCGTCTGTGAGACTGGTGTACATAGAAGTCTGATCAAACCCCATTCTTGGGATATTGTTATAAGCTTGGGGTAGACAAATGTTTCCCTGAACAGAAGAAAAAGCCCCAACCACAAAAGGAAGTGCCGGGACATTTGTCTGTTTGAGCGTCGGTGCATTTGCTGAATCTTTATGGCCGCCATGGATTTTTGACAGGAATGGATGTCACGTAGCCCCCAAAGCCCAGGACTGAGCAGCTGAGCAGTGCACGCCGTTTCTCTGACAGCGAGAGGACTGGCCTGGCTCAGGTCCACAACCCCAGGCGGTGTCTGGGAAGCCACTCGAAGGCACAGGAGCCTACTAGAAGCCCCATCTGTGCACACCCCAAACTCGTGAAAGTGCCGAGGCATCTTCTCCTAGAAGAACAAAGGAGGCCAAGCGGGGAGTGAAGGCAACAGTGTCTACAGTGGTCCGTTTCCAAGACAAAGTGCCTTGAATCGGCTTAAGTCAGCAAACTACAGAAGAAACAGGAGGTCCGAGGCCCCTGCCTGGATCGCCAGTGCCTGCTTGCCGGCCTCCCCTTCTCCCTCCCTTCCCCCCGGCCCTTAGGTGCTCTCACCTGAACTAAAGAAGTTTAGTCTAAGATAACAGTTTACTAGCCTGCAAAATAGCTGGCTTTGTCTGTTCTTATCAGCCTGCCCAGCTACTTAGGTCATAAGTCAAATACTTGAAGAGCCCCTGGGCTGACTGGGATTGCAATGCATTGTGGGCTGCAACAAAATGCAACAGGACACCCCTAAAAAAAACACCTACAGCCCCTGCCCAACAACCAATAGGTGACGTCCCAGAAGACTGTGACCCCAGAGTACTCAGCCTGTGAGGAACCCGGGGAGACACCTGTGCACTAGGGGATAAATTATTTGTTGAAACTGTGCTGGCTGTGGCTGCCCATCAGACACCCGATCTTGCAAGACCATCATCAACAGTCTCACTTTCAGCCAGGTGCAGTGGCTCATGCCTGTAATCCCAGCACTTTGGGAGGCTGAGGCAGGCAGATCACAAGGTCAGGAGTTCAAGACCAGCCTGACCAACATGGTGAAACCCCGTCTCTACTAAAAATAAAAAAATTAACTGAGTGTGGTGGTGTGCACCTGTAATCCCAGCTACTCAGGAGGCTGAGGCAGGAGAACTGCTTGGACCCGGGAAGCAGAGGTTGCAGTGAGCCGAGATTACGCCACTGCACTCCAGCCGGGTGACAGAGCGAGACTCTGTCTCAAAAAAAAAAAAGAAAGAAAGAAAGTCTCCCTTTCACTCTCCTCCGGGTCTCCGAGTCCTTCTTCTGGGTTTGGACAGATGAGTTTGTTTCTCACCACTTGAGACCAGGAGTTCCAGACCAGCCTGGGCAACATAGTGAGACCCCGTCTCTATTTAAAAATGAAAGTAAAATAAAAAATAAAAGAACAAAAGACCACAGGTCATGTTGTATTGAAGAGCGGAGAAAGAGCTGTTGAATTCTCTGGATGGCTGTTTCCTTACGGCCTGTACCACTGGAAGTCATGTCTTAATCCCCAACTGGAAGAAGGCGCTCAACCCACCAGCAAATCTGCACGTAGGGAAGAATTTTCCAAATCTTGAAGAAATAAGAACCCAAAAAAAGCACCAAATAAGTTACAGATTTCCATTGCTCAATCAATAATGATGATGATAAAATAATCAAGAAGCCGGGTGCGGTGGCAGCACCTGTGGTCCCAGCTACTCAGGAGGCTGAGGTGGGGGGATCACGTAAGCCTCGGAGTTTGAGGCCAGCCTAGAAACATAGCAAGATCTTGTATCTTAAAAAAAAATGAATAAAATGTTAAAAAATAAAACAAAATAAGAAACTGATGAAATTCTTGGACTTTGATAACGGCAGGAAGCCGCACACATACAGGAAGAACAAAGTCCAGAAAGAGCTGACGGTGGACGCCCAAGAGAAGAGGCGGCTTCTGCGAGCTCTGTGTCGTTAGGAAGGGAACTCGGCTTCATTTCAAATTCCAAAGGGGCTCAAACATATGAATAAGACCCCAGTCTTTCATGGGAGCCCCAAAAGTGGGGCTATTTTTCTACGTTTTGACAGCTCCCCACAACATGAATCCTGTCTTCTCTCTGCACGGCAGTCCCACATCCCACATCCCCAGCCTTCCTTGCTGCTGGGACGCATGCAGCTCTGCCAGGGAGACGCAACCTCCCCAGGCCGGCAGGGCACAGCAGGTTCTGGGCCCACGGTGAGGACGAGCCGGTGATATGGAGTCTCCTGGGTGTGCAGAGAAAGATGTTTCCAGGGAAGCTGAGAGAAGGAAGCTCATTAGCCAGTGCAGAGCTGGGCTTGGAGGCCTTTCCTCTAGTCCTGCAAGGAGCTGGGAGCTGTCACACTGCTCACCATGTCCCTTTCTGCTCAAATTCCCCAGGATGGATTCTGCCCCCTGCACTCAAGAAAACACAGGGGGCCGGGCGCGGTGGCTCACGCCTGTTATCCCAGCACTTTGGGAGGCCAAGAAAGGCGGATCACGAGGTCAGGAGATAGAGACCATCCTGGCTAACACGGTGAAACCCCGTCTCTACTAAAAATACAAAAAAATTAGCCGGGCGTGGTGGTGGGTGCCTGTGGTTCCGGCTACTCGGGAGGCTGAGGCAGGAGAATGGCGTGAACCTGGTAGGCGGAGCTTGCAGTGAGCCGAGATTGTGCCACTGCACTCCAGCCTGGACGACAGAGCAAGACTCCGTCTCAAAAAAAAAAAAAAAAAAAAAAAAAGAACACACAGGGGCGCCCCCATCAAAACCCACAGCAGACGTGCTGTATCGGACCACATACTGGAGCACACGGGGCTGTCCCCATCAACATCCACGGTGGACGTGCCGTATCGGACCACATACTGCGTGCGTGGTGGTCAAAGACATGAAGTTGAACTCTCATGGGTCTATCAAGTTGAGAACCAAAACCCCCAATTTTTAAAAGGAATCGGTAACACTCACTACCTCTGAGGATGTACGGAGACAGTCATTCCTGATGGGACCAAACATTGGCCCTTCCTTTTTATAAAGCAATTTGGCAATAATGTCAAGAACCTTTAGAAGGGGTGGCTCCTCAGCCCAGCAATTCCAGCTTTGAGAAACTGTATTTAGGAAAAGCAATCTGTCCAGCGTGGTACTACTCAAGATACAGCCATAAGTGACACAAATGTCCACCAATTAAGAGATTAGTTGGCCAGGCGCGGTGGCTCACGCCTGTAATCCCAGCACTTTGGGAGGCCGAGGCGGGCGGATCACGAAGTCAGGAGTTCAAGACCAGCCTGGCCAACACAGTGAAACCCCGTGTCTACTAAAAATACAAAAAATTAGCTGGGCGTGGTGGCGGGCACCTGTAATCCCAGCTACTAGGGAGGCTGAGGCAGGAGAATCGCTTGAACCCAGGAGGCGGAGGTTGCGGTGAGACGAGATCACACCATTGCACTCCAGCCTGGGCAACATTGCAAGACTCCCTCTCAAAAAAAAAAAAGAGATTAGTTAAATAAAGTGTGGTGTCTTATTCAGTGAAATAGCAGTCATTTAAAATTAGCTGAGGAAGAACTTTGTGAAATGGAAAATATTGTACCATTTAATGTTTAAAATCCAATATAAGGCCGGGCGCAGTGGCTCATGCCTGTAATCCCAGCACTTTGGGAGGCCAAGGAGGGTGGATCACCTGAGGTCAGGAGTTCGAGATCAGCCCGGCCAACATGGGGAAACCCCATCTCTACTAAAAATACAGAAATTAGCTGGACATGGTGGCGGCGGACGCCTGTAATCCCAGCTACTCAGGAGGCTGAGGCAGGAGAATCGCTTGAACCCAGGAGGCAGAGGTTACAGTGAGCCGAGATGGCGCCATTGCACTCCAGCCTGGGCAACAAGAGTGAAGCTACACCTCAAAAAGAAAAAAAAAATCCAGTATAAAATAGTAGATTCAAATATGTAAATACGTGTGAAGGGGGCAAAGAAAGAGAAACGCGAAAAAAGGTGAGCAGTGGTTATCCACGAACACCCGATGTGTAGGTGTGTTTTCCCGTCGTTATCTGTCACTGCTTTCTGCGTTAATTTAAATGCACTTGCATCACTTTCAGGATCAGAAAATAAAGGCCTATGTGTGACCCTGGGGCGCTGGCGGGGGCTGGACGGAGGCCCAATGCCCCTGTTGCCCATTGTCTCCAGGCTTCTCCAGGACTCGGCTTCCCGCCTCTCCTTTGGGGACCGCACGAGTCACTGGGGGAGGCTCCGCGGGCAGCAGGTCTCTGGGAGGGGTTGTCGCCCCCTCGGTGCGCAGGGGAGCGACGGGTCCCTCCTGCACCTGCAGGGACAGGCCTCGGGCTGCACCGTCCCGCGCCCGCCTACCCCGCGCCCGCCTCGCCGGACGCCTCCTGCCTGAGTCCGCCAGGGGGCGCTGCCGGCCTCCCGGGCGGCGGCTGCTGCAAGAGGAAGCCCCGGCCCGCGAGCTGCTGCCACATCCGGACGCCGCCGGGAGCCGCCGGGAGCCGCCGGGGTGGGCGGGAGTCGGGGCGGCGCGCAGGTTCCCGGCCCCCTAAGGGACGGTTGCCTTCCCCAGAGCCGGGGACACAGGCGTACGTGCGGGGACCTCGGCGCTGGCCTCCGGGCTTCTGGAGCCCCTCCCTGGTGCGGAGCGGGGACGGTGACCTCCTCGTGGATTCTGGGAGGGGCAGCCTTGGCATCAGGACCTGGAAGCCGGAGAGGCTGCAGGGCTTCCAGCCATGGCCTTGCCACCGGAGGTCACGTAGTGTTTCCACATTTCCTTAGTGTGTACATGTGTGGGTCCCTGTGTTGTGGAGGGCTGTGTCTGCTTGGTGTGTGTGCACACGCGTGTGTGCATGGGTGGGTCCCTGTGTTGTGTAGGGGCCGTGTCTGCTTGGTGTGTGTGCACACGCGTGTGTGCATGGGTGGGTCCCTGTGTTGTGGAGGGCTGTGTCTGGGCAGGCTGTGTACACACCCATGTGCATGTGTGATGCGCACTGGGGCACTTGTCTGGGTAGTAGAGGTGGAGGCCTGTGTGGCCATATGTGCAACTGTGTGTCCGGGTGCGTGTACCACAGTCTTCCCTAAAATAGTAATACTGGGACCTACGTCATGGGGCTGTTGTGACCGCGTGTGGCACTCCATGTGGGGTGGCACAGCCAGGCGCTGATCCGGCCACTTTGCCAGTCGGACTGACTGCGTGTCCTCTCCTTAGGGGTGAGAAGCTTCCTGGCATCGGGCCTGGGCTCCTGAGCCCCTGAGCCAACCGACTGATGGTCCCTGGGAGACAGCCCCCGCCCTGCTCCTGCCCCCCACACCTGAAAGGCTCATTGTGTGGGTTTGCTGTGCTCCACAGGGATGTAAACCGCCCCTCCTTTTCCCTGTTCTGTCTGTGAGAAGGTGCCAGGGATACTTTTTTTTTTTTTTGAGACCAAGCTTCACTCTTATTGCCCAGGCTGGAGCGCAATGGCGCGATCTCGGCTCACTGCAACCTCCACCTCCCAGGTTCAAGCGATTCTCCTGCCTCAGCCTCCCGAGTAGCTGGGATTATAGGCATGTGCCACCACACCTGGCTAATTTTTTTTTTTCAGCAGAGATGGAGTTTTCTCCATGTTGGTCAGGCTGGTCTCGAACTCCTGACCTCAGGTGATCCGCCGGCCTCAGCGTCCCAAAGTTCTGGGATTGCAGGCGTGAGCCACCGTGCCCAGCCCGTTTTTTTTAAGAGTCGGGGTTTCACTTTATCGCCCAGACTGGAGTGCAGTGGTGCAATCATGGCTCACTGCAGCCTCAACCTCCTGGGCTCAAGCAATTCTCCCGCCTCAGCCTCCTGAGTAGCTGGGATCACAGGTATGCACTAATTTTTGTATTTTTTTGTAGAGACAGGGTCTTGCTATGTTGTCCAGGCTGGTCTTGAACTCCTGGGCTCAAGCAATCCTCCTACCTTAGCCTCCCAAAGTGCTGAGATTACAGGCGTGACCCACGGCCCCCAGCCAGGGATACTTATGGAGGTCCCTGGGCAGTTCAGGTAAAGAGGATCCCACTGCCAGGCACGGAGGCTCATGCCTGTAATCCCAGCATTTTGGGAGGCTAAGGCAGGAGGATGAGTTGCGCCCAGGAGGTTGAGGCTGCAGTGAGCCAAGATTGTACCACTGCACTCCAGTCTGGGCAACAGAGCAAGACCCTGTCTTAATAAAAGAAAAAAGAAAGAAAAAAAAAGGCCGGGCGCGGTAGCTCACACCTGTAATCCCAGCACTTTGGGAGGCTGAGGCGAGTGGATCGCTTGAGCTCAAAAGTTCAAAACCAGCCTGGCCAACATGGCAAAACCCCATCTCTACAAAAAGTTAGCTGGGCATGGTGGCAGGCACTTGTGGTCCCAGCTACTTGGGAGGCTGAGACAGGAGAATTGCTTGAACCCAGAAGGCAAAGCTGGCAGTGAGCTGAGATGGTGCCACTGCACACCGGCCTAGGCAACAGAGTGAGTGAGACTTCAACAGGATTCATGAGAAGAGTCTGTTTTTAAAGCACACCTTCCTCTTCTAGGACTTTGATAGAAGGAGGTTAAAGTGCTCTGTTTCTGTGTCTTCTGAGAGGGTGGCCGCTCCCAGGGCATACAGCCCTCACCATTTCCCCCTTTGATGGACAGAGATGAGTTTCTTCTTAGCAGACTTTGGCCCACCAAGCCAGAAATGTGTCCAAGAAAAGCTCAAGGAGGAAAGAGAGTCAACCAAATTCACTTTCGGAGCACCTCCCACAGTAGAGAGGTTACGCGGGCTACAAAATTGTATGAAAACCTCCCTACCCTGGAACTTGGGTGAAGCTTGAGGACACCATGCTGAGTGAAATTAGCCAGACACAGAAGGACAAATTCTGTGGGATCCCACTTACGTAAGGGTGACAAGAAGGAAGAGGCTGAGGTGCAAATTATGATTTAAAGAGTTGACTTGAGCCAAGGTGAGGACAGCTGCCTGGGAGACTCGAGTGGCCTTGGATATGAGCCCCATTAGGCCTTTATTACAATCAGGATTTTAAAGGCAAAAAGGGGAACAGGGAGTGGCTGATACAAAGTTGTTTTTCAGGAATTCTTGTTGGTTGACAGAAATAACATTGATTAGTGATGGGCTGTGCACCGTTGAGCTGCAGGGTGTGGGTTGCAGGGTGGGGGATGGCATTGTTAGGTTAATTCACAGCTAGCAAGTTCCAAGACATCAACACACAGCTCAATG
Source organism: Homo sapiens (assembly GCF_000001405.40). Classification (NCBI taxonomy): domain Eukaryota; kingdom Metazoa; phylum Chordata; class Mammalia; order Primates; family Hominidae; genus Homo; species Homo sapiens. Next base: position 113,391,332 of record NC_000013.11, on the reverse strand, counting down.
TGTTGGAGGGAGATATCTGCAGTTGTTACCAGACAGGGGTCCCGATCCAGACCCCCAGAGGGCGTTCTTGGATCTCGCGCAAGAAAGAATTCAGAGCGAGTCCATAGAGACAAGTGAAACCAGTTTATTAAGAAAATAAAGAAATAAAGAATGGCTACTCCATAGGCGAGCAGCTGAGGGCTGCTGGTTGCCCATTTTTATGGTGATTTCTTGATGATATGCTAAACAAGGGGTGGATTATTCATGCTCCCCTTTTTAGACCATATAGGGTAACTTCCTGACGTTGCCATGGCATCTGTAAACTGTCACGGAGCTGGTGGGAGTGTAGCAGTGAGGATGACCAGAGGTCACTCTTGTGGCCATTTTGGTTTTGGTGGGTTTGGCCGGCTTCTTTGCTGCAACCTGTCTTATCAGCAAGGTCTTTATGATCTATATCTTGTGCCAATCTCCTATCTCATCCTGTGACTTAGAATGTCTCACTTCCTGGGAATGCCGTCCAATAGGTCTCAGCCTCATTTTACCCAGCTCCTACTCAAGATGGAGTTGCTCTGGTTCAAACATGCCTGACATTTTCTCTTTCCCTTTTATAAGAGAACCCTTAATCCTAAGAGTTGCAGGGGGATGAAGATCCATCTTCTGTAACTTCTTCAGGCTGAATAGGGGCGATGACATTCCTGCCTAACTATTAGGGTCCCTTGTGTTCAGGGTAGAGAGGAGCACAGTCAGAAGGCATCAGTGTGGTGAGGGCTATTCATAACTCTTAAGTTCCAACAAAAGGTGATATCTGGGCAATTAATAAGTGTTCAGTTTAAGAAAACATTGAGCAAGTTTATTTTGCATACCTACACAGAGTACAACAACAATATATTCCACAATAGTAAAGCAAAATAAGTACAATTATTCCAAGTAAACTAAATTAGAAGGCTTTTCATGAACTGGGCAACTATTGGAACCAAGATGATGTGAGGTTGCTAGCCAATTCTAGTGTGCCCAGAATTAGAATATTGATTCAGATTTTTACATTACCCATCCCTCTTATTTCTTCTGAGCAGCAGTCAGAGTTCACTGGTTGGTTCACAGGAATAAGCAAGGTTAGCCTAAATTCCAGAAGCAAATCTAAAAACAACTGATGAGACTAGAATTTAAAAACAACATACCACAGTTCCTGAAACATAATATTTCTCTCTCTAGTTTCCCATTTTTACTAAAGGCAAATCATGGTAAGACTGATTTACTTTATTATACTTGGCCTGATTATTTGTATAAAGGGCAGCAAGAATATTTTTCACATAGGTTCTTTTTAAATTGGCTTTGATGGAACTCTGTTCCGTAGAAGGAATCTTAGCTAAGACTCTTTTAGAACTGAGCCCCGCCATGGGTTTGTACCCTCAAATACCTGTAAGTTGAGTAAATTTCTCTCCTCTTGAGTTTCCAAGATAACTTGGGGCTCCTGGGCCTGTGAGAAAGTGACTTTTTTTTTTTTTGAGACCGAATCTCGCTCTGTTGCCCAGGCTGGAGTGCAGTGGCATGATCTCTGCTCACTGCAAGCTCCGCCCCCCCGGGTTCATGCCATTCTCCTGCCTCAGCCTCCTGAATAGGTGGGACTACAGGTGCCCGCCACCATGCCCCGCTAATTTTTTGTATTTTTAGTAGAGACAGGGTTTCACCATCTTAGCCAAGATGGTCTCAATCTCCTGACCTCATGATCCACCCGCCTCAGCCTCTCAAAGTGCTGGGATTACAGGCATGAGCCACCGCACCCAGCATAAAGTGACATTCTTTACTTACCACGGGTCAGGAACTCTGTATAAGGACTGTGGAGAGAACGTATCAGGTCAGTTTTCCCAAGGGGCTTTATCAGCTCTATAAGTCACGTTTAATTTCTTAAAGGAAAACACATCATTCTAGTCAAATCCTTGGTAAAATAAGCAGTTTCTCCAATTGTGTCCTGTTGCAAAAGAAAACAGATTCCTGGCCAGGCACAGTGGCTCACACCTGTAATCCCAGCGCTTTGGGAGGCCGAGGCAGGCAGACCACCTGAGGTCAAGAGTTCAAGACCAGCCTGGCCAACATGGTGAAACCTCATCTCTACTACAAATACAAAAATTAGCCAGGTGTGGTGGCTGGCACCTGTAATCCCAGCTACTTGGGAGGCAGAGACAGGAGAATTGCTTGAACCTGGGAGGCGGAGGTTGCAGTGAGCCGAGATCATACCATTGCACTCCAGCCTGGGCAACAGAGCAAGACTCTGTCTCAAAAAAAAAAAAAAAAAAGAAAACAGATTCTTATTGCACTTATGCAAATAGCTATATTGCCATAAATTAAGAATACTCACAACTAGTTCCCAAATTTTGGAGAAATTAGGTAGAGAGAAACAAATATGCTCCAAATTTTATTCATACAAGTATACTTATTCAATTGTTAAAAGCTATAACTCGCTCAAAAGTTTCCTTGATTCTGAAAAACAAAACAAAGGATCAGCAATATTTTAAGCAAAAAGTTAAAAAGATTACTTCTGGTTTCTATTAGTTTAGTCCATGTAGTTAACTTCTGTTTGATATTCATGGACATTTCAGCTCTCCATAAGAATTCTAAAAGTTTTTTCCTCTATTCTGATGTCACCATCACCAGTTATCGGAAACCTGCACTCAAGAACATCTGTCAAAGTCCTGTAGCTGATTATAAACCACCTTCTAAAGAGGACCAAAACAAGACAACCATTGTTTGTGGATGACAAAACATCTTCGGACAGCCATCATTAAAGCCACAACTGATAAGGAAATTTGATTACTTCTGTGGCATACAAAATTTTACATAACAATTATATCTATTAATAACATACACTAAATCATGTGAGAATTATAGGAGTTTTAAAAGTAATTTTGGAACACATACCAATAACACATTTATATATACAAATACAGCCCAAAGAAAACCAAATACCATTTTATATTTGACAATGCTTCCTGTAAGATTCTTGTACCAAGCCAGGTGTGGTGGATCATGCCTGTAATCCCAGCACTTTGGGAGGCTGAGGTGGGTGGATTGCCTGAGGTCAGGAGTTCAAGACCAGCCTGACCAACATGCTGAAACCCTGTCTCTACCAAAAATACAAAATTAGCCGGGCATGGTGGCATGAGCCTGTAGTCCCAGCTACTCAGGAGACTGAGGCAGGAGAATTGCTTGAACCCGGGAGGCAGAGGTTGCAGTGAGCCAAGATTGTGCTGCTGCATTCCAGCCTGGGTGACAGAGTGACACTCTGTCTCAAAAAAAAAAAAAAAAAAAAAAGATTCTTGTACCAAATAAGCCAAATGTCATTGTTGCATTAGGGCCCCTAGCCTAATCTACAATCTAATGCTCCAAGGTAGGTGAACTGAACGGTTTTCAAAAGTCAAAGAAGCAGTTTATGACCTTAAAGCATTTAGCAAGCTTAAAATCTGACCTGCATGATTTAGACCAAATGTTTACATTTTTGAAGATATTTTTATTTTACCAATAATCTTTAAAGCTGCCTTTATTTCCCAAAAATTACTTAAGTCACATGAACTAAAAGGCATTATACTTTTAAATTTTCTGATAAAATATCTGATTTAAGGTCTTACTGTTATTAAACCAATTAATCAAAGCTCTTTCATATATAAACATCACACTCATAACACATATAAATACAGACAGAAGATAAAGGACTCATTCCCTAAGCCAGGAATTGGACCCTGAACCCAAGGCACCGCTGTGAAAAGAGAAAGCACAACCACATGGTTACAAGATCCAGCTCCCAAGGACATACAAGGCAGTAAGGAAATCTCATCCAGTTTTTTTCAGGGACCTACAGCATAGTTTATAACTGACCAGTTTGCTAGGCCATCTTGAACAAACCTAAGAATAATTGGTGTTCCTGAGGAATAAGAGAAATCTAAAAGTTTGGAAAATATATTTGGTGGAATAATCGAGGAAAACTCCCCAGCCTTGCTAGAGACCTAGACATCCAAACACAAGAAGCTCAAAGAACACCTGAGAAATTCATTGCAAATAGGTCATCACCTAGGCACATTATCAGGTTATCTAAAGTTAAGACGAAGAAAAGAATCTTAAGAGCTGTGAGAAAAAAGCACCACGTAACCTATAAAGGAAAATCTATGAGACTAACAGCAGATTTCTCAGCAGAAACCCTAAAAGCAAGAAGGGATTGGGAGCCCATCTTCAGCCTCCTCAAACAAAACAATTATCAGCAAAAGAATTTTTTACCCAGTGAAACTAAGCTTCCTAAATAAAGGAAAGATAGGCCTTTTTCAGACAAACAAATGCTGAGAGAATTTGTCATTACCACACCACCACTATAAGAACTACTAAAAGGAGCTGTAAGTCTTGAGACAGATCCTGGAAACACATCAAAACAGAATCTCTTTAAAGCATAAATCTCACAGCACTTATAAAACAGAAATACCATAAAAAAAAAACCCCAAGCTATACAAGCAACAAATAGCATGATGAATGGAATGGTACCTCACATCTCAATACTAACATTAAATGTAAATGGTCTAAATGCTCCACTTAAAAGATACAGAATTGCAGAATGGATAAGAACTCACCAACCAACTATCTGCTGCCTCAAGAGACTCACCTAACATGTAAGGACTCACATAAACTTAAGGTAAAGGGGTGGAAAAGACATTCCATGCAGATGGACACCAATAGGGAGCAGGAGTAGTTATTGTTATCTCAGACAAAACAAACTTTAAAGCAACAGCAGTTAAAAAACAGAAAGAGGGAAATTATATAATGATAAAAGGCCTTGTCCAACAGGAAAATATCACAGTCCTAAATATATATGCACTTAACACTGGAGCTCCCAAGTTCATAAAACCAGGACTAATAGACCAAAGAAATGAGATACACAGCAACACAATAATAGTGGGGGACCTCAATACTGCACTGACAGCACTAGACAGATCATCAAGACAGAAAGTCGACAAAGAAACAATTTAACACATTTAAACTATACCCTGGAACAAGTGGACTTAACAGATATATACAGAACATTCTACCCACCAACCACAGAATATACATTCTATTCAACAGTACATGGAACTTTCTTCGAGGTAGACCATACGATAGGCCACAAAATGAGCCTCAATAAATTTAAGAAAATTGAAATTATATCAAGCACTCTCTCAGACCACAGTGGAATAAAACTGGAAATCAATTCCAAAAGGAACCTTCAACACCATGCAAATACATGGAAATTAAATAACCTGCTCCTGAATGATCATTGAGTCAAAAATGAAATCAAGATGAAAATCAAAACATTCTCTGGCCAGGCACAGTGGCTCATGCCTATAATCCCAGCACTTTGGGAGGCCGAGGTGGGTGGATCATGAAGTCAGGAGTTTGAGACCAGCCCGACCAACATGGTGAAACCCTGTCTCTACTAAAAATACAAAAATTAGCCAGGTGTGGTGGTGGGTGCCTGTAATCCCAGCTACTCAGGAGGCTGAGCAGGAGAATCACTTGAACCCAGGAGGCGGAGGTTGCCGAGATCACGTCATTGCATGCCAGCCTGGGCGACAGGGCGAGACCCCGTTTCAAGAAAAAAAAAAAAAATTCTCCGAACTGAACGACGATAGTGACACAACCTATCAAAACCTCTAGGATACAGCAAAGGCGGTGCTAAGAGGAAAGTTCAAAGCCCTAAACGCCTACATCAAAAAGTCTGAAAGAGCACAAACAGACAATCTAAGGTCACGCCTCAAGGAACTAGAGAAACAAGAACAAACCAAACCCAAACCCAGCAGAAGAAAGGAAATAACTGAGATCAGAGCAGAACTAAATGAAATTGAAACAAAAAAAAAAATAGAAAAGATAAATAAAAAGCTGGTTCTTTGAAAAGATAGAATTGATAGACCATTAGCAAGATTAACCAAGAAAAGAAAAGAGAAAATCCAAATAAGATCAATTAGAAACAAAACGAGAGATATTACAACTGACACCACAGAAATACAAAAGATCATTCAAGGCTACTGTGAACACCTTTATGCACATAAACTAGAAAACCTAGAGAATATGGATAAATTCCTGGAAAAATACAACTCTCCTAGCTTAAATCAGGAAGAACTAGATACCACAAACAGACCAGTAACAAGCAGCGAGATTGAAATGGTAATTTAAAAATTACCAACAAAAAAAAAGTCCAGGACCAGATGGATTCACGGCAGAATTCTACCATTCAAAGAAGAATTGGTACCAATCCTATTGACACTATTACACAAGATAGAGAAAGAGGGAACCCTCCCTAAATCATTCTATAAAGCTGGTATCACCCTAATACCAAAATCAGGAAAGGACATAACCAAAAAAGAAAACTACAGACCAATATCCCTGATGAACATAGATGCTAAAATCCTTAACAAAACACTAGCTAAGCAAATCTAACAACATATCGAAAAGTTAATCCATCATGATCAAATGGGTTTCATACCAGGGATGCAGGGATGGTTTAACATATGCAGGTCATTGGGCATGGTGGCTCACACCTGTAATACCAGTGCTTTGGGAGGCCGAGGTGGGTGGATCATGAGGTCAGGAATTCGAAACCAGCCTGACCAAGATGGTGAAACCCCATCTCTACGAAAAAAAAATACAAAAATTAGCTAGGCGTGGCGGCACATGCCTGTAGTCCCAGCTACTTGGGAGGCTGAGGCAGGAGAATCACTTGAACCCAGGAGGCGGAGGTTGTGGTGAGCCAAGATCGTGCCATTGCACTCCAGCCTGGGCGACAAGAGTGAAACTCTGTCTAAAACAAACAAACAAAAAACCTACGCAGGTCAATAAATGTGATACACCACATAAACAGAATTAAAAACAAAAATCACATGATCATCTCAATAGATGCAGAAAAAGCATTCAACAAAATTCAGCATCCCTTTATGATTAAAACTCTCAGCAAAATCAGCATACAAGGGACATACCTCAATGTAATAAAAGCCATCTATGACACACCCACAGCCAACATAATACTGAATGGGGAAAAGTCGAAAGCATTCCCTCTGAGAACTGAAACAAGACAAGGATGTCCACTCCTCTTCAACATAGTACTGGAAGTCCTAGCCAGAGCAATCAGATAAGAGAAAGAAAGAAAGGGCATCCAAATCAGTAAAGACGAAGTCAAACTGTCACTGTTTGCTGATGATATGATTGTTACCTAGAAAACCCTAAAGACTCCTCTAGAGAGCTCCTAGAACTGATAAAAGAATTCAGCAAAGTTTCCAGATACAAAATTAATGTACACAAATCAGTAGCTCTTCTATACACCAACAGTGACCAAGCAGAGAATCAAATCAAGAACTCAACCTCTTTTACAATAGCTGCAAAAAAAAACAAAAAAAAACAACTTAGGAATATACCTAACCAAGAAGGTGAAAGACCTCTACATGGAAAACTACAAAACACTACTGAAACAAATCATAGATAACACAAACAAATGGAAACACATCCCATGCTCATCGTTGGGTAGAATCAATATTGTTAAAATGACCATAGTGCCAAAAGCAGTCTACAAATTCAACGCAATTCCCATCAAAATAGCACCATCATTCTTCAAAGAATTAGAAAAACAATCCTAAAATTCATGTGGAACCAAAAAAGGGCCCTCATAGCCAAAGCAAGACTAAGCAAAAAGAACAAATCTGGAGGTATCACATTACCTGATTTCAAACTATAATGTGAGGCCGTAGTCACCAAAACAACACGGTACTGGTACAAAAGTAGGCACATAGACCAATGGAACGCAATAGAGAACCCAGAAATAAACCCGAATACTTACAGCCAACTGATCTTCAACAAAGCAAACAAAAACATACAGTGAGGAAAGGACACCCTATTCAACAAACGGTGCTGGGATAATTGGCAAGCCACAAGGAGGAGAATGAAACTGGATCCTTATCTCTCATTTTATACACAAATCAACTCCAGATGGATCAAGGACTTAAATCTAAGACCCGAAACTATAAAAAGTGAGAAAGATAACATTGGAAAACCCCTTCTAAACATTGGCTTGGGCAAGGATTTCATGACCAAGAACCTAAAAGCAAATGCAATAAAAACAACCATGAATAGCTGGGAGTTAATTAAAGAGCTTTTGCACAGCAAAAGGAACAATCAGAGGGCCGGGCGCAGTGGCTCACGCCTGTAATCGCAGCACTTTGGGAGGCCGAGGCGGGCAGATCACCTGAGGTCGGGAGTTTGAGACCAGCCTGACCAACATGGAGAAACCCCATCTCTCATTAAAAGAAAATACAAAATGAGCTGGATGTGGTGGTGCATGCCTGTAATCCCAGCTACTTGGAAGGCTGAGGCAGGAGAATTGCTTGAACCTAGGAGGTGGAGGTTGCGGTGAGCTGAGATTGTGCCATTGCACTCCAGCCTGGGCAACAAGAACGAAACTCCGTCTCAAAAAAAAAAAAAAAAAGGAACAGTCAGCAGAGTAAACAAACAACTGACAGAGTAGGAGAAAATCTTCACAATCTATACATCTGACTAACATCCAGAATCTACAACAAACTCAAACAAATTAGCAAGAAAAAAAAAAAACAATTCCATCAAAAAGTGGGCTAAGGACATGAATAGACAAGTCTCAAAAGAAGATATACAAATGGCCAACAAATATATGGAAAAATGCTCAACATCACTAATGATCAGGGGAATGCAAATCAAAACCACAATGCAATACCACCTTACTCCTGCAAGAATGGCCATAATCAAAACATCAAAAAGTGATAGAAGTTGGTATGGATGCGGTGAACAGGGAACACTTCTATACTGCTGGTGGGAATCTAAACTAGCACAACCATTATGGAAAACAGTGTGGAGATGCCTTAAAGAACTAAAAGTAGAACAACTGTTTGGTCCAGCAATCCGACTACTGGGTATCTACCCAGAGGAAAAGAAGTCATTATACAAAAAAGATACTTGCACATGCCTGTTTAGAGCAGCACAATTTGCAATTGCAAAATGTGGAACCAGCCCAAATGTGCCCATCAACTAACGAGTGGATAAAGAAACTGTGATATATATATATATGATGGAATACTACTCAGCTATAAAAAGAAATGAATTGGCCGGGCACGGTGGCTCAAGCCTGTAATCCCAGCACTTTGGGAGGCCAAGGCGGGCAGATCACGAGGTCAGGAGATCCAGACCATCCCGGCCAACATGGGAAAACCCCGTCACTACTAAACATACAAAAATTAGCTGGGAGTGGTGGTGCGTGCCCGTAATCCCAGCTACTTGGGAGGCTGAGGCAGGAGAATCGCTTGAACCCGGGAGGCAGAGGTTGCAGCAAGCCAAGATTGAGCCATTGCACTCCAGCCTGGTGACAGAGCGAGACTCCATCTCAAAAAAAGAAAGAAAGAAAGAAAGAAATGAATTAATGGCATTCACAGCAACCTGGATGAGATTGGAGACTCTTATTCTAAGTGAAGTAACTCAGGAATGGAAAACCAAACATGATACGTTCTCACTCATAAGTGGGAGCTAAAACATGAGGATGCAGAGGCATAAATAAGAATGACACGAAGGGGAGGGCGCGGTGGCTCACGCCTGCAATCCCAGCACTTTGGGAGGCTGAAGTGGGCGGATCACAAGGTCAGGAGTTTAAGACCAGCCTGGCCAATATGGTGAAACCCCATCTGTACTAAAAATACAAAAATTAGCCGGGCATGGTCGTGGGTGCTTGTAGTCCCAGCTACTTGGGAAGCTGAGGCAGGAGAATCGCTTCAACCTGGGAGGTGGAGGTTGCAGTGAGCTGAGATTGAGCCACTGCACTCTTGTCTGGGTGACAGAGTGAGACTCTGTCTCAAAAAAAAAAAAAGAAAGTAAAGAAATAAAGAATGGCTGCTCCATAGGCAGAGCAGCTGAGGGCTGCTGGTTGGTTGCCCATTTTTATGGTGATGTCTTGATGATATGCTAAACAAGGGGTGGATTATTCATGCTCCCTTTTTAGACCATATAGGGCAACTTCCTGACGTTGCCATGGCATCTGTAAACTGTCACGGAGCTGGTGGGAGTGTAGCAGTGCCGACCATCAGAGGTCAGGTTTGTGGTCACCAGAGGTCAGGTTTGTGGTCACCAGAGGTCACTCTTGTCGCCAGTTTGGTTTTGGTGGGTTTGGCCAGCTTCTTTTTTTTTTTTTTTTTTTTTTTTTCTGAGACAGAGTTTCGCTCTGTCACCCAGGCTGGAGTGCAGTGGCACAGTGGCGCGATCTCGGCTCACTGCAAGCTCCGCCTCCCGGGTTCAAGCAATTCTCCTGCGTCTGCCTCCCGAGTAGCTGGGACTACAGGCGCCCGCCACCACGCCTGGCTAATTTTTTTGTATTTTTAGTAGAGACAGGGTTTCACTGTGTTAGCCAGGATGGTCTCGATCTCCTGACCTCGTGATCCGCCCGCCTCAGCCTCCCAAAGTGCTGGGATTACAGGTGTGAGCCACCACGCCCGGCCAGGGTTTAGCCGGCTTCTTTACTGCAACCTGTCTTTATGACCTGTATCTTGTGCTGACCTCCTATGTCATCCTGTGACTTGGAATGTCTAACCTCCTGGGAATGCAGTCCAGAAGGTCTCAGCCTTTTACCCAACTCCCATTCAGGATGGTGTTGCTCTGGTTCAAACGCCTCTAACCCAGTCCTATTTTAATGTTTCTCTGGGCCTGATCATTGGAAAGGATTTGCCTTCCTCAGATGCAAGTTCTTTTCTTTCCTTAGCACGGTCCTCAGAGGAGTGAAATCCACTGAGACATAAATGAGAAGGTGGGTGCTAGGTGCTGGGGAAGGGAGTGGGGAGTGTGTGATCAGTGGGTCCAGAGTTCACTTCGGGAGGATGGAAAGTTCTGGAGAGGACAGTGGTGTTGGCTGCACTTCATGCCGCTGAACTGCAAGCTTCAAATGGTTAAGATGGTCAATTTTATGTTATATAGATATTGCCAAACGTTAAAAAGGGGAAGGGGACAGCATGCGGGCCTATCTCTGACGGACAGGGAGGAGACGCCTGCTGAGTGAAGGGGAACCACCGCAGGAGGCAGGGAGGGGTCAGCCAGCATCCACTCCCTCCACAGCTGAAGGCTGCAGCTCCAGGCGGTGAGGGGCGGCTCCTACCTGCCGGGAGCTGGTTGTTGATAAATGTCAACGGCCTCTAAAAATAAACACCCTCCTCCTGGACTTACGCCTCTCTGGGCCGCTTGTTTAATTATTCTTTCCTAAGTGGCTCCCGCAAACAAATCTGTGGCTATGAGCATAGTTTTTCATACTTATATTATTTTATTAAATTTTATTTTTAATGTACAAATAATAATTGCATATTTTTAATTGATTTGGCTCCTTGGGGTCATTTTGAACAATTTGCTTTGGCCCTACCTGAAGGACCTGGGAATGTGCGTGTAACTAGCTTTACACACTTTTGCACCACAAACTTCAGTTTTTGCTGATCCCCTGCCACCGAGGGATTGGAGAAAATCTCAGGATGCTTGTAGATTATTCCAAAACAAACAATCAAGCTTCTCACCTTGTTTGGTGGAACTTTTTTTTGACATATTTGTCCCAGAGATTGTACAGAAGAAGCTATTTTGCGTCCCTTTTTTTTTTTTTTTTTTTTTTGAGACGGAGTTCCGCTCTTGTCTCCCAGGCTGGAGTGCAGTGGCACGATCTCGGCTCACTGCAACCTCTGCCTCCCAGGTTCAAGTGATTCTCTGGCCTCAGCCTCCCGAGTAGCTGGAATTATAGGCACCCACCACCACGCCTGGCTAATGTTTGTATTTTTAGTAGAGATGGGGTTTCACCATGTTGGCCAGGCTGGTCTTTAACTCCTGACCTCAGGTGATCCGCCCGCCTCTGCCTCCCAAAGTGCTGGGATTACAGGCGTGAGCCACCGTACCTGGCCTAAAACTGTTTTGCCTCCTAAGAAAAAGCCAAATGGAAGAGAAAGAAAATGCCCCCGACAGCCAAAGAAGCTGAAATTCTCAGAAGCCTAGAGTCGGCTGCTGGAGGATAGAGCCAAAACTGCTCCAACTTCTTCCTGGAAGCGCACGTGGGGTCCCCTGAGACGTCCACTGGCCTGCACGTCACCATGGAATTGCAGGGTTGGGACATTTTCATAGTGAGAAACGCTGAGGAACTCTTGACATGAAAACTCCAGTGGAAGATGGAAACTGTGATGACAGAAATGGCACTGACCAGCCAGGCCCTGCCTGTGCCCTGCTTGGAACATTGATTGACAGAAATGGCGCTGACCAGCCAGGCCCTGCCCGTGCCCTGCTTGGAACATTGATTGACAGAAATGGCGCTGACCAGCCAGGCCCTGCCTGTGCCCTGCTTGGAACATTGATCATGTGTTTGACCTTGACATCAGCTTTCCGACACAAACACAGACTTGGGCACACACAAACACGCCCAGGTAGGAGCAAAACGCCATCATTCTGTTTGGGGTGGTCCCTGATGAATCAGCACAAGTTTGCCGGACGCGGTGGCTCTCATGCCTGTAATCCCAGCACTTTGGGAGGCCGAGGTGGGCAGATCACAAGGTCAGGAGATCGAGACCATCCTGGCTAACACAGCAAAACCCCGTCTCTATTAAAAATACAAAAAATTAGCCAGGCGTGGTGGTGGGCACCTGTAGTCCCAGCTACTCGGGAGGCTGAGGCAGTAGAATGGCGTGAACCTGGGAGGCAGAGCTTGCAGTGAGCAGAGATCGTGCCACTGCTGTCCAGCCTACGTGACAGAGCGGGACTGTCTCAAAAAAAAAAAAGAAGAGGGTAGGGGAAAAGAGTCATTCATGCCTCTGTCTGCCTCAGTGAATCTGTATTTTTACATAAGATCACACAGACAAAATGGGGCAGGGAAACAATTGGGTATGCATTTGTGTCTGATGGGCCATGGGTGACTGCACCTGTAAAGATGAGGAATCAGTTTACATTGCCATAGTGAAATCTTTATGGAAACACCTTAGAGTAAAGATCTCGGAGCTCAGTAAAAATTTCCTTGTGGGCAAAATATTAGGGAGGTATGGAGCTTCTCATCTTGCAGCCATCTTATTTAGAAACCAAAAGGGGAGGCAAGTTTGCATGATCCAGTCCCCAACTTGACTTTTTCCTTTGGCTAAATGAGTTTGGGGTCTCAAGATTTAATTTCCTTTCACAGATCACAGGTGTGAGCTACTGTGCCTGGCCTACGTAACACATTTACTAAACAACCTTGTTCACTACACACTTCCTGGTCACCTTCCCGTTTCTTACCTGCCCTCCAAAAGCCCAAACCCCCTTATCCGTTGTCTAGCCTGAACCCTGACGCAGCCTCAGGAGATCCTGAGGACACAGGCTACAGCGTGGTTTTCTACATTTTAGGGAGACAGGAGACATCATTCAATACATGTAAGGTGAACACTGCGGTCTGGAAAGGCGGGACAACTTGAAGGACGCGGGGGTGGGCTTCAGGTCATAGGTGATTTTCAGATTGTCAGTCGTTTGAAAGAGTTTATCTAAAGGCCAGGAATTGGCCGGGCGCAGTGGCTCACACCTGTAATCCCAGCACTTTGGGAGGCCGAGGGGGGCAGATCACGAGGTCAGGAAATCCAGACCAGCCTGGCCAACATGGTGAAACCCTGTCTCTACTAAAAATACAAAAATTAGCTGGGCCTGGTGGTGCACGCCTGTAATCCCAGCTACTCGGGAGGCTGAGGCAGGAGAATCGCTTGAACCCAGGAGGCAGAGGTTGCAGTGAGCCGAGATCACGCCACTGCATTCCGGCCTGGCGACAGAGTGAGACTCCATCTCAGAAAAAAAAAAAAAAAAAAAAAAGACCTGGAATCAATACAAAGAGGTGTGTCTGGGTTAAGATAAGAGCATGGCCGGGCGCGGTGGCTCACGCCTGTAATCCCAGCACTTTGGGAGGCCGAGGCAGGCGGATCACGAGGTCAGGAGATGGAGACCATCCTGGCTAACACGGTGAAACCCCGTCTCTACTAAAAATACAAAAAATTAGCCGGGCATGGTGGCGGGCACCTGTAGTCCCAGCTACTGAGGAGGCTGAGGCAGGAGAATGGCGTGAACCCGGGAGGTGGAGCTTGCAGCGAGCGGAGATTGAGCCACTGTACTCCAGCCTGGGGCGACAGAGCGAGACTCTGTCTCAAAAAAAAAAAAAAAAAAAAAGAGCTTGTGGAGACCAAGGTTCTTATTATGCAGATGAAGCCTCCAGGTATCAGGCTTCAGAGACAATAGATTGCAAATCTTTCTTTTCAGACTTAAGAAGGCACCAGACCCAGTGAATTCTCTCCTGGATCAGGGGAAAGATTCTGGCCACCTGCTTCGGCCACTTTTTTTTTTTTTTGGCCAGCCACTGTGAATACTTACATAATTAAAATTGTCTTTTTCTCTTGTTAATCTGCCTGATCACGTTGATTCCCAGGTCCAAGGAATTCCCAGGTCCCTCAAGCAATAGATTAGAGGAAGTGTTTTGTTTTGCTTTGACTTCTTCCTCTATATTAGTAAAAGTATGTCTCACTCTGGGTGTCCTGTATTTGCATTTTTATTTGCTAAATCCAGTAACGCTATTCCAGGTGTAAGTAGGTTTCTCTGGACGTACAACTTTCATCTCACGAATCTTTATATTACTGCTCCTAAATTCTAACCTAGACAATGTCATTATTTTTCAACAGTAAAAATAGTCTGAATTAAGCCTTCCAGATGCGTACTCCCTTCTTTCCTGAGGCAGATGAAGTAGAGAAGAATGAAGGCAATTAACAAATCTGGACGAATCCACCCCAGAAGCAGCTCCTGCTGCACCCACCTCAGCAAAGAATCCAGAGGCGACCCCTCCTCTCCATCTGCTCCTCCTCCAGGCCACTGTCCTCTCTAACCCTTCTCACTGGCCCCTGCCTCCACTCTTGTCAGACAGCAAGCTACAGAATAACTGGGGAAATACTTTTTAAAAAAATAAATCAGACCACATCAGGCTCTTCAGCATGGAAATGTGGCCGCAGCCCATGGGCCAGCCCACCAGTGCCGATCATCCCCATCACACCCCATTAGTCCCCATCGGACCCCTTCATCCCCATCAGACTCCATCAGACCCCAACAGACCCCATCAGTCACCACCAGATGCCATCACACCCCATTAGTCCCAATCAGTCCCCATCAGACCCCATCACCCTCATCAGACCCCATCAGACCCATCAGACTCCATCAGTCCCCAGCAGACCCCATGAGTCCCCATGAGTCCCCATCAGACTCCTTCAGTCACCACCAGACCCCGTCATCCCCATCAGACCCCATCAGTCCCCATCAGACTCCATCAGACCCCAACAGACCCCATCAGTCCCCACCAGACTCCATCACACCCCATTAGTCCCCGTCAGTCCCCATCAGATTCCATCAGTCCCCAGCAGACCCCATGAGTCCCCATCAGACCCCATCACACCCCATTAGTCCCCGTCAGTCCCCATCAGACCCCATCAGTCCCCATCAGACTCCATCAGACCCCAACAGACCCCATCAGTCCCCACCAGACTCCATCACACCCCATTAGTCCCCGTCAGTCCCCATCAGACTCCATCAGTCCCCAGCAGACCCCATGAGTCCCCATCAGACCCCATCACACCCCATTAGTCCCTGTCAGTCCCCATCAGACTCCATCAGTCCCCAGCAGACCCCATGAGTCCCCATCAGACCCCATCACACCCCATTAGTTCCTGTCAGTCCCCATCAGACTCCATCAGTCCCCAGCAGACCCCATGAGTCCCCATCAGACCCCATCACACCCCATTAGTCCCTGTCAGTCCCCATCAGACTCCATCAGTCCCCAGCAGACCCCATGAGTCCCCATCAGACCCCATCACACCCCATTAGTTCCTGTCAGTCCCCATCAGACTCCATCAGTCCCCAGCAGACCCCATGAGTCCCCATCAGACCCCATCACACCCCATTAGTTCCTGTCAGTCCCCATCAGACTCCATCAGTCCCCAGCAGACCCCATGAGTCCCCATCAGACCCCATCGCACCCCATTAGTCCCCATCAGTCCCCATCAGACTCCATCAGTCCCCAGCAGACCCCATGAGTCCCCATCAGACCCCATCGCACCCCATTAGTCCCCATCAGTCCCCATCAGACTCCATCAGTCCCCAGCAGACCCCATGAGTCCCCATCAGACCCCATCAGACCCCATCACACCCCATTAGTCCCCATCAGACTCCATCATCCCCATCAGACCCATCAGCCCCATCAGTCTCTGTCAGTTCCCATGAGTCCCCATCAGTCCCCATCAGATGCATCAGAACTTTCTGAGCACGTCATGGAGGATGACATCACACAAACCCCAGCTCTTCTTTTCCTCACATTCGCCTGTGAATCCAGCAGGCCCTGGGTGAGCACCTGCTGTGTTTAGGAGTCGCAGGTCCTATTTTCCAAAGTGCTCATGGCAGCCCCACTCCTCGTAGGCTGTGACTGGCTCCTCTATGGAGGAGAGGGGTCTGTGTTTCTGCTCCTGACTCTGGGTGGCTGTGACTTGGCAGAAGCAACATGGTGACACAGTTTCCTCTTGTCCATCTAGCACACCAGCTCTCCAAGCCCAGCCTCCAGGCAGTGTGTAGGCGTTGCAGACAAGCGTGGGTGGGTGACCCAGTGATGGCACAGCTGAGTGACAGCTGACAGCCACCACTGACCCCAGGTGGGTCATGACCAGCCCTCAGATACCCCTTGGCCCCAGGGGTGTGACCATGATGGCGAGACCCTGAGGACCACCTGGAGGTGCCCAGGCCACCCGGAACCCTGGAAGGGCACAAAGAGAGGAGGGCTCTTGTTCCAACCACAACTCTGGGGCGATTTGTCACACAATGAATAACTGGAACTGTCCTGGGAACTGGGGACTCAGAGATGAGGAAGACGGAGCTGTTGCCAGAGTCCACATTCAGTCCAGAGAGGCAGCAGGAAGACAGACAGCCCCCAGAGATGCTCTGTGCTCAGGCCTGAGGGCTGCAGGGGTAGCAGGCCCCTCCCTGGACCTTCTGGGACGCTGGCGGTGGCTCTGGGGTGCCTGCGGGTGGGTGTGTATCAAGCTGGAGATGCCCATGGAGTGCCCAGGAGTCAGATCCTCAGGTCAGCCATCAGGCAAGAGTCCCCAGCCTCATCTCTCCGGGGATCAATCCGCCATGGTGTGATTAAATCAGTCAGTCCTGGCGCCAAAGAGAAAACAGCCGGTAAGGGACCACAAGGCGCCTGTACGAGTGTGAAGCTGCCGTCCTGGGACTCCAGTGCTGTCCCCTCCAGGGGCTTCCAGCACCGCCCCCCCCCACCCCGACCTTCTCTTACGTGGCACATGAACTTGGAGGATGCGGCTCCAGGTCTGCCCCGTCCTCACACAGGAGCGACTGAAGCACAGGTGGGCACCCACATCTCATCTGCTGGGTCCCACAGCAAATCCCACCAGGGTTCCTCTGCGACAAACATTTGCTGCCAAGGCTGAGTGGAGGCCAGCCAAGAATGCGGCCAAAGCAAAGTGTGGCTTCTTCTTCTTCTTCTTTTTTTTTTTTGAGATGTAATTTCTCTCTTGTTGCCCAGGCTGGAGCGCGATGGCGCGATCTCAGCTCACGCAACCTCTGCCTCCTGAGTTCTCCTGCCTCAGCCTCCCGAGTAGCTGGGATTACAGGCATGTGCCACCACGTCAGGCTAATTTCGTATTTTTAGTAGAGACAGGGTTGCTCCACGTTGGTCAGGCTGGTCTTGAACTCCTGATCTCAGGTGATCCGCCTGCTTTGGCCTCCCAAAGTGCTGGGATTTCAGGCATAAGCCACCGCGCCCAGCCAAGCTGGTTGTGGGTCTCTTCTCCCTCCCCCGCTCCCTATCTCAGAGGGAGAAGAGCCAGGGAGGGCCAGGAGGATTCAGGCCTCACTGGGCCCTCCTGCACCCACCCCAGGGTCAGGGGGTCTGAGCAGCATTCTGGGTTTGTAAAGAAACCCCATCTCCAAGAATTCTGGGGAGGAAGCCGTCCAGGGAGTGCTGTCTTGCAGGGTGGCTTGTGAGCGGTTTTATCCCTTCTGTGACAGTCTTCAGTGATGCTGGAAGCCTGGCCCTGCCGGGAGCTCCAGCCCAGCACAGCGCCTGGTGCCTTCCTCACTGTCACTGGACATGAACCCTAGGAGGCAGTGTATGTCCACAGGTCATTTCTCCCTGAGAACTGTCTCAGCTCCAAAATCACTCTTACTGTTTTCCTATAACCCCGCCTGGCTGTCCCTGTGGGCAATTTCAGAGCTACATGTGTGCTGTGTGCATTTCCAGTGGGGAGAGATGGCTTCCTACCTGTTTTCACACTCTTTCTTTAATCCCTGCTCATAAACACTATTTCCGCAGAACCCCCGAATCAGTGATAGTCAGAAAATATAGCAGGTACTGCACTCTAGCCTGGGCAACAGAGCGAGACCCTGTCTCTGAAACAACAACAGCAAAAGCCTTTCTGGTAGATGGTGGTGTACACGCTGGTCTTAGTTTCTATCCAGTTTAAAAATCTTTGCTATTTAATTGGAGTGCTTAGATCATTAATGAAATGAATTATATGGTTAGGTTTAAGTTTACCCTGTCTCTAATTTAAAAATAAAAAGAAGGCTGGGCGTGGTGGCTCATGCCTGTAATCCCAGCACTTTGGGAGGCCGAGGCTGGATCACGAGTTCAGGAGTTCGAGACCAGCCTGACCAACATGGTGACACCCCATCTCTACTAAAAATACAAAAATGAGCCGGGCGTGGTGGCGGGCGCCTGTTATCCCAGCTACTCAGGAGGCTGAGGCAGGAGAATTGCTTGAACCCGGGAGGCGGAGTTTGCAGTGAGCTGAGATCGCGCCACTGCACAACAGCTTGGGCAACAGAACAAGACTCTGTCTCAAAAAAAATAAAAAATAAGGCCGGGCGTGGTGGCTCAAGCCTGTAATCCCAGCACTTTGGGAGGCCGAGGCGGGCGGATCACGAGGTCAGGAGATCGAGACCATCCCGGCTAAAACGGTGAAACCCTGTCTCTACTAAAAATACAAAAATTAGCCGGGCGTGGTGGCAGGTGCCTGTAGTCCCAGCTACTCGGGAGGCTGAGGCAGGAGAATGGCCTGAACCCGGGAGGCGGAGCTTGCAGTGAGCCGAGATCCCGCCACTGCACTCCAGCCTGGGCGACAGAGCGAGACTCCGTCTCAAAAAAAATAAATAAATAAATAAAAATAAAAAATAAAAAATAAAACAAACAAAAATAAAAAGAAATAAGGATGTCCTTAAGGTACAGTGAGGTCATTCCCGTGGTCCCTGAGCCAACCTGTCTGGTGTCCTCATAAGAGGAGGAGATTAGGGCGCAGGCACACCGGAGCATGACAGTGAGGACATGGGGAGAAGACACTGCCAGCCAAGGAGGGGGACCTCAGGAGGAGGGAGGGGCCTCAGGAGGAGGGAGGGGGCCTCAGGAGGAGGGAGGGGGTCTCAGGAGGAGGGAGGGAGACCTCAGGAGGAGGGAGGGGCCTCAGGAGGATGGAGGGGCCTCAGGAGGAGGGAGGGGTCTCAGGAGGAGGGAGGGGGTCTCAGGAGGAGGGAGGGGGTCTCAGGAGGAGGGAGGGGCCTCAGGAGGAAGGAGGGGGTCTCAGGAGGAGGGAGGGGGCCTCAGGAGGAGGGAGGGGGTCTCAGGAGGAGGGAGGGGGCCTCAGGAGGAGGGAGGGGGTCTCAGGAGGAGGGAGGGGGCCTCAGGAGGAGGGAGGGGGTCTCAGGAGGAGGGAGGGGGCCTCAGGAGGAGGGAGGGGGTCTCAGGAGGAGGGAGGGGGCCTCAGGAGGAGGGAGGGGGTCTCAGGAGGAGGGAGGGGCCTCAGGAGGAGGGAGGGGGTCTCAGGAGGAGGGAGGGGGTCTCAGGAGGAGGGAGGGAGACCTCAGGAGGAGGGAGGGGCCTCAGGAAGAGCCAGCCCTGGGCCTGAAGAAGGGGAGAGAATGAATTCCCACCATCCAGCCCAGCCCGGCCGGCAGCCCCTCGCCACAGCATCCCTGGGGCATGTGCAGCGCTGCACTGTGCGGGCTCCACTGGGGAAGGGAGAAGAGGGGAAGGGGGTGGGGAGCAACCACAGCCCCCACCAAGCTTCCTGCCCTGGCCCTACACTGGGCCCTTCAGGGCTTGGCAGTCAGGCTAGAGCAGGCTCAGGTGGGACCGCCCGCTCCGAACAAACATCGCTTCCTGAAGGCTTCCTGGATGGCCCGGAGACGATTTGCTCCGTCTCTCATTCTCGCAAAGCAGTTTTTTGTTGTTGTTGTGGTTTTTTTTGGAGATGGAGATGGAGTCTGGCTCTGTCTCCCAGGCTGATCTCGCCTCACTGCAACCTCCACCTCCCAGGTTCAAGCAATTCTCCTGCCTCAGCCTCCCAAGTAGCTGGGGTTACAGGCTCCCGCCACCACGCCTGGCTAATTTTTGTATTTTTAGTAGAGACAGGGTTTCAACATGTTGGCCAGGCTAGTCTCGAACTCCTGACTTCATGTGATCCACCCACCTCATCCACCCAAAGTGCTGGGATTACAGGTGTGAGCCACCAGCGGCCTCATTCTCACAGAACTTTATTGCGGTTTTTATGCAATGCCATATTGTATTGCAACATTTCATAAAAATGTTCCTGTTATCTACTATGAAAATAGCACCTGCTTATGGGTAGCACTCTTAAAATTTTCTCCTAAACCAAATTGTAAGCCCCCACATACCCAGAGCCTAGCAAAATACCCGATGTTCAAAAATCTGAAAAAATGGGCCAGGCGCGGTGGCTCACGCCTGTAATCCCAGCACTTTGGGAGGCTGAGGCGGGCGGATCACGAGGTCAGGAGATCCAGACCATCCTGGCTAACACGGTGAAACCCTGTCTCTACTAAAAATACAAAAAAAATTAGCCGGGGGTGGTGGCGGGCGCCTGTAGTCCCAACTGCTCGGGAGGCTGAGGCAGGAGAATCGCTTGAACCCGGGAGGCAGAGCTTGCAGTGAGCCGAGATCGCGCCACTGCACTCCAGCCTGGGTGACAGCGAGACTCCGTCTCAAAAAAAAAAAAAATTCTGAAAAAATGAAAGAGGCAAAGCAACTGGAAGAGCCTGACTTTAAAGCCGCCTCCGAGTCAGCCTCTTGCTTCCTGAGGGAGCCCGGGGTGGCCGGGAGCTGCCCCACTCCAGGAGAGCCTGCAGCCTGCACCTTGCCCTGCCATCCCCCTCAACGTGCTTTCCTTCTTCAGAGGCCTTCTCGGACAGAACCCCTACAAGAGAGGCCCTGAGGTGACCATCCTTAAGGTGGGCCTCCCGCACTGGCAACCTCCCAGAGGCTGATAGCAGTGGTCCCTGAGATTGGGAGGGTCCTGAATAGGGGCTGGGTCAAGCCTGCTGCCCTTTGACGGCCATAAAACCACCAGGGTTATAGGCCGGGTGCAGTGGCTCACGCATGTAATCCCGGCACTTTGGGAGGCTGAGGTGGGAGGATCATGAGGTCAGGAGATCGAGACCATCCTGGCTAACACGGTGAAACCCCGTCTCTACTAAAAATACAAAAAAATTAGCCGGGCGTGGTGGCGGGCGCCTGTAGTCCCAGCTACTCGGGAGGCTGAGGCAGGAGAATGGCAGGAACCCGATCGCGCCACTGCCCTCCAGCCTGGGCGACAGAGCGAGACTCCGTCTCAAAAAATATATAAAAATAAATTAAAAACCACCAGGATTGCTGAACACGGCTTAGCGGGCACAGCCAGGAGTCACGTGTCCTCCGTCACTCCCACGGACAGAGGGGCGCCTAGCGACGGTGCGGCTGAGCTCGGGGCCGACTCTGCCCAGGCCCACTCGACGTCTGGGCCTTCCCCACGCGGCGTGGCCACAGCCCGCTTCTCCTGGACAGCCGCTCATCACCCTCGTCCCAGCAAGATCAGGTCCGCACGCTCTGGCTCAGGCCTCCAACACAGGGCAAAGGGAAGGCGGGAGGCGCAAAGGGACGGCCCAGAGCCGGCCTGCGCCGCTGGATCTGCAGACTGGGCGCTTGTCTCCCCACCTCCCTGCATGCACCCCTGCTTGCTTTCAGGCAGGAGGGTCTGTGGGTCGGGGGAGTCAGGTGATGCTTCGCACACGAAGTCCTGCAGCCCCAGCTCCAGAGGAGGGTGGCCTCTGGCCCAGAAGCTAGGACTCACCATGGCCTGAGCTTGTTGACGCTGCCATGGTCAACGCAGCAGGGCAGGCCCCAGAAGAAGGGGGCATCCCTCCTCACCGTTTAAAGCAAATTATCAAACAGACACAAAAATCTCCTCAGTCAGTCATCTTCAAAGAGTTCCATCTTGTTGCTTTTTTTTTATTTTTAATCTACCCTCTGCTTTTTTTTTCTTTGCTGGAGGTTTTTGTTGTTTTTTTTTTGAGACAGAGTCTCACTCTGTTGCCCAGGCTGGAGTGCAGTGGTGTGATCTGGGTTCACTGCAACCTCCACCTCCTGAACTTTCGATCCTCCTGCCTCAGCCTCTCGAGTAGCTGGGATTACAGGCACCCACCACCACGCCCGGCTAATTTTTGTGTTTACAGTAGAGAAGGGGTTTCACCATGTTGGCCAGGCTGGCCTCAAACTCCTGACCTCAAGTGATCCTCCCACCTCGGCTTCCCAAAGTGCTGGGATTACAGGTGTGAGCCACTGTACCCTGCGTGCTGGAGTATTTTTAAAGCCAACTCCAGACTTCATATCATTTTACCCATAAGTACTCTTCTCTTTTGTCAAATAAAAAACAAATCAGGGCCATGCACAGTGGTTCATGCCGGTAACCCCAGTGCTTCGGGAGGCCGGGGCAGGAGGACTGCTTGAGCCCAGGAATTTGACACCACCTAGGCAACATAGCAAGACCCCCATCTCTACAAAAACTAAAAAATTAGCCAGGTGTGGTGGCACATGCCTGTGGTCCTAGCTACTCAGGAGGCTGAGGTAGAAGGATCACTTGAGCCCGGAAGTTCCAGGCTGCAGTGAGCCAAGTTCACACCACTGCACTCCAGCCTGGGTGACAGAAAAAGACCCTGTCACAAACCAGAAAAAAAAAAAAAAAAAAGCAAATCTCCAATGCGTAGAAGCAGAAAGTAGAAGAGTGGTTGCCAGGAGCAATAAATAAATAAATTGAGAGCGTTTTAAAAAATCTAGACTTGGTACTGTTTCTGAAAGGATGATTGCAAGTGTGTCAGACCGGTGAGGTCTCAAGAGTTGGGCAAAACGCGGTTTTCT